>NC_000003.12:55161515-55464545 GCF_000001405.40 Homo sapiens | reverse complement strand
GGTTGCAAACTTATGGCTTGCTGTCTACATCACACCTCCAGATGTGTTTTGTTTGACTGGCACAGCATTTAAAAAATTAGTTGCCAACATTTAAAATATGAGTACTTTCACATTAAAATTTGGATTTCTGGCTTGAAAAATGGGGAGAGCTGGTCACCTAGGAGCATGTCACAGGTCCCACGTAGCAACAATCAGCTGGACCCAAGCAGCTGCTACTCCCTTTTAGACAGGGCTAGGCATGTCTAATTGGCCAGTCATTTATGGCACCTAACTGGCCCCTGCAGGCCTTTACATTTGTAATTGTTTTTAAAGGTGTTTTCCCTCTAAGAGTTTCTTAGCTTCATCGCTATTGACATTTTGAGCAGGATAATTATTTGTCGTGAGGGCTGTCTTTGTGCATTATAGTATGTTTAACAGCATCCCTGGCATCTACCCACTAGATGCTGATAGCAGCCTCCCATTTGTGACAACCAAAAATGTCTCCAGACATTGATGAGTGTCCTCTGGGGGGCAAAATTATCCCAGGTGAAAACGACTGGTTTAAACCAAAAACGTCTGTACATATTTATAAGCTAGCCAATGAGTCTAAAACAAAGAAATAAACAAAATGGATTAGTTTCTTGGTGTACAGAATGCCTGGCCTATCACAGGAACTCAATAAATATTTAATGAATGGATGAAAAACACAACCATTCCCAGGTTTCAGCCTAACTACTTACTTGCAGTGTGGCCTTGAAGAGATGCTTGAATCTCTCTGAACTTAACGTCCGCAGCAAGAACATGGGAACAAAAGCCACCACCCAATTAGGCTTGATATTTAAATTACATGATAGAATCTGCAAAAGGCCACCTTCAAAGCCTAATGATAGTAGCAGTATAATAAGAGGTGGAATTCGTTTTAAAAACAAAGATAATGAGTTAACAGTTAAATGTTTCTAGCCAGCCTGCCCTGCATAGCTAAATAAACACGAGCTCCAGGCTGGGTGCAGTGGCTCACGTCTGTAATCCCAGCAGTTTGGGAGGCCGAGGCAGGCAGATCCCCTGAGGTCGGGAGTTTGAGATCAGCCTGACCAACATGGAGAAACCCCTCTCTACCAAATACAAAATTAGCCGGGTATGGTGGCGCATGCCTGCAATCCCAGGTACTACAGAGGCTGAGGCAGGAGAATTACTTGAACCCGGGAGGCAGAAGTTGTGGTGAGCCAAGATGGCGCCATTGCACTCCAGCCTGGGCAACAAGAGCGAAACTCCATCTCAGAAAATAAAAAGAAAAAATTAAACACGAGCTCCAGTTTTTGATGCTTGTTTTTGAGTTGCAGTTTCCAAAGAGCATTCCATCACTCACAGACCCAAAGGATGATCAACAGGAAGTGTTTCATGGCCAAACAAGTTTGGGAAGTGAGGACTGATGGATCCTTGCCCCGCTGAGAGATGTATGATGGTCCTTAGCATATTGGCAATGCTAAAATCAAAGAACTGCAAGAAAGAGATCTGTTAACTCGGAGTTTCGTTGACTTGAGTTTTTGACTTCCTTTCATGGGAGACCTGTTAATGTTCCCATTCTCTGGGCAAGTTGGGAAGTCCTGGGGTGGAGCAACCCCTCTCTGGCAGGTTTTGTGGGCATATGTTCTCTTGAGGTCAAGAGCTGCCTGGCTTGAAATTTATGGCTGCAAAGGTAGGGAGTGCTACCTGGTGACATTTCTGTTCCTCTTCCTAATGGAGGGCTAGTCCCAACCGGTGGCTAATCTACGTATTTATAGCCTGGGTGGTGGGATGGGGAAGAATGTGCTCTGGGAGGCAACAAGGAGACTCCTAAGACATAACTAGACCTAAAGGTGGGAGAGAGGAAGAAAGAAAAAGCAGAAAGGGGATAGGAAAGGGGGGAAAAGGCATAAAATGCAAAGGAGGCAAATGAGGACTGAGAAGATCCAGCTGTCCTCTGACCATGACCTTCAGAAAAATCTCATTTCTACTAGAAAAAAAAATTACAGCGGTTTAGGAAGGTAATTTATGACAAGCATTTCTTCTGTGCCTGGCACTTGGTAAGGATTTTATCTTTCATCCCATTTCAGTAAGAGTACCAAGAAACTTTTGAGATAATATTGTTATCCTCATTTTACAGATGAAGCAAAGGAAGATTGGAGAGCTTAAGTCTGACCCAAGACTCCATTTGCCCAACAAAAATGCATGCTCTCCCTTTATCAATGTGGCCTTGATCCTGCCTAAACAAAGACTACATTTCCCAGGCTCCCTTGCATCCAGGTATGGCTAGAGGACTAGTTCCCACAAATGGAAGGGGAACAGAAGTGAAGTGTGTCAGTTTTGAAGTCCAGATTTTTGAAAAGCCAGTGTGAGTTTTTCACTGCATCGTTCCCTCCACCAGCTTGGAGCAGAGGACTCTGAAGTCCTAGGAGTTGATTGGGCCACACATGGGAGAAACCTGGATGCTTGACTCACCACATGGAAGAAAGCCAGCAGCTGACCAGAAACTCCTTCCTTAGACAGTTGAGTGACTAAATTATAAACTTCTATTTTATGTTAAGTCAGTACCATATTGGAGTTTGATACAGCAATTAGTAATTCTACCCAACACATTGCTTCTCCTGGTACTTCCCAAGGTTGTCACTGAGTCCCCAGACTCAATGGGGATCCCCTAGCCAGGAGAGTCACAGATTGGGAAGGTCCCTTGCAGGCCATCCCACCCCACCCCAGGGTTCACAGCCTCCTGAGAGGCATGCCATTTCACCTGGAGAACTCCATCCCCTAGGAAACTCAGACATGTCCTGATTGGCCACACTCAGTATCAAAAGGGCTCCTCCCTCCATCAGCTGGGGTGCCTCCCTGCCATCTGGGAAAGTGGGCCTCATTCCATCAAGGCAAGCCCTTTTCCTGATTCTGACATAACTTCTGTGTGATATGGGGTAAGTCTCTTACCCTCTTTGAGCCTCTGATTTTTTGTTGTTGTTGTCATTTTTTTTCTCTAAAGACCCAGTCAATTCATTTATCAATTCATCATTTACACACTAGGAAGGTGATATAGTTTTGCTGTGTCCCACCCAAAATCTCATCTTGAGTTATAATCCCCATAATCCCTAAGTGTCAAGGGTGGGACCAGGTGTAGGTAATTGGATCATGGGGCAGTTTCCCCCATGCTGTTCTTCTGATAGTGACTCTCATGAGATCTTATGGTTTTATAAGCATTTGGCATTTCCCCTGCTTGCACTCACTCCATCCTGCTGCCCTGTGAAGAAGGTGCCTGCTTCTCCTTTGCCTTCTGCCATGATTGTAAGTTTCCTGAGGTCTCCCCAGCCCTGCGGAACCATGAGTCAATTAAACCTCTTTCCTTTATAAATTACCCTGTCTCAGGTATGTCTTCATAGCAGCATGAGAACGGACTAACACAGGAGAATTTAATGAACACCCACTGTGTGCTGGGCACTCATTTAGGTGATGAGGTTACAGAGGTGAGCAAAGCAAACTCTGCTCCTGTCCTTCCAGAGCACACATTTCCCATAGTGAGCAGTTGTGGTGACGGGGATCATGGAAGAATAGGGTTCCATGGGGGCTCAAGGAGGAGAGACACATCCAGACTTGGAGAACCAAGGATGCTCTCTGGAGAAAGGGATATTTTAGCTGAGGTTTTAAAGACAAGCAAAGGTTATCCAGGTTAAGTAGGGGAAGGGTAGGTAAGAGTATTCAAGAAAGAAGGCACAGCTTGAGCAAAGGCCAAGAGGTGGGAGGGAATGCAGTTCCCCCAGGAGCTGTGAGTCTGGAGGTTCATGGGAACAAGAGGGTGAAGAGGGAGTGGTGGAAGATGAGGCTGGGCACACGGAGACTCAGACTGCAGTCAGTAGGGCCTCTGATAAGGCATCTAGACTTCCTCCTGTGGGTGAAAGGTATTCAGCAGGCATGAGGCAGGTTCAGGACTAACCTTTAAAGCAGACAGTGGAGGCCAGGTGCAGTGGCTCACACCTGTAATCCTAGCACTTTGGGAGGCTGAGGTAGGAGGATTGCATGAAGACAGGAGTTCGAGACCAGCCTGGGCTACAAAGTGAGACACCGTCTCTACAAAAGAAAAAAAAAATAGCTGGGTGCAGTGGTATGTGACTGTAGCCCCAGCTACTCAGGAGGCTGAGGTGGGAGGATTGCTTGAGCTTGGGAGGTCAAGGCTGCAGTGAGCCATGACTATGACATTGCACTCCAGCCTGGGAGACAGAGTGAGACTACCTCAAAAAACAAACACATGAGCAAACAAAAGACCCTGGGGAGAAAATGCTGCCTCCACAATTCCTTAGTTCCTGGACCCTCATCTTGTCCATGGAAACTCAAGGTCTCCATGATCTTGGAGATATTTTGGTGTTGCACTGGCATGGCTCAGCCACCACTCCCTAACCTATCCAGAGTTTCCTGCCACACTTGGGGCAGCCTAATGTCCCTGTAACTGAGACAACTCTAGCCAGATGCTTGCCCACCCCTGCACCACCAGGATGACTGGCTAGAAGTTCTACCTCAGTCTTGTCCCAGGGCTGCCCTCCACAAACATGCCCCCAGCACCCACCCAACAAAGGGCTCACCTCCTGACCTTTGTCTCAGTGTCCCTAACCAGAGCTGCCTGCACCAGCACTGACTTCCTCAACACTGATGATGCTCATGCTGTACCAGGCTCAGTGCTCCATGATTTGCAGGCTTCATCTCATTTATTCTTGATACATGATTCCCAGATTACAGATGAGGAAACCAAGGCTGGGAGAAATTGAGTCACTCGCTTTATTTGTTATCTATCACCTAATCACACACCATACCCATACCAAAACTTAACGGCTTAAAACCATGGCCACTGTATTTGCTTATGATTCTGTGGGTCAGCAGTCTGGGCAGGGGTAGCAGGGAGGGGGTTTCTTCTGCTGCCCTCACTCGGGGCCTGGCAGATAGGCTAGGGGCTGGATGATCCTAGATGGCTTCACCCACAAGCCAAGAGTTGATTCTGGCTGTTGGCTGGGCCTTTCCGTTGATGTGAATATTCATCTCTTGAGTGGCCAGCCTGGGCTCTTTTACACTTGGATGCCACATTTCACGAAGGTGAGGCCTGGACTTGGAAGTTACACTATATCACTTCCACCTCATTCTATTGGTCAAGGCAAGCCCAAGGATAGCCCACATTCACAGAGGTGGAGAAGTAGACTCCATCTCTCAGTGAGAGGACTGGTAGAGTCATGTTGCAGAGGGGCATCTATATAGGATGGGAGACCTTGCTGCAGCCATTTTTGCAGTCTCCCCCACCGGGCTGAGATTCCACAGTGTATACAGAGTGTTCTACCTATTCTCTCCTATATAATAGCACCTTCAGTCCAGGTGCGGTGGCTCACACCTGCAATCCGAGCACTTTGGGAGGCTAAGACGGAAGGGTTGCTTGAGCTCAGGAGTTTAGGACCAACTTGGGCAACACAGTGAGACCCTGTCTCTCCAAAAACATTCTTAAAAAAAATAGCTGGGTGTTGTGGCATGTGCCTGTAGTCCCAGCTACTTGGGTGGCTGAGGTAGGAGAAGTGCTTATGCCCAGGAGGTCAAGGCTGCAGTGAGCCATGACTGTGACACTGCACTCCAACCTGGGTGACAGTGAGATTCTATGTCAAAAAACAAAAAAACAAAAAAAACACTTTCAGTAGAATATCTGTTTCTCGCTACAAACCCACATAAGCATGGTGCACAGGGAAGAACAAAGAATTTACAGTCAAGAAAACCTGGCTCCAAGCTTTGCTTGTATTAGCTGCACATCCTTTGGCCAGTTATTGGGCCTCTCTTCAGTATTCTCATGCATAACACAAGGCTGTGAGAATGCTACCAGCTGATTGTGAGGATTGCTCATCATGTAAGTCAAGGGCCCTGACACAGAGTAGGCACTCCAGCAGTAGTAGGGATGAGGATGGTGACCATTACTGGCATCGGGGAAGAGCCAGCCACATTTCCATCACCAAATTCAATGACTCATGAGCCTCCCTGACTCAGCAAATTGCAGGGCGCTCCCTTCAAGGCACTGGGAGGGGGCTCCTGAAGGTTCTTGAGGAGGTTCAGGCTGGAGAAGCAGAGGGTGGGGAGGCAGAGGATGGGCTTAGCCTCAGCTCAGACATGCCAATCCCTCCCCCACCCATGGGAAACGCTGCAGCATGTTTTCCCATGTCTCAGGAGAGACCCATGACATGAGCAGGGTGGGGACTCACATTCTCTTTACAGAGTGAGATTTTGAGGCGGAGAATAGGGAAATGATGTTTTCAATGAGAAGGCGAAAGCCAGTACTGCAGCCTGGGCTCCTGAATTTTAGGTGTACCCACCTTTGCACCCCACATCACTCCTGTGGGCAGCAAGCTGTGCTCCCTTGGGCAAGCCACTGAGCTTCCTCTGGGCCTCACTTTCACCATCTATAAAATGGAAAAATAAGACCCATGTAACTGCAACACAGGTTTACTAGCAACTGCTCTCATTTACTAAGCACACTGACTGGGCTTGTTGTTAAGTTTTTTCATTCGCATTATTTTGTTTGATCTCGTGGCATCTCAAAAGGAAGTGTTAGTCTCCTTATTCTACAGATGCGGAAATAGAAGCCCTGGAAGACTAAGTATCTTTCCCCAAACTACATAGCCAGTAAGAAGCAAAGTCAAGTCTCTCTGATTTTATAGCTCTTGGTTTCATCCACGAGGTGATGTTGCCTCAGGAGTAATGGGAAGAGGAAAATGGAAGGTTAGAAATGCTAGAAACCTAACATTGAATTCCTGACCCCGAGTCAGTTGGCCTATTTTTCCAGTTGAGGCCACCTCAGAGTTCCTCCTCTAAGTCCTCACTCTTGTGTCATTGGAGGGCCCTGGTGGGTGTCAGGCAAGGATATTTCCTCCTGTACATGACCACACCTGGGAGAATCCTGGACCCAGACTCCATGACTGGCCCAAAGGGACTTCCACTGTTGGGATTCTGGTTCCACTCTGGTCACCAGTTTGCTGTGTAGCTTTGGGCAAATCCTTTCTCCTCCCTGGGCCTCATTCCTTGACATGTGCATGATGGTTTAGATGGGGTTACCTGAGTGAGTCTGGCTAAACAACATCATGCCTCAAGAAGTTGATGCTCTATCGAGGTGGAGAATAGGACGTCAAATCCTGCCATATGGGAATAAAATGAATGCAAATGGAATCTGGCCTACACTGCTTTGACCCAGCAATACCAAATGATGTAGGGACAGCTTCTCTCTGGCATGTCCTTCTATACACACTCACATACTCACCGCTTCCCTACCAGGTGCTCTATCTGGCACGGGGTCGGGGAGCAGGAAAACTATGAGCTTTGGAATGAGAAACACCTGCACAATCCTGGGCAAGTTTCTTGACCTTTCTGAGCTCTCATTTCCTCGTCTGGAAAAGGGGCAAACCCTCTCCACTGTGCGAGGGTTTTGTGAGGATTACAGAGGAAGGGGTTTGTACAGTGACAGGCACATGTAACCACTCAATAAATGGTAGCTATTGTATTATTATCATCTTAATCCATAATCCCTCACTTCTGCTGGAACCCCTTCTGCCCTGGAGAGAGAAACCTGATAAACTATCTAGTGGAAGGCAATTCATTAGTACAATATGCTGTTCAGCTCATTGGCTCGTGAGCCTGTGTTTGCTAAGACAATAGACGGAAAGGGGGCAGTTCTCACCCCCATCTTCCCATTCACCCTAGCAGTCTTTAATGGAGGGATTCTGGCATGAAGGTGGATTTTCCTTCCCAGCGCCTCTTCTGACTTTCACGATTCAGGCTGTGCACAAGGGCTGTCTGGGTTTATTCTTTCATTCCACATTTCCCGAGGGCCTCTGTGTGCCAGGTCTCTTGCTGGGTGCAGAAACAAGTAAGACCCTTTCCCTCCTTGAGGAGCTCAATGTCTAGATCAAGGTCTATATATGCTGCAATTCTAGGGGGAACCAGGAATGAAGACTTGACTGTGAATTCCCAGGGCGGCCTCCATGTGCTGGCAGAAAAACCACACTCCAAGCACGTTTTCAACGAGCAGTTTAAACCACTTGAATTCGAGTCTCGAAAACCAAAAAACCAGTTCTAAGTGTTTTCACCTCTCCCACTGTTTCCTCCTAAATTTCATTAGGGCTGACAATTTGTATATCCACTTACAGTGTAATATGATTTAAATGGCTGACCGTAACTGTTAGAAACGGAGTTTTCCCCGGGCGCAGTGAGCAGAGAAGGCAGCTGGGGACGCTTCCCAGGGGCAGTGGGGCCCTCTCCACAATGGTGCGGTATTTTAAAGGCCTGAATGCGGCTTGTCAGACGTGGTGTCCACCCGAGGAGATGGGAGGGACAGCTTCCTGGCCCCCTTCCCTCTTCACCCTGAAATCACTTTTGTTCTTGGAGGCTGAGCTATCTTGGAGTTTTCGGCATGCAATAAAATATGCTCAACCACAAGGCCTGTGTCGAGCCAGGACGGCTGGAGGAGAAAGCCAAGCCCGCTGGCCGGACCGTCTTCATGGTTAGGCAGAATTGATAGTGTGTGTCCCGCTCCATGGCTTTCCTTTTTGTTTTGGCTTTGTAACTAAAACAGAGTTGATGCCTGAGAGCTGATGGGATGTTCAGTTTTATTTTGTCCCCTATCAAAGTGTTACACACATTGTGTGTAGCAGTTATTGTATCATAGATTGGATTTGGGTTTGAATCCTCACCCTCTCACTTGATGACCTTAGGTACGTCATTCTCCCTCTCTGGGTATCCATTTCCTCATCTGTAAAATGGCTGGTGCGTCATGCCTTGCTGAATTAATTACAGTATCTAGAACTGCACTGTCCAATACAGAAGCCATTAGCTGTGTGTGGCTATTTAAATTTAAATTAATTAAAATAAAACATTCAGTTCCTCAGTCGAACTAGCCAGATTTCAAGGGCTCAATAGCCACAAACCCAAAACGATAGTATGGCTATAGGATTTTTCATCACTGTGGAAATTTCTACTGGACAGCACTGGCCTAGAACTACGCCTGCACCCACTAGATGCTCATTAGGAACCTAAAAGAGAAACTATGATTTTCACTGTCTGTCACTAGTACAAGCACCTGCAGTCAACAGTGGATGGAATTGTCAGAAATACATTTTACAGAGAGCAGTGTCCCCCAGTATTTAGAATTTGAAACTCTCACACCAGTTGTCTTGTTCTTGTGGACCCCTCTTCTTGCATATATAACGTCCAAACATGGGAAAATGCTCCCCAGCGTGGCAAATGAGCCATGAGAACAGCTCAGATTACAAAGAGAGGGCTGTGACACTGCGGGTGTTCGGGGTGCTAACGTTCTGGACCATATTAGCTAAGGTTCTTTCAACTGCAATTATAGAATCCAATTCCAGCTCGAGTAAACAAGACACAAAGTCACTGGAAGAATGTTGAGATGTCTCCTGGAATCCAAGGAGAATCAGGGCAGCTCTGAGGGTGCCGCTGGTCAGGAACTCAGAAATCCGCCTTTGCTGAAGTTTCCAAATTTGACAGAACTTCAGAATTGACGAGGATGTTGGTAAAGTACAGATTCTAGTGCTGTCCCTTGGATATTCAGATTCATTTATGCTTGGAGTGGGTCCTGGGTATCTGTATTTTTCTAGGCTCCTCAGGTAGACCCAAGCAGCCATTCAAAATGCTGTGCTGTGGTCTGCGCTCCGCGTGGTGGCTCCTTAGCTCTCAGATTGAGCACTGTGCTCCCAAGCCAGATGATCTCATTGGCCCAGCTGTCTGCCCATTGTCCAGCACAGTTCAGAGGTAGAGAAGGGAGGGGAGTCTAGTGACTCAGTCTTGACTCTTGTGGGCTAGCTTCCTAAAATTACTGTATGATCCAGCAACCCCACTACTGGATCTATATCCACAAGAACTGAAATCAGGACTCCTAAGAGATACATGAACTCTCAGTATTATTCACAATAGCCAGGCGTAGAGGCAAACTAAATGTCCATCCATGGATGCGTGGTTAAAGAAGTGGTATCTACATACAATGGCATATTATTCAGCTTTAAAAAAAAGAAGGAAATCCTGCCATATGGGACAACAGGGAGGAACCTACAAGACATTATGCTAAGTGAAGTAAAACAGTCACAAAAGGACAAAATACATGTGATATGGCATTCCATTTATATAAGGTATCTAAAATAGTCAAACTCATAGAAACAGTAGAATGGTGGTTACCAGGGGCTGGTGAGAGAGGAAACCTGGGAGCTGTTTGAGGTTATAAAGTTTCAGTCATGCAAAACGAGTACATTCTAGAGATCAGCTGTACAATGTTGTGCCCATAGTTAACAACGCTGCATTGTACCCTGAAAAATTTGTTAAGGGGATAGATCTCATGTTAAGTGTTCTTATTACTAGAAAGAGAGAGAGAGAGAGGAGAATTTTAATGATGTGTTCAGGCATGCAAACACATCTCCTTTTGGAGGGTAATACCATTTTCAGTGCTTTGTTTTGTGATGTCTGGGGGCGGTGAGGCAATTTGTTGTGCAATAATAGATTAGTAGCTAGAGTTTCTTTTCTTTTTGGTGGGATCATTTGAAAGTATTTCTCTTACTATTTAGTGTGTTGTTGATTATGGAACATTTTAATGAAAAATATAGTTAATCTCATGAACAGCAAAGATTGCAAAATGGGAGCTGCTTAATGCCTGACTTTGATGGTGTCCAAGGATCTTTATCCTTTTTTTGGATTCAGACTGAATGCCTATTTTATAATGGGAATGAATGGGTACAATTATTCATGTGTGTGTGAAAATAAAGCAGTGCACCAAAGTGTTCCCAGTAATTATCCATAAGTTGCAGAATTCGTTTTTAATTTTATTAATCTTTTGTTCTAATTTTTCTGGGATGAACGTGAATTCTTGTTGCAATAATTAAAGGTTTTTAAACATCAGAATGGATAAATGAAATAATGATTGACATGTTTGTAATTACCCTCTTGAAAACTTTGGGAAAGGATCTTTGTTCATTAAGGGCTACCTTCATGCTTGAAGCTGGGGAAAGTTTTAGCTTCCACTGTTTTAGGATTGCTCAGCAGTTTGGCAGTTTGGAATCATAGCACCTCACCTCCCAGGATGTAATAGGAGCAGTCTTCCAGGCTAGCTCCTGACAGTCAGACTGGGAACTACCAAGAAATTTTTCCTGTGTAGCTAGGACAGTGCCCAGCACCTAGGAAGTACGCTAAAGTGTTGATAGAATTAAAGCATGAAGAGATAATCTGAGAATCTAAGTCTGACTCATGACTTCCTATAGTAAAGCTTGGGGATGAAGGAAAATCAAAGACGGTTATTTGACATAGAGCATTTGGGTTCCTTTAGATTTCTGACCTGGGGCTGCAAGAGCAAGAGACCATTGACATTTGTTAAGCAATTGGGAACTTAAGTGATGGCACTTGAGAAACTGTGCAAAACAGCAGCCTAGACATCAGACTACCTGGCCAGCAGCTGGGGGAAATGAAGCTGTGCTGAGCTTGGGGAGGTCTTTTCACCTGAGCAAGGTGGTAAAGGATGATCACATGCTCTTAGCATGGTGATGCATCCTCAACCAACACGTGAGTTTGTTCCCTGGTTTGGACAGACCTGCTTCCTATCTGTGGATGTGTTTTCCCAATCACTGGAAGATGCAACTTAATTCATGGCAATTTACTCATTTGTTCATTTGATATCTTTCTGGGTGAGTGGAAACTTTTATTATTATATAGTGTCTTTCTTTATACCTGATAATGTTTTACACCTCAGAATATGGGTTTGGCATTAATATGGCTACTATAGTCTTATTTTGGTTTGTATTTGTCTCTTTCAATCCTTTTATTCAACTGCTCCTCTGTGTCTTTAAGTTTTGAGTTTTTATTTTAAACATTCAGGATTTTAGTCTGATAATCTTAGTCATTTAACTGAAGAGTTTGGTTCATTATATTGATTATAATCATTGTCATATCTTGAGCTTTCTATCTATCTTACCTTTAATTTTTATTTTCCTTTTTCATCCTTTTGCATTGGTTTTTGTTTCTTTTTCTTGCACCATTTCCCCTCTTTTTGTTCGAAAAGTTATATTTTTTTCTTTTATATATATATATATATATATATATATATATATATATATTTTTTTTTTTTTTTTTTTTTTTTTTTTTTTTTGAGATGGAGTCTTGCTCTGTCACCCAGGCTGGTGTGCAGTGGCTCGAACTTGGCTCACTGTAACCTCCGCCTCCCGGGTGCAAGCGATTCTCCTGCCTCAGCCTTCCGAGTGGCTGGGATTATAGGCGCGCGCCAACACAGGTGGCTAATTTTTGTATTTTTAGTAGAGACAGGGTTTTGCCACGTTGGCTAGGCTGGTTTTGAACTCCTGGCCTCAAGTGATCCGCCTGCCTCGGACTCCCAAAGTGCTGGGATTACAGGCATGCGCCACTGTGCCTGGCCTATATTTGCTGTATTTATTTTTATATGGCTACTTTAGACACAAACATTTATACTTAATAAAGTCTAATCAGTATTTTGATCCTTTTTTCAAACAGTGTGAGATTCTTAGATTAATTTGTTACCCTCTTTCAAATGCATATGCTCTGTTTTGACCCATGTGTTAGCTGTTTAACCCCTAAAATAGAACTTGTAATTATTATTTTATATATTCAATATAAAATAATATAAAAGTTTTTCCAAGATATTTGCCAACATCTTGTCTCTGTGAACTTCTGTGATCTGGATTCATTTTCCTTAGTACCTGAAGTACAGCCTTTAGGAGTTCCTTGAGGGAGTTGGTAAGAATTGTTTCAGTTTTTGTTTTATTGAAATCATCTTCATTTGACTGTCAGTCTTGAATGAAAGCTTTCCTGGGTATGAAATGGACAACTATTCATCCATTGTTTTTACTCACAAAATATTATGGTCACCAAGTTCTATGTTAGACATAAAAGATTAATCATGAGGTTAACCAGATAGTGGGAAAAACAGACAATCAAATCATCACACAAATAAATGTGAAAGTACATGATACGGTTCAGCTGTGTCCCCACCCAAATCTCATCTTGAATTGTAGTTCCCATAATTGCCACGTGTGTGGGACAGACCAGGTGGAGATAATTGATTCATGGGGGCGGTTACCCTCATCCTGTTCTCATAATAGTGAGTTAGTTCTCACGAGATCTGATGGTTTTATAAGGTGCTTTTCCCCCTGCTTCACTCTGCACTTTTCGTCGCTGCCACCATGTGAAGAATATGTGTTTGCTTCCCCTTCTGCCATTATTGTAAGTTTCCTGAGGCTTCTCCAGCTATGCTGAACTGTGAGTCAAGTAAACCTCTTTCCTTTATAAATTACCCAGTCGTAGATATGTCTTTATTAGTGTGAAAACAGACTAATACAGTGCAATTGGTAAATTACATGAAGGACTGACTCATGGTACTCTAAGAGTTTGTAATAGGGAGCTCAATCCAATCTGGGGAAACAGGGAAATTTTCCCCAAAGAAGGAGAAGTTGAGCTAGGGATTAAACTGAGCCTTGATAAATATGTTAGAAGTTACCTTGGCAAAGGCAGGCTGGGAGGAGTGAAGTTAGGAGAGAGTATTTCAGGCACACATGCAAAGGCCCTGTGGTGGATGGCATCTTTGAGAGCCTGAAAAATGGCTGATGTGACTAGGTGACCAAAAATGAGGGGAATGGTGGCCATTTGGGCTGGAAAGATCAGCTGAAAGTCACAAAAGCCTTATGAATTGTATTGAAGATTTTAGGCTTTATACCAAAATTCTATATTTCTCTTTGTAATTCAATGTAAAGCAGTTGAAGAAAGGAGAGAAGAAAGGCAGAAAGGGAGGCAGGCTTTATTTCTAAGGAAGAAACAAGATCCAGCCTGAAGTCCAAGGCACTTGTTATCAAAGTCTTTCTGCTAACATGTCACAGCTAGGAATGAATATGTTATAGGAGGATAAACTTGCTACAGCTCATTTTATTAAGAGATGAAAAAGATGGATAACCACTTTTTTCTTAACCAGTTTTTCAAAAGAGTTGGTAAAAAGCATTAAAATCAGTGTCAGCAATCGCCTGTTCTATTCTTTACTTGGGTTCCTGCTCAGTCCCTTCCTAAATCGTTATTAACAAGTCTCTTTTCCCAACACTGGAATCAATGTTTTTCATCTTCTGAATGTAACTTTAAATTACACGAGTGCAGTACCAGATTGCAGTACCGAATTGTTTCAGAGAATTAATTTCCATTTCCTATAAGCCAGTATTTTGTATGTTTTGTTATATTGCAAATAATCATGTCCATGTTGTATAGTAACCAAAGATTTCATACACTACTTACAACCCTAAACTATGGGATTTCTTTTGTTTTGGCTTTCTGTGAATAGAATTCCCCTGTAACACATATTTATCCTCTGATGGATTTTTTTTTAATATTTACTTTTTATTTTTATTTTTAGAAAGTCAGTACATACAAATGTACAAGGTTGTGTAATTCATTGCTATTTTCAGCAGATAGTAATTTAGGTGACTTCTAGATGAGGTGTTCCTCCTGTTCTATTTGGGAAAGTTCTGAAGAATCTAGCAAAATAAGAAGATTGTATGGGACTATGCTATCCTGTACAAGAGAGCTGACTTCAGACTATGTCACCTTGATTTCCACCCATTAGTTGCACTACAGCCTGGAGTAGTGGTGTTTCCTCTAGAGCCAACTTGGGTTCAAAATTCTTGGTTACACAACTACTACTGAGTAATCTGGGCCAATAACAAACCCTCTCTGTTTTCCCATCTGTAGAATTAGAAATAACATCACTTTACGAGATTAAAGAACAAATATGGGATTGCATGTGAAGAGCAGGTTACTTTGAACCACTCAGTAAATATTGGTATATGCCTCCTCTTTTGCTTATCTGTTCTATAAAGCTGGGCTGTTCAAACCTCTGTTTTATTTATTTTGCCAGCCACAAGTTAGTGTCACAAACTGCAGTTAAATTTAATAACAATGTATTTTTAACAAGCAAATGTCTAATTCCATCTGGTTTCAAATTTAAAAGAACATTTCTCCTACTTGTTTTTCTTCCAAAGCCAAATTATCAAAACCCGAGTGCCGGTTATTCCTCACTAGTGTTCAAGGTAATTCAAGAGTATCATAAAATGTTATTAAAAGATTAAAAAGAGCTAATCATGCTGGTGAGTCTGTGTTGAGATGGGTATTCTTCTACATACGCTATTCAGTATAGGTAATGAGTCAATTCCAGTAATCCTGCTTCTAGGAACCTGTCATAAAATAATCAGGGATAGGTAGGCGAATAAAAATTTATGTAATAGCATGTTAATGGCAGCATTTTTTATTGTAGTATGATACTAGAGATGACCTAAATGTCCAACAATAGGGAAATGGTTAAACCTTAAAATACGGTTTACAAAAAAAAATTTTAATGATGAGGGAAAATAGTTGTGATATAGTATTTAAGGAGAAAGGCCACAGAAGACTATCTGTAGCATGAGCTCAGCTAAGGAAGGTCTCTCTCTTTTCATATAGGCCTTAAAGAAATGGGGGAAAATGCACAACATTTTAATGGCATATTATCTCTGGATGGTAAGATTAACATGTATTTTTTTTCTTTATGCTTAAGACTATTTCCGTCTGCACTATTCCTTTTGTAATTGGGGGAAGGAATTGTGTTGTGATGATGGTGATTTTTTAAAGCATGGTCTGGATTCCATGATGTGTGAAGCTTTCAGGTAGAACATGCTACTTGTTCAGTGTCCAGGGTGCTGGGCCCTTGAGCTTGTTTCTCATACAGAAACTGTTACAACAGATTTTTCTTGGTTAGGGGATCTGAGAGAGAGGTGGTGAAAAGACCATCTTCCTGTATTATCCATTAGGGCCTCCATGCTGAGGAGCTCTTGAGACTTGGAGATTCCTGTGAGCCTAGGCAGCACCATTCCTCACCTTCTAAACTTTTCTAAACGAGTAGCAGAAGCAAACCAATCTACTGTCTTAGTCCGCTTGGGCTGCCATAACAAAATACCATTGGCTGGGTGGCTCAAACAACAGAACCTGAATTTCTCACAATTTTGGAGGCTGGAAGTCCGAGATCAGGGTGCTAGCATGGCTTGTTTCTGGTGAGGGCTCTCTTCCTGGCTTTATTTTATTTTATTTATTTATTTCTTGACACAGAGTCTCACTCTGTCACCCAGGCTGGAGTGCAGTGGCACAATCTCGGCTTACCACAACCTCTGCCTCAGCCTCCCAGGTAGCTGAGATTACAGATGCCCACCACCATGCCCTTTTGTATTTTTAGTAGAGACAGGGTTTCACCATGTTGGCCGGGCTGATCTCGAACTCCTGACCTCAAGTGATCCCCACAACTCAGCCTCCCAAAGTGCTGGAACTAGAGGCATGAGCCACCGCGCCCAGCCTCTTCCTGGCTTTTAGACAGCTGCCTTCTTGTTGCCTCCTCTCATGAGGGTGGGGCTAAGAAAGCTCTTCAGTGTTCCTTCTCTAAGGCCCCTAATCCAGCATAAGGAACGCACCCTCATAAACTTCTCTAACCCTAAATACCTCCCCAAGGACCCCTCTCCAAATACCACCATGTCTGGGGTTAGGAATTCAACATATGAATCTTGGGGAACCACATACATTCAGTGCATAATATCGACATGCACCCACATCCCTCTGTCTCACTGTCAGGGTACAGCACCCTCACAGACCATCACTAGAGACTTGGGTAGGAAGAATGGCCCAGGGCACATCGCTTATACTGCAGGACCTCACAACTGAGGAGAGAACAAGACTGAACACTCATTAATATCAGTAGCTACTGTTGAGAATTACCACATGGCGCCTGTAGGCATTGTTTTAAGTGTAAACCCTGCACTAACTCGCTAATTCTCACAACTCTGAGATGCCTCTCTTTTATAAATGAGAAGACTGAGTACAGAGAGAGTGAGAAGCTTGCACAAAGTCACGGACCTTGAACGTGGTAAAGCTGGGATTCAAACCCTGGTCCATCTGTACTTGTCTTATGATACTAAATAGCATGGACGCATAAAGACCAACTGCCTGGGTTCAGAGCCTGGCTCCTGAGTAAGTTCCTCTATCATTCTGAACCTCCTCACTTTCTTTATCTGTAAAATGGGGATGATTCTTACCACATGGATTGCTGCAAGGATTAAATGCTGCAGGTGAAAGTGCTAGATAAGGATCCAATGACCTCAGACAGTAAATAGGGGCTTCCATCTGTGCCAGTGGTAAGTGCTTCTGGCATCCCAAGAGTGAAAGCATGTCGATCTGAAGGAAGGGAAGCCTGGGGGTAGGAGGGGGTTTCTGGAAGAGACACAGTTCTTGGAGGAAGAGCAGCCAGGCAGACAGCCACTGCAAAGAAGCGTCTCAGGGGGACGCGAGGGAGCTGGGAACGTCCAGTTCCTGTTGCTCTGCCCACTGTCAATGCCTAACAGGTGTGCAGGTTGAGGGTGAGAGGCTGGATTCAGTGGACCCACACCTGTTAGGCATGAGCACTAGGGCGAGGTGGGAGTGGCTAGACAGCAATCAGCTCCAGACAGAGGGGCAAGTCTGGGCCCATGTTCCCTGCACCCTGGGAGCCAGAAGCTCATTAACTAGGAGGGGAAGGAACGATTACATGCAAACTTCTGAAGGGAAGGCAAAGTTCTGAAGGGTAGGGGCAGGACGGGGGTTGTTCTCTACCTGTGGCCCTGGCATGGCAAGAAGCCGGAAGGGATGAAAGGAGTATGGAGACAGCTTCCAGGGGCCCTTTACTAAGGTCAGGACAGGGGCCAGCAGATCAACCAGGGTGGCTTAGGATGCTGGAAAGAGCAACTTAGGGTTGATGTGAACTGTAATGCAGAGACTTGGTGAAGTCTGGAGCAAGGGAGGGGCAGGATTCAAAGAAGAGGAAGGTGGGGCTGGTGACTGCACCAACTGCATTTGAGGGGGTGGAGGAAGAAACCCCAGGTGTGCTGTGTCCAGGGCCTGGACTCTAGGGTTGACCATGTGCTTTATCCACGACAGCACTGTCAAATAGAAATACATTGCCAACCGCATATGTCATTAAAAAGTCTTCTAATAGCCCATTCAAAACAGCAAAAAGAAGACCCTGCATGGTGGCTCACGCCTGTAATCCCAGCACTTTGGGAGGCCGAGGCGGGTGGATCACTTGAACCCAGGAGTTCAAGACCAGCCTGGCTAACATGATGAAACCCCCCCGTCCCTACTAAAAATACAAAAATTAGCCAGGCATGGTGGCAGGCACCTGTAAACCCAGCTACTCGGGAGGCTGAGGCAGGAGACTTGCTTGAACCCAGGAGGTGAAGGCTGCAGTGAGCCAAGATCAGGCCACTGCACTCCCGCCTGGGCAACAGAGCAGGACTCCATCTAAAAAACAAAAGAAACATGTGAAGTTAATTTTAATTTATTTAATATAATCTATCAATATGTATCATTTCAACATGTAATTCATATGAAAATTAAGATATTTAATATTTTTCTTGTACTGAGTCTTCGAGATCTGGGCTGTATTTCTTGCAGCACATCTCATTTGGGACTAGCCACCCTCCAGGAGTCACAGGTGGATGGTGACTGCTGTCTTGGATGGTGCAGGTGTAGACCTAGAGGTAGCTTGTGTGATGTTGATTGCATCTGTGCCTTTTCACCAAGTTTCCGTTTGGTCACCTTGACCGCCCCTGGAGGGTGGACACTGGCTGGAAGGCTGTGCTTTCCCTTGACTATGAGACATGAGCAGGGAAGTGCCCCTTGGCTGGCCTCTTTGCTCTCTGCTCCGCTGAACCTGTGGGCTGGGCTGGTCTCCACTACACACCCAGAGTTGAACATTAACCCTGGATTTCTCAGGGATATTCCAAGTGAAAGAAGTTGTTTTGTTTTGTGTGTATGTGTTTTTTTAAACTTCTCCCTGTTCTGAAGGACTCTTGTCTTCTGGAGAGCGGAGTGGGCCGCGGAAGTGGATGTTTCAGTCCCTTGTAGCTGCTCACCTGTGTGAACTCCTGGGGAGAGTGGTGAAAATTTAATTTGAAACTAGATTTCAACTAGTTTTCGCAGATAACTGTGTTCCATGAGTAGGAATGTTCCCCCTACATTCAAGCTCCTAAATGTCCTTGATTTGGGAGAAAATGAATTGGCTTCTAGACTGATTATTTTATATTCTTGGGATATTGGTGTGGTGCAGAGGTTATGAAGCAAACTTTGGTGTCAGACGATTCTGGGTTTGAGTTTCAGCTTTATGACCGTGGGGGAATCAGGTCACTTTTTAAACCCTCGGTTTCCTCATCTATGAAATGAAAATGTGAGTACCTAAGATGTGAGGGCTTATTCAAAAGATAAAATGGAAGAATATGTGTGACTCTTTTTACCTGGTACATGAGGGATCAGTAGATGGGAAATAATAATTTGTGGCTATTATTATTACCATTTTTATTCATGGAGCAGGGCCTGGGTTGAGTTTGTGATTTGGGTCAGGGGAGGCAACAGGAGAAAGATAACATAGGAAGTGGGCTAGGGAGGGATATCAAAGTAAGACTCAGGAGGGTCTCTGATGGGTGAAGGCAGAGCCAGAGGCCTCCAGATGGGTAGGACAAGAGTGGAGGTTGTCCCAGGCTGGCATGTGGCATCACCCTGGCCGTATCCATGAACTCTTTCAGAGGTCATACTCTTCTCCACAGGTTTCCAGCCCTACCTCCCATGTTCAGAGTTACCCAAACCAGTCTGACCCCTTTCCAATGTGTTCCAGATACATGTGTGAGGAATGGGAAAAATGCAGAGCCAAGTGGGAAGTTGCCCATTTTGGCACCATGTTGAGCCTGACAGTCTTGCCCGGGGGCGGGGCACCCTATTCCAGGGGAGGGGTTGCCTCTGCTCCTTCTCCTCCTCTTTGTTCCTCAGGGAGGAGCCCTCCACAGCCTCTCCCCAAGCATGGCATTTACAGTTACCCTAGTGAGGTGGGATTTGTCCGAGGCACACAGATAGGCTGGCCCTCGGGTCTGTCAGTGGGACTTCAGTTTACTCATTTTCTGAAGATTTATTGAGCACCTACTATGATTGAATTTGTATATCCCTAATGATTAGTAATTGATGAAAGTAGTTTTGATCTTGCAGATTCCCTTTCAGGGAACTTTCAGGGGTCAAGGTACCACACTTTGGGAACTGCTTCTTTAAAGGAAAGGTACGTGGAGCAATGAGAGCTTAAGACAAGATAAACTGACCCGGGTTTGGAAGCAAGGGACTAGATTATAAAAAGGTTGGAAAGGCTGGGTGTGGTGGCTTACGCCAGTAATCCTAGCAATTTGGGAGGCCGAGGCCGGCGGATTGCCTGAGTTCGGGAGTTCAAGACCAGCCTGTGCAACATAGTAAAACCCTGTCTCTACTAAAATACAAAAAATTAGCTGGGTGTGGTGGCCTGCGCCTGTAGTCCTAGCTACTTGGGAGGCTGAGGCAGGAGAATCACTTGAACCCAGGAGGCGGAGGTTGCAGTGAGCTAAGATCATGCCACTGCATTCCAGCCTGGGCAACAGAGTGAGACTCTCTGTCTCAAAAAATAAAAAGGGAGGACATTAGAGAGTGTTTCAGACATGGACAGGCCATGTGCAAAGGCCCAGGGGTGAGGGAGAACACAGCACCCTGGAGGAGCTGAAGCGAGACCTCATGAAACCTCTGCCTGAGGTGTACTTGGGAAGCCACAAGCTCCACACCATCCTGAAATTCCTGCCACTAAAAACGTAGTAAGATGCTTGTCATGTGCCAAGTACAGAGCCCATCTCTTCCCTCTTGGAGCTGGAAGTCTGCAAGGGGACTACATATTCCTATTCCCATGCATCATTGCTATGAGATGTGCAGAGGCAGGGAGTTGGGTTTGATATTGGTACAGGCAGAAGGGGTACAAAAACCAGATTTGGAAAGCCAAGGCAGCAAGGAGGTTTAGGTTCAGTCTTGAAGGGTGAGTAAGGCTGGTCCAGGCACAGGGGAAGGTGTGTGTGCACCAGGCTGAAGGACAGGAGGGTTCGAAGGCCTGGAAGCTAGTGATTGCACAGGCTCTGGTGGGAAAGGGAAGGGTGCACTAGGGAGAACTGGGGAGACTGGGAAGAGCATTGGCCATCCCGTGCAGCATGTGGATCACACCAGTTGACTCTGGGCTCTAAACCCAGTGTGGTTTGTTGTTAAGGTCACAAGCTAGATTCTAAGCCACGATTCAGTATCTTATGGGCTAGTCACTTCAACTTTTTGGACTATCTTAGACAGGCTGTGCTTCTTACAGTTTAAGAAAAGGGACTCTGGAGCCTGTCTGTCTGGGCTCAGATTCAAGATCTGCTATAAACTACGTGTGTGACCTTGGGGAAGTTACTCAACCTCTCTGTGCCTCAGTTCTGTAATAGGAATAATACTGTTACCCACCACATAAGGTTGTATAGGGATTCAATGAGTCATATGTAAAGTTTTAGGGCTTAACTATAATTATTACCAAATTCCTCATCCACAGCAGGGATGCTCATCCCATCCTACCCACTTCAGAAGATGCGGTGGGAAGCATAGTATCTTAGCCTTGGCAACGACCCTGGGGGTTTCTCTAGTTCAAAGCCCCATATCATTCAGAAGATCTCCACTGTCCCTGCCTGTCTGTACTTCCTGGACATGTGGCTCTTTGGGCTGTGCTCATTCATGCCCTGTGATGGTGACATTGGCATTGTGAGCACGTGTGAGAAGAGCCCAGGGAGAGAATAGTCCCCAAGTAGATTATCCATCACTCTTGGTAAGGAAACCATAAGGGACAAATAAAGTCAAAAAAGTTTAACACTCACATCTGTGCCCCTTTCTTCCACTTTAAGAAGATGTGATGCAAACGTGTTTTAACCCTAAAGGTAAGACCCTCCTGCAGTTCTGTTATTTCTCTGAAGCACATGGGAGAGCTGCGAGCCTCAGAATGGAATGAAGTGGAGGAACAGCCCTAACATCATGTAGATCCAAAGAAAAACGCTGTGGAAAGAAGACAAATACTCCAAGATGTGGCAGACAAGCCCATTTGCTCTAAGTGGAGCTATTCCTGGAGCCTCACTTCTGCTTAAGAAGACAAGCTGTCATTTGAGTGAAAAAGGCAGACTTTACCTACCCTGCTCACTTCTGGGCCAAGGAGGGCCAGGCTGAGCATGGCCCTTTCAATTTATTAAAGCCTGCATCCATGGTATCTGCGAAAGCCAGTCTCTCCCCAGAGTTGGCCATACCACAAAGCCCATCCAAACAAGAACTCTCATTTCCCCAGCATTGTGAGAAGATGGGGTATGAGAGCAGGGATCCAGGCCTGGTCTTCCTGGCCTTCTGGGCTGTTGAGACCTTGCCTGGTCAGAAATGTGTTTACTGCTGTCAGCCCTGGAGACGACTGCTTCCTACCTCCTTGCATGGTGTGACCCACCGGTCCCTGGCTTCTCTCCCTGCTCATCCCCCATGGCTTTTTTTGGAAGGGCAACTTTGCTGTGTGGTAGAAAGAATGCCAACCATGCCCTCCCTAGGCCTGTTTTACTACAACACTGAAGGCAGGTGCAGGCAGGAGTATAGCTCAGCAAGGAAGAGTTCAGGGGTCTGGAGGAGAATGTGCAGATTTCAATCCTGTCAACAGCTAGGCAATTGGGATGAGTGACTGACTACAATTTGTCCATATGAAAAGTAGGAGAAGACCCACCAAGTAGGTTGTAAAGAAGGATAAAAACACTGGAATTGTACCTGGCACACAGTAGGTGTTCAATAAATGTTTACCAGGGCTTGCCATTTGTGGAGCGCTTGCTATTTTCCAAACAGTGTGCTCGACCCTTTGTTTGTGCCAGCCTCCCTCTGTTATCCTCATAATGACCTAATGAGGGCACCACTAGGATTGTTCCCAGTTTGCAGGTGTCAGATCAATTACCTAAAGTTGCATAGTAAGGATTGTCCAAACCCAACTTCCTCTGCTTTCAAAGCCCATGCTCCTAACTGGTTTGCATCTCGCCTCCAGCAATAGATGGTTCAAGTCCTTGCTTTGTTACTTTCTGGCTGGGGACTTTGGTTAAACTCGTTCCTTTATCTGAGCCCCAGTTTTCTCCTTCATTAAGAAATGGCACTCAAGAAGTAGAATGGAAATGGATGAGACCATGAGGTTGGACTTCCACTGAGATCCTGGCATTGCTCTCCTGCTAATTCTTGGAGAGACTTTTGTCGAGTCATTCTGCTGCTTCCTGCCTCAGTTTCCCCCATCTATAAGAATAAGAGGATTTGCCTTGATGGCTTCTGAGGAGCCTCCTGTATTGGATATCCTGGGCTGCTTCTGGGGAAGCTGGAGTCCAGAGAGTCTCAGAAAGTGGCACAGCATATAATTATCAGACCATACAAAGCTGTTGGGGGCCCTCTGCTCATGGACTGACTGAACGTTGGCACTGGCATTGCAGGACATAACCTGTCTGGTAAGCTGTATCCAACTGAGAGGGCCTTCGGGTGTTGAAGAACAAGGGCACCAGAATTCAGCCTTCCTGGGACTGAGCCCCAGCTTTGCCTCTTACTTGCTCTAAAGTATGTGCCTTGATTGGATAAGTGACTTACTCTAAATCTTGGTTCCTGCATCTGTTAAAATGGGATAGTAAGAGTGCCTTTTTCATAGGATTGCTAGGCAAAGTGAGGTTATTCCTGTCATGTGCTTAGCCCTGAGCATACCAGATGCAGCATGATCTCTTTGTCCATGCCACCCTGTGAGAGGATCCAACTTCAACTCTCGTTTCCTTGAGAGCAGGGACCTTTCTACCAGTATCTGTATCCCTGGGCCTAGCACAGCATCTGCCATGCTTATCAGATGCCTTCTGAAACAGGAAATGAACTCCTTCATGCTACAGATGAAAAGTCTGATCCAGAGAGGGGATATCCTGTGCCAAACAGCCAGTTGGTGGAAGAACCAGTACACAGAACCCAACTTCTAGATTTGAGCTAGTGGTGTTTCCAAGGCAGCACACAAAACTTTTGTCAAGATTGTCACTTGATGGTTTCCTGGTACTTGGAATGTCTTCACTTAGTACCCTGCGGTGGAGATGGGAAATTAATGTGTTGAGTCAGCTGTGGACCTTGGGAGCTGGTAAACACTTCTATGAATTGGATGTTGGAATGTCCTTGCAGCTTGAAAGAATGCAGAGGGGATCTTGGGTACAAATTGGGTAATTTTGTGCTTGCCTACTTATAGGATGGAGCTTGCCAGGAAGATGGGGAGCTAGTGCTAGTGTTGCCTGGGAGGTAACCTTCCTAATAGTTTTTCAGTGACCCACTTAAGTCATAATGCTCTTAGAAGTCTAGAGAGCCCTCTTGTCTACCTAACCACCCTGGAGTTTCCAAGCTGAGCTTTCCTGCTGAAAGCAGGAGGTAGGTTTTTACAGGCCCTAGTTTCTTGAAGTTGGGCGGGAAACATTTTTCATGAGCCCTGTATAATGGGGTGTGGTGACCTTGTAATAAAAACTCATCCTCCCTCGAGGAGTCCTGCCTATGCAATGGCTTCATGCCTAGGGACAGTAGGTAGTGACTGACGTGTGACTTAAGGAGATAATGGGACTCAAAAGATGCTCACAAATGTTTGTCAGATGGCCCGATGCATGTCATCAGGCACTCCTTTTGTTGGAAGAGGAGGGGCTTCCTTAGAGCATCTGCTGCTGCCAGCCATGGAAGCCCCATGGCCTATAGGCAAGGAGGCAGCTGGTGCATGAGTGGGATCTTGAAGATGAGTCTTCTTAAACACACAACCTCAGAAGGCAGGCTTGTCAGATTTCCTGTCTCCATCCCAAACTCTGCTCTGAGTTCTAGACCTTTAGATCAAACAATCTATTTGACATCTTTCCCTGGACTTCTTAAAGACAAGTTCTCGATTTCTCTCCCTAGTCTTATGCAAACTGTGACTCTCCAGTTCTCCGCATCTCAGCAATGGTGCCACCAGCCTAGTTTGAGCCAGAAATCTGGCCCCTACCCTTCACTCTTCCCTTTCCCTACATCCAATCCAACACCAAGTTTTGTGGACTCTGCCTCCAAAATACATCTGGAGTCTACTCAATACTTGTATTTCCGTGCCATCACCCTGCAGTCAAAGTAATCAGGTTCTGCCTAACTCACCTTTAAAGGAAAAAAAAGATACATAATGGATGTACATAATTTTGGGATATATGCAATAATTCATATAATTTGTAAAGATAAAATCAGTATATTTGGGATATCTATCACCTTAAATATATGCCTTTATGTTAAAACCATTTGAAGTCTCTGCTAGCTATTTTGAAGTGTACAACAGATTATTGTAAGCTATAGTCACTCTACTGATCTCTCTAATACTAGTTCTTATTTCTTCTATCAAACCATATATTTGTACCCATTGATCAACTTCTCTTTAACTCTCTCATGTTCCCCTCCTTACATCCCATTCTCACTTGCCCCAGCACTTGCTGGTTTTCTGGCTCTTCCTGCCTCAGGTCTTGGTACTTGCTATTTCTATTGCCTGGATTCCCCCCGCCTCCTGCCACAGGCCTTCCCAAGCTAACATTTTGTTACTGGAGAGCCAGCGATGTCTTCTCTGACCTTGTCAGCTCACCCCAATTATGTCCTCTGTCTTCCACAGTCTGTAACCATATTATTTTCCTGTTTGGTCTGCTGCCTTCAACAGCAGAACTTTTCAGTAAAGGTCCAGATAGAAAACGGTCTAGGCTTTGTGGCTGCACGGGCTCTGCCCCATTGCTCACCTCTGCTGTTTCAGTGTGAAAGAACACAATTAGGCAATGTATAAATGAATGGATCTGGCTGTGTTCCAGTAAAACTTTGTGGATTCTGAAAGTTGGAATTCATATAACTTTCATGTGTTTTGAAATATTCTTTTGATTTAGAAAAATCTTTTAAAATATAAAAACTATTTATAGCTCTTGGACCTTACAAAAATATGCAGTGGGCCTGCTGGCTATAGTTTGCAAACCTCCTTCTAGAATGTAAGCCCCATGAGGTCAAGGACCTTGTCTGTCTTGTCCAGCACAGTATCTCAACTGCATTAAGAGTTCTTGGCACAAGGCTGGGTGCAGTGGCTCATGCCTCTAATCCCAACACTTTAGAAGGTTGAGGCAGGTGGATTGCTTGAGCCCAGGAGTTCAAGACCAGCCTGGGCAACGTGGCAAAAGTCATTAGCCAGGTGTGGGGACATGAGCCTGTTGTCCCAGCTACCCAGGAGGCTGAGGTGGGAGGATCACTTGAGCCTCAGAGGTGGATACTGCAGTGAGCTGTGATCATACCACTGTACTCCAGCCTGGGTAACAGTGAGACCCTGTCTCAAAAACAACAAAAAGAGTTCTTGGCATATAGGAGCTGCTCTCTAAATATTTTAGAAAAGGAAGGAGAGGAGGCTATACATGGAGCTAATTGGACATGTCTCAAACATGGGACCACTATGTTTCTGAAAACATGAAATAAAGGAACAAGGAACAAAGGAAAGACAATCTTAGAGATGAGGCATCTGAAGACTAGTCAACAGGGATCTCTATACACCAAGTCCATCCTTCTGCCTCTAGCTAGAACAACAACCAACCAATGCTCTGCATTTCCCAGGCCCAGAGATAATTCTTTTCTTTTGTTTTTCTTTTTCTTTTTTTTTTGAGATGGAGTCTTGCTCTGTCACCCAGACTGGAGTGCAGTGGCGCGATCTTGGCTTACACAAACTCCTCCTCCCAGGTTCAAGCTATTTTCCTGCCTCAGCCTCCCAAGTAGCTGGGATTACAGGCACCCACCACCACACCTGGCTAATTTTTGTATTTTTAGGATAGACGGGGTTTCACCATGTTGGCCAGCTGGTGTCAAACTCCTGGCCTCAGGTGATCCACCCACCTCAGCCTCCCAAAGTGCTGGGATTACAGGCATAAGCCACTGCACCTGGCCCAGGCCCAGAGATGATTCTATGTCAAGCAGGAAGCCACAGCTCCCTGTACTCAGTCTTCCAAACTGTCGACGCGGCCAGGCTGTCCTGGCTGTAACCTGTGGAAAGGTCATAAACATTTTGTCCTGGCACGGGGAGTTAACATCTGAATTCATTAACGTTTAAATACTCTTGTGAAGAAAATTATGATTGATCTTTAAAAATGAGAATCTGTCCTTCAGTCTCACCCGGCATTTGTAGGATCTGCATCCCTTTTCATCCTCACCACTTTTGACCACTGGTGCAGAGTAAATATTCCTCTGGTTGTTCTAATAGCATTTGTCCCTCCTGCAATAGCTTTGAGACAAAATACTTTCCTTAATAATACTCTCAGAAAATATTTGGCACTCTCCTCCATAATTTATGATGAAACCTGTTTATTGCCTTGTGGTCATTCCATTGGCGGTCATTTGATGCTGTGGACTGCTGAATGAGGCCCCCTTCGAGCTGTGTCTCTGGACACTGGTAGAAACGCTTGGAAAGTTTAAGAAAAACTTGGGCAGCTTGTTGAATATGGGGAACAATATAACTAGATCCTACCTCTCAGCTCATATCAAAATCCTAGATGAGTTGAAGATTTAAACAAGATGAAATGATTAATAAACAGTTTAAAAAAACATAATTTGGGGAAAGTGAATGTCTCTAAACATATTACTGAAGGTAGCAGCAGAAATATCAAGACAAAGTTGATTATATAAATTAAAAAAATCTTCAGCACAGCCAAAAATTTCAAAATCATGAGAAACCACAAATTTACAGATTTATTTGCTGACAAAGGGTTAATGTATTTACTGTGTAAAATACTTTATGAAGGGGAAGAAAACCAGTCAAAAAATGTGCAGAGAATATGCAGAGGCCTGTATGTAGAACTCAAAGTGAAGGACATAAAGATAACTCATGAAATAGGTACATCTGGTCAACAAATATTTGGAAAGATATTCAGTCTTACTGGTAATAAAACACAAACCTGAAATGCCATGTTCTGCCTGTCAAACTGGCAATGATAAAAAGAATGATGGTAAGTGTCTGGTCAACTGCTAGTGGAGGTGGCATTGCTGTATGCATTATTAAAAGCCTCAAACTCAACAGTTCTCCTTCTAGAATTTGAGATTCACACACAGTATTTTGGGGAGTTTTCTAGACTATCCCCAGCATTAGGATAGAGACCTTGTCTGATTTAGTCATCACTCATGTGTTCCTAATAGATACTTGGTAAGAGCTGGTTGAATGAATGGATGGATGACTGAATGAATATGATTGAGAGTGCTAGAGTATTTCGAGTAGCAAAACATAGGAGATATTTTCCAAGTTTATCAGTAGTGTGTTGCTTAAATATGTCAATAGTCTAGGTTGCCGAATAACCAGTAGTTTAATGAATTGCCTGGTAGTTTGTTGACAAATTGACAGTAATTCAGTTAAAATTACACCTTGTGGGAGTGGTATAAGCAGTGTTTCTATTCCACCAGGTATTCACGTGGGTACATTTTTCTTCTTGCATTGAATCTGGGTCTAACTTAGCATATCAAACACTTTCTGTGTTAAAGGGATAAACATATTTATGATCACCAGTTGCTGGATTTTTAAGCAATTGTAAATATGAAGTCAATTACAAATGCCTTTCTTCCAGCCTCTTCTGATATCAGGATTTTGTAGAAAATACTGTCCTCCACTTCAGCAGGCATCACACACATGTGTAAATTGCACTTACTTCAGTCCGGGAGTTAATGCCAATATCGTGAAACTTGGAGAATAACATTCTTGCTTGAGGCAATCTAATTAAACTTCTCCATGTCGACTTGAAGTGGCCCCTGCGGACAGATCATAACTATTTTTAGGTTGCAAGTGTTATAAGAAGAAATATTTAATTAAAATGCGGGGATATTTAAAATAGCTTTCTCTCTTAACATTGGTGCCTGCTGGCTTGCTTTCCCTGATGTCATTAATCACCAGTGGACGACCGTCAGAATTCACAGTCAGTTACAGCTCCTGTTGAAATCCGCCTTCTGTGGGCAGTTCGTCACATGACTCAAAATGCCAAATCTCTCAGGATTTTGGCAATTTCCTTCAAGCCAATGCTTCTGAGAGCTTTAGACAATTACTTTAGATCATTTCTTCAGAGAAAGACCCTCCAGGCATGGTATTTCTCCCACAGTGCTCTGTGGGCCGTGGTGTTAGTGGAAAAATGGTGGTTACGTTCAGTCTGGGGAGGTAGAGAGTGTTCCTTGGTCATGGGATCGTGAAGGGCTTGATGTTGCCTCAAGTCCTACTTGAAGAACTGGGCTGTATAGTAAGTGATGGAAGGGAGATAAAAACTCAAGTTTTGTTAGGGTTCAAATCTAATTATTTGTATTTCTTCCTAATTCTTCTGAGTCAACAAGTTAAAATTGTCTTTGGAAATTGGAGAACTAGATTTACTTTGCTTTGCCTACCAGTTGTGCTGTAGAAAGTTATATAGATTATATATTTTAAAAAATGACATAATGAGTACTTAATACATGCCAGGTACTGTTTAAGGGATTTGTGTATGTTTAACTCATGTAACTACCATAGCAGCCCTTTGAGGTGGATGCTATTATTATTCCCATTTCACAGGTGAGGAAACTGAAGCACAGAAAGACTGCATAACTTTCCCAAAGCTGCCCCCTAGTGGGCAGCAGAGCCAGGACTAACACATGGTCAGGCTGGCTCTGGAGTTGGATGCTTTGCCATGTCTTCCATTTTATGATTTTATGATTAATCTGAAGTTGTTTTTTGTTTTTTCTCTATTCCTGGTAGATTTTTAGTAAAGCGTGCCTACCTCTGAGAATTTCACCTTCAGGCTTTCTTCCCACCAATTATTGCCCATCTCCCCAGCTCAAAATCTGTTAGAAAATTATTACTTGTGTGAGAAAAGGGCACTTTTCTATTCTACTTGTGAGAGTGTAAATTAAATTGGTATGACCCCTCTATTCAATGTTTTTATTTCTAGAAATGTATTCTAGGAAATAAGATGTATGTAGAGAAATCTGTTAAAAGTGAACACATATTTGTCTATCTTGGTTCTCATAGCTTCAGAACCTATAAGTTTCTGGCACATAGTGGACATTCAGCAAAGAAATATTACATGAAGGAATTGTAAATTATAAACAAACAAAAGCCAAAGATACAAAAAACCTCAGTGTCCACTGAGGATGAAATTGTTTTACATTCATTGATGGTATGATAGACAGACATTATAAATCATGTTCGTAGAAGAATTTTCACTGATAATAGGTTTTAAATAATCTTTTACGGGAATAAATCAGGCTCAAAAGATTAGAGACATTATTTTCTCAGTTTCTATAACACAACAATCACAATCCCCAACCAGCAAAATGGTGTGCTTATAGTTTTAAACGATCTAGTAGAATTCATTTCAAAATGCCAGTGGCAGTTACTTGTGGTTGGCGAATTGTGGATGACTTTTATTCTATACATTGGCTTTGGAGCGTTTCCCACCTTTTCTATAATAAATATGTGTACTTTTATAATCAGAAGAAATAATTAAAATTGTGTTTTCCACGTGGTAACACATATTTACAAAAGCAAGGAACGGAGAAAACTAGGGAGAGAAAAACATGTTGATAGGAAAAATACCAAAAAGTTAATAGTGGTTTTACTTACCTGGTGGGATTGAGATAGCATTTTACTTCTTTTAATTTACATACGTTTTCCAGTTTTTAAAATAATAACGTCTTTTTTAAACACTATAACAATTTTAAGGGGAAAAATTAGAGTCTGGGTGGGGAAGTTTTAAAATTGGCTACAGCACCTGCCCCTGGTCAGGAAGTTCCACTGCAGTCCCCACACATGCCACATGTTTCTTCTCCCCGCCTCAGCCTCTGATCCTGATCATCTTGCTGACCAGTTGGAGACCACCCCATCCTCAGTGCCTGCATGTAATCAGCTGCCTGCACATCCCCAGTGCTTTTGCACATATTTTGTTTGCCATTTTTTTTTTCTAACTTTAAGTTCAGGGGTACATGTGCAGGATGTGCAGGTTTGGTGGTGTGCTGCCAGATCATCCAATCGCCTAAGTATTAAGCCCGGCATTCATTAGCTATTCTTCCTGATGTTCTCCCTCCTTCCCTCCAATAGCCCCCAATGTGTCGTGTTCCCCACCATGTGTCCTCGTGTTCTCATCATTCAGCTCCCACTTATAAGTGAGAACATGTGGTATTTGGTTTTCTGTTCCTGTGTTAGTTTTCTGAGGATAATGGCCTCCAGCTCCATCCACGTCCCTGCAAAGGACATGATCTCATTCCTTTTTATGGCTGCATAGTATTCCATGGTGTATATGTACCACATTTTCTTTATCCAGTCTATCATTGATGGCATTTAAGTTGATTCCATGTGTTTTCTATTGTGAATAGTGCTGCAATGAACATAGGTGTGCATATATCTTTATAATGGAATGATTTATATTCCTTTGGGTATATTCCCAGTAATGAGATTGCTGGGTCAAATGGTATTTCTGCCTTTAGGTCTTTGAAGAATTGCCACACTGTCTTCCACAATGGTTCAACTAATTTACACTCCCACCAACAGTGTAGAAGTGTTCCTTTTTCTCTACAACCTCACCAGCATCTGTTGTTTTTTGACTTTTAATAATCACCATTCTGACTGGCATAAGATGGTATCTCATTGTGGTTTTGATTTGCATTTCTCTAATGTTCAGTGATGTTGAGCTTTTTGTCATATATTTATTGGCTGCACATATGTCGTCTTTTGAGAACTGTCTGTTCATGACTTTGCCCACTTTGTAATGGGGTTTGTTTTCCTTATCTTGTAAATTTAAGTTCCTTGTAGATGCTGAATATTAGACCATTGACAGATGGATAGACTGCAAAAATTTTCTCCCATTCTGTAGATTGTCTGTTTACTCTGATGATAGTTTCTTTTGCTGTGCAGAAGCTCTTTAGTTTAATTAGATCCCATTTGTCAATTTTTGCTTCTGTTGCCATTGATTTTGGTGTCTTCATCATGACATCTTTGCCTGCACCTCTGTCCTGAATGATACTGTCTAGATTTTCTTCTAGGGTTTTTATAGTTTTGGGTTTTACAATTAAGTCTGTCATCCATCTCGAGTTGATTTTTGCATATGGTGTAAGAAAGGGGACCAGTTTCAATTTTCTGCATATGGCTAGCCAGTTCTCCCAGCACCATTTATTAAATAGGGAATCCTTTCCCCATTGCTTGTTTTAGTCAGGTTTGTTGAAGATCAGATGGTTGTAGGTGGCCTGCAGATATTTAAAAATGTGTTATTTTTTGCTTTGTAAGGTGTGAGTTTCTTCCAGTGTCTCTTACCTCTAGTGACCTGCTGTCTTCAGGCCCAAACATGCACTCCCTTATGGATTTCAGGTGGGTATACATCATGTCTTCTTGATGCTCTAGGGACGTAGAAAGCACCAGCTATCCCTGTTCAGGGAGATGGCTTTGAACAGCTACTTGCCTGGGAGACATCACCATTTGGGTTTGGACCCTTACCTTCTGAGGGTGTCTATGCATCTATGCTGAAGTTTGTGGGGATTGGGGTGATGGTGAAAGCTGGGGAATAATCACAAAGCTCAGTATGTCCACTGGGGGGGTCAGACTTATGTATCGAGGGGTAATGGCCCCTAGCACCCTCCTCCCCCAGGATCTTCCCAGCCCACTAACTGGTAATCGAGACTCTGCCACCAAAGATATATCTCTTTAGTGTAAGATTTGGGGCAGGAATAACATTTAAATATTGTCAAAGATTTGCACTTCAATGTGAGTGAAGGTTCTGAAAGCACATTTGGGTAGGAAGCGGATGGGGAAGGCCTGTGACCTATTCTTTGTCAAGTTGTAGGAGTATGTTAGGAGCTTTATATATAGGGTGATCATATAATTAATTTAGCATGCAAACTGGGGTGGTTTGAGAGTTAAAGAAGGTGCTAACTCTGTGTCATAGCAGGATAATAGGCAAAAACTGGAAATGTCTTGCTTCTACAGGGTTGTGTGATCTCTGTATGTATAGATATATCTCATTTAATGCTTGGAGCACTGATGAGCTAAGTATCTTCCTTATTTTATAGATGAGGAAACTTAGGCCCACATACCCAAAGCCCCTGGTTTCAAAGTCTGCACTTTGACATCCCCTCAAGGCATAAGATCAGTGATTTCTTAAAGTTACAGGAAAGGGATATCCCTGAAACAAGGCGCGAGGGGCCTTGAATGAGGGAGAACTAGAAACAACTCAATGGTTCCTTGTTAAACTTAATGATTTTTCCAGGACCAACCCTGGCCACAGCCTGGAAGGGCTCTGGGCTAAGGCTCATGGCTGAAAAAGTGCCCTGAGCCATTGCCACTCTGCCTGGAACGTGACTCATTACCATGTATCACACCATATCTTCAGATAGAAGCGTCCCAGTCCCACCCTTGTGTGTGTGGCTTGCCAGGAGGGGCAGCACTCTGGTGTGGTTTGCATCTCTTTGCCTCCGTGCAGTTGTCCTTCTGTCCCACAGTCAAGGTTGTGAGTGGGAGTGAGTGTCTCACACAGCTCACATAAGTTTAGGATTTCTCGCCCATTGTCAGGTTTTGAAATTTTCCCTGGACTTTGCTTCGTGAACAAGGGAAAGAGAGGGACCAGGAACTTGTTTCATATCCTAGACAGGTTTCTGTCACAGACAGCCAAGGATGATTTGAAGCACCAGCTTTGTTTTTTTTTTTGGACCTAGTCTCGCTCTGTTGCCCAGGCTGGAGTGCAGTGGCGCGATCTCGGCTCATTGCAAGCTCCACCTTCTGGGTTCATGCCATTCTCCTGCCTCAGCCTCCCGAGTAGCTGGGACTACAGGCACTCGCCACCATGCCCAGCTAATTTTTGTATTTTTAGTAGAGACAGGGTTTCACCATGTTGGCCAGGATGGTCTCGATATCTTGACCTCGTGATCCACCCACCTTGGCCTCCCAAAGTGTTGGGATTACAGGCATGGGCCACTGTGCCTGGCCAAAACACCTGGCTTTATTTCAGGGCCTGGAATTCCAGGGGAGGAGTGAGGGTCCTCAGCACATATCCCATAATTTAGGATAGGCACTGCCATGAAGGGGGAACACACTTCCTCCCATGCCAGGCAAGTTAGCACCTCCCTCCATTCCCATCCTCTGGCTACCTTCCAGGTCAGTCTCACCAACATAGCCATTTTCATCTTGGGGAAATCAGTTTGACCAGTATTAAGGCAATTTCTTTTCAACTCTCAATTTTTTATGACTGTTTACAAGTCAGTGTGCTTCACACCATAGCCTCCTCCTTGTGAAGTGGTCATCAAAACTGAGTCTGAACTCCTACCTAGAGTCTTTGGGACATTCAGAGGAGACACTATGGTGAGAAGAGACAGTCTTGCTACTCATCACCAAGGGTTCAGTTATTTTGACCCAAGAGCTCCCGACTGGACTAATCCAGATAACGGTTCCAATGCACCTTTAAAGAAAGTCCAGATCCCTCATAGGCATCTGTGTTCTTTTTCAGGGGCTACCCTTCTGGTTGCCTCTGGCCTGATCTCCATCTTCTTTTGAATTTATTTTTATTTATTTATTTTTGAGATGGAGTCTTGCTCTGTCGCCCAGGCTAGAGTGCAGTGGTGTGATCTCAGCTCACTGCACCCTCTGCCTCCCGAGTTCAAGTGATTCTTGTGCCTTAGCCTCCCGAGTAGCCGGGACTACAGGCATGCACCACCATGCCCAGTTAATTTTTGTATTTTCATTAGAGATGTGTTTTCACCATGTTGGCTGGGCTGGTCTTGAACTCCTGGTCTCAGGTGATCCGCCTGCCTCAGCATCCCAAAGTGCTGGGATTACAGGTGGGATTACCGCTTGTGGCCTTGAATTTATTTTTAAAAACATATTGTCTCATCATTCTGTGTTTTCTCCTTACTCCATTATGGGCTAGATCAAACTAGATATGGAATACATCCGTTACCTTAATTTCCGCCAAAAGAAAAAAAACAACAACCCAATTCTAGATTCTATGAAGACGACAATGGGTGCATCCTTTAAAAATTGCTCCAAATTCCCACATACAAAAAGAACAGCTGGATAGAAAGAAGAAAACAAGCCAGAAACAAATGGTCAACATTTACCAGACAAACATCCAAACTCCCTCCCTGCAAATCTAGGTATTTCTACAAACTCCCAAGTGGAAGCAGTAAGGATAAATCATCAAGAGCCACAAGATCTACCTGGGTCAGCAGACCTACATTTCTGTGCAACAGAAAGCAGAGGGCAGCAACAGGGCCTGCGAACAAGAACCCAAAAATATCCAACAAGTGTTCACTGGGCTACACCGTGGGCCAGTTGAGAATAGCAGCTGAAACAGGCGCAGGGCTTGCTCTCTCTCATTACAGGTGAGCTCCAGGGCCCTGAGCAGCGTGAGAAGGGAGCTGGAGCAGCCTAGGCTCTGAACTCTAGAAACTGATCTGCTTAAAAACTTCAATGGCCCTTTATTGTTTAGGGTGTTAATTCTAGACTTTTTTTTTTTTTCTTGGACATTCAAAACCTTTCATAGTTTCACCCTAACATACCTTTCCAGTATAATTTCCAACCACATCTTTGAATGTTCTCAACAGCCCCATTTGCATTCCCCAACTTCTTGTTTCTCACATTTCACCCCAGCCATTATGGCCTGGTTTGGGTCTATTCTGGTCAGCATCACTGAAACGTACAGGCTCAAGACACAGTTGATGGCTCTCAGTTAACTTTTGGTAAAACATTTTAATAAATACAAATTCCTTTTGGAAGAGAATACTGCTTCTGTCAGACAAAGTTCCCTTAGTTCCACAAAAGAAAGCAGAACTCTTACGACTGGAGTTCTTGCTTCAACACACTCGTCTCCCTTGGCTTTCTCCTAATTTAAAATGATATTTTCATTCAAAAATTCTTTGTTACCAAGAAAGAAAAATTTATCCCAAATCTGGAAAAATAAAAGACTAAAATGCATTGGCTTGATTTTTGAAATGATGGCAGAGCATCTTTTTAATTTTTTTTGCTCAGCGAGTGCCAGCCAAGTTCAAGGTCCACACCAGGTACGATGGAGATATCTATGGTGATGCTAAGGCCTCACCAGCATTGGAGATTCCTTTGGGAGGTGAAGGCCCGTAGAAGAAGCTGGGGGCAGTAAACATGATGTCAAGGGTCCTGGCTGTGCCCTGTCCTGTGGCCCCATGGAATGGGAACAAGACGGCCCTTCTTCAGAGGAGGCATGAGTACAGTGTTTTCCTTTTCTTCCACCAAAAGTGAGTGTTGATTTTGAGGTGGGTGGAAGACTGTGATATGCAGAATCTCACCATGTCCTTGGTCAGATAAACAGATGTACCATATGATTTTGAGTGTGGCACCCAGGATTTGGGTCTAGTTCAAGCACACAGCCCATAAAAGCACAGGCAATAAAAAGTGAAGATGTCAAAGATAAAAGGGTTTCTTTCAGACGCCGTAAAATATTGTTTAAAACCTTTTTTTTTTTTTTTTTTGAGATGGAGTCTTGCTCTGTCGCCAGGCTGGTAACGATAGCGTTCCAACCTTTACATTTCTATTTTTATGCTGGAAAAAAAGACTGTTCAGTATATGCACCAAGCCTCAGGAAATGAACATCTTCTGGCCGTTAAAAGCAGGTTCTACTAGTCTAGTAATGGCATTTGAATCACTCTGCCATACAGGGAACAAGAGCCATCGCACTTTGGAATGCATTCATTTCCTTATGCTCAGGACCCTGCTAATGCTTTAATTCCTAGAGGTAAATCCTGTGGCAAAAAGCAATGCTACATCTAAAATCTGTGACAAAAAGTCATCCAAGTTTTTCTATAAGGGAGGTTTGCTGTAACCAATTTAACATAGTAACATAGATACATTAAATGAACACATACATTCAATAATTGTGGGGACCTATTGAATATAATTAGTATTAGACTTGAACCTCTGAACCTTAAGGTAGTGCATTTACCAGGTATCATTTAAACTAACAGCAAAATAATCATGATAAAAGCAATAGCTTGCACATATTAAGCATGTGCTTCGTGTTGAGCCCTGTGCTTGCTGTGCTGTTATCTTTTTATATCTTCTCAACATGTCTGAGCCAGGTACTGTTGGGCAGCTCCATTTTATAGGTAGAAGAAGTGAGGCTTAGAGGTGAATGAAAACAACTTGCCCAAGGTCAAATAGTGCCAGGATTTTATTACAAATCTTTCTGGCTCAGGAGGCCAATTTCTTACCACTTTTGATGTATCACATTTTGCCAAATTACAGTTTTTCTAAAATGCTAAATAAAGTTTCTTAAAACCAGAAAGGATGTTTAAAATGTAAAAAAGTCCCCTTTTGGACCTGAAGTAGGGGGACCACATTGGTTCTGTGTAAAGGTCATATAGTCATAATAAATCCCCCCCTCAGCCCCCCGTTTGGTTTTCTCATTTGCTTAATGAAGTAATGGAGCTAAATACTCTGTAAGAGCACTTTTTCCTTCTTACATTCATTCATCATTTCAATAAATGTTTATTTGCATTTCTACTATAAGGAAAGAACTGGATGATATAATAATGAAATAATGAGGTGTGATCCTGAATGTAAAGAACTCACAGTCTTATGGAAAAGAAAAATTCACGAACAAATCATCAGAGTCCAATGTAGCCTGTGTTGTAAAAGAATGTGTTTATGTGTGTGTATGTAGATATTAATGTATATACACATGTAGCTATATCTATATGCAGACACATAGATACATACACACACACATATATCTAAGCTTGTGGGAACACACAGAGCAGAAGCAAGGACTTAGAAGCTGAGTGGTTTCACACAAGAGTGCCAGTAGGCTCCACAGAGAGAGGGGAAGAAGGACTAGGTTCATTTTCATTCCTCATGCATCCCTGGGCCTGGCAGGCCAGTAAATATTTTTTGAATGACGGCATGCATGAAAATGAGATACAAGCTGGATTGTAAGTGATCAGTGGGGGATTATCCGGTGGAGAAGAGAGGGTATGCCATTTCTGTCAGGCAGCAGGAACAGCATGTAACAGCATGTAGGCAGTACGTACAACTCCACGGTGACTTGAAGGCTAAGCTTGGGCCCAGAAGAAGGGTTCACATGGGCTGGGAGCAGAAGACGGGGTTTAAAAAGGTATAGATTTTGGCCAGGTTCATAGTGGGCCTGAAGCCATGGGGCTCACCTAACTCTGTCGAGTCCTTTTAGTGAAGGACTTTTGACTTGGAGGGGGCAACTTGTTTGGTAGAGCAACTACCAAACTTATTCACAACTATTGGACCCAAAATAATTGAATATGACTACTTCCAAATACAAGGGTAACAAATGGAAGCTCCACTAGGAAAGAATATTGTGAGTCCCTATTTAGTAACAACAACAACAATAAAAACTTACCAAACTTATCCAACCTAAATTAAAGAACTGTTGGCATTAAACAACAGGTAGCAGATTGCACTTTACTATGGGAATCCATTTGGATGCAGGAGGCTCTGTTGCTTGTGAAGTTTCTGTTAGCCTGCTAGGAGGATTCTCAGCGAGAGTAAATGTGATGCATTTTTGGGATTGTGGTTTTTCAGCTCTGCCCATTATGAGGGAGGAGTCTGTTTCCCTACTCCCTGAATCTAGGCTGGCTTTATGACTTCTGTTGGCTCCTGGGATCAAATAGAAGTGATGGAGTGTGTATTAGTCTGTTTTCACACTGCTAAAAAAAAGACATACCCAAGACTGGGTAATTTATAAAGGAAAGAGGTTTAATTGACTCACAGTTCCACATGGCTGGGGAGGCCTCACAATCATGGTAGAAGGCAAATGAAGAGCAAAGTCACTTCTTACATGGTGCCAGGCAAGACAGCATGTGCAGCAGAACTCCCATTTATAAAACCATCAGCTCTCAGGAGACTTATTCACTACCACAAGAACAGTATGGGGGACACTGCCCTTGTGATTCATTTATCTCCACCTGGCCCCACCCTTGACACATGGGGATTATTATAATTCCAGGTGAGATTTGGGTAGGTACACAGCCAAACCATATCAGAGTGCAAATTCTGAGCCTAGACCTCAAGAGGCCTCACTCTCTTGAAACACTACTGCCATGTGAACAGGCCTGGCTAGCTTGCTGGTTGTTGAAACCTAGCCAAGCCCCAGACACGTGACTGAAGCCATCCTAGATCAGCCAGCCCCAAGCCAACCTGCCAGCTGACTGCAGACCCAGGAGTAAGTGTAGCCAGTTAAGATCAGCTGAACTCAGTCTAGTTCATCAGAACTGCCCAGGCAACCCGAAGGCTCATGGGTAAGAATAAATGGTAGCTAGTGTAAGCTAAAAAGGAAAAAAAGGAGAGAGAAAAGATAGCAAGCAAATGTTATATAAAATGGTAATGATGATTTACTAAACATCTAGCACTTAGTACCAGTTAGACGGTCATGAGCTACCCACCTTACACACCTTATTTCATTTAATTGGTTCTTGTTTGCGTCATATTGTTTTATAAATGTATCAAGTCACTCTTCAAAGGAAAGTTTGATTCTGAAGACTTCTAACTGGTTTTGCCAAGTGGTATGCCAGCAGGATTTTATTCAAAGATTTTGGGGTCAGACAAGTCTGGATTTAAATTCCAAATCCACCTCTTACCATCCGTGTAACTTTGGTACCATATTTAACACAAACCTCAGTGCCAATTTCTGCATCTGAAAAGTGGACTCAGATAATACCTACACCTCTTATTGTAGTGAGGCATAAATGAGCTAACCTAATCCAAGTACCTGTTACAGTGCCTGCACACACCAGTGCCCAGCAGCAATAGCTGCCACTATGATTGTCCCCTGTGAATTTAAACCAGGTATATCTGAGGGATAATTTTTTTTTTTTTGAGGTGGAGTCTCCCTCTGTCCCCCAGGCTGGAGTGCAGTGGCACGATCTTGGCTCACTGCAACCTCTGCCTCCCGGGTTCAAGTGCTTTTCCTGCCTCAGCCTACTGAGTAGCTGGGATTACAGGTGCATGCCACCATGCCTGGCTAATTTTTGTATTATTTTTAGTAGCAGCAGGGTTTCACCGTGTTGGTAAGGCGCGTCTCGAACTCCTGACCTTGTAATCCACCCGCCTTGGCCTCCCAAAGTGCTGGGATTACAGGTGCAAGCCACCGCGCCAGGCTAAGGGGATAATTTTTTAACAGAAGCTCTCAACTTTTTCTCAGTCTGCACCCTGACAGCCTCGGGCATGGCATCCCCACCCCATGGGTGTTTCCAGGTTTTTGTGTAAGTTCTTGTACCTCATTTTCTTTCAGTTAAGGGACATGTCACAGAGTGAAAGTGACACCATAGGCACAATCTTCAAGCCACTGTCAATTAAAAATAAAGACTAAATGATTACAAATTTGAAGAGTTTATTTTCTACAAAGGACTGGCAGCAACCTGACACCTGTCAGGACCCAGCTGGATGTTATCCACCATGGCTCTGAAGGTTTAATCAGGGTGCTGAGAGAACCGCCACTTCTCCTGTCTGCTCTCCTGACTGTGAGCTTCACTTGGGCAGTGGCTGTGTGGGATTCTTCTGTTCTTGGCACATGGTGTGTTGTCTGGCACATAAACAGCAGTTGATAAATATTTGCTGAATGAACAACTGTACTCCTCCACTCCAAGAGAGTGACAGAGTAAAGTCTCCCCACCCCGTTCCGTCCCCCACTAAATCAGGGAGCCCTCCGGAATTGGGAGAATTGGACAGAATGCCAAGGTTTGAAGGATAAACACCAGCCTCCCATCGGCAGCTTGACTATCATCCTGGCTTTATCTGGCCAGTGAGAATGAAAGGGGCTTTGTTACCAAGTGGACCATTCCCAAACCGGCACGGTTCCCACTGTAAAGCCAGAAGGGGCTTTAGTGTCTTTTCAAGTTCTTTTCTAAACTCTCTTGAATTTCAAGTCCCAGAGTCTGCTTTTCTTATTGGAAAATCTCCTGGTATGAAGAGATGGGGGGCAGGGAGCAAGAAACTCTAAGGTAGGTCGATAAATATAGAGTATTAGATGGTGGTAAATACTAACAAAAAACTTAAGCGGGGAACAGGGCTGGGGAGTGTCAAGGGCAAGTGCAATTTTGCATAAGAGGGTGAGGGATGGATTCATTAGTAAGATGAACTTTCAGTAAAGACTTGAGGTGAATGAAAGAGTGAGCCAGGGGTGTCTAACGTGGAGAGTCCCAGCAGAAGAAACAGCAAGTGCAAAGGCCCTGAGGTGGAAGCAGGTTTAGAATGGTTGAAAATGATCTATGTGACCCCTGTGGCCATAAGGAGTGAGCTGGAGTCATGGGCTGTCAGGTCCTGGAGGGCCTGGTATGGGCCATGGTAAAGATATGTGTGGGCCTTTTCTCTGCATAAGTTGGGAGAGTTTTGAGCAGAGGAGTGCTAAGGTCTGACTTAAGGTTTGACCGAATCATTCTGGCTGCTCTGTTGAGAAAACATGGAAGGACAAGGGTGGAAGTGGAGAGAGCAGTCAGGAGGCCACCAGGTGAGAGATGATTGTGAAGGTGAGAGATGATTGTGACTTAGAAGATAGTGAGAAGTAGTTGGATTTGGGATATATTTTGAAAGGAAAGCTGATGGCTTTGCTGATAACTTGGATGTGAGGCGGGACAGGGAACCCTGTTAGAATGGAGCTCTCTCTTCTCAAGGTCAGGCCTGTTGCACAAGGAGACGGGTGGTCATTATATCATTGGTGGTATATAGAAGATGCCTACCCATTTTAGCAAATCCTGTAATGAAAGGACTTGACTCAATTTTCCTTTTTAAAACCATTTCTAAGTGAAGGACTATTTTAGTTCTCACTGAGTGTGAAGAGCCTTCTATTAGCAAGTCACAGATGGTCAGCTGGGAAGAAACTTGGAGATAAATAAGCCAGTATGTCCTATGGTGTAGGGGAGGTCCCTGGACTTAGCCAAGGGATTGCAGATGATACATAGTAATGGATATTAGATCACATTTTGAGAAAGCAATTTCCTTTTCTATCCTATTTTCATTATATATCAAGACACAATATCAGCTTGCTGGTAAATCTTAAGCACTTCTTGAACACTTCCTTATTTCTCTTTTAAGCAAGAGAGATCAGGCCTTGGGCCCAGAGCTGCAGCAGGCCAATAGGATCTTGCAAGAATGGAATACGTGGTTTTGAATTCACTAATACATTTTTTCCTAAAGCATATTTATTTGTTAACTCACATTTATTTTTTAAGATTCATATTAGTGGAGTATACCAAATGACTATAACATTTGATTCAAATAATTCACCAAAAGCATTAGGATGATTGCAAATATTCTTTTGTGTTTGATTTTTAAAAAACTTATTTATTGAAGTATACATTGAGACTGAAAAGTACATAGAAGTATATGACTTGATGATTTTTCAGAAAGCAAACATATGTGTAACTATCACTCAGGTCAAGACATAAAGTATTAAAGTATTTCAGAAGTCCCCTTCTCTGTAACTAATGTCTCTCCACCTCCCTGTTCCCAAAAAAGAACACCATTATTCTAACTTCTGACACCTTAAATAGGCTTTGCCAGTTTTGAAATTTATGTAAATAAAACCATTTAGTATGAATTCTTTTGTGTCGACTTCTTGTGGACTAGCTTATACTTGAGTTTCATCTGTGTTGTTTATATGACGTTCTTTTTCACTGCTGTATATTATTCCATTGTATTAACATATCACAATTTACCCATTCTCTGGTGGGTAGACGGTGTTTCTAGTTTTTGCTTAGCAGTTATATGTGACTACAAACATTCTTATACAGATCTTTGAGTATATACATCTGTGTATTTTTGTGAGGTACACAGTGTTTAGCCATTCTTGTAGGTGTGTCATTATATCTCATTGTGATTTTGATTTGGATTTTCCTGGTGATTAATGGAATAAAGTGTCCCTTTTTTCTGTTTATTGGTCATTTAGATATCCTCTTTTTGAAATACCTGATAAAGCCTTTTGCTATTTTTCTATTAGGTTGTCAGTCTTTTAAAAAAAAATTCACTTGTTACAAGTTCTTTATATATGCTAAATTCTGGTTCTATGTCAGTTAATTTTGCTATAAATACTTTCAACTTCATGGCTTGCTTTTTGGTATTACTGTGGTCCAATTTGTCATTTGTTTTCTTTGTGGGGAGTTCTTTATGTTTCTAGGTTTGTTTCTGGGCTTTCAAAAATGTTGTTCTGTTGGTCTGCTATCTCACCTTGAACTAATACTACATTACCCTAATCACTACTAGTGTTGAACATATTTTCATGTACATTATTACCCATTTGCACGTCTTCTTTGGAGCAATGACTATTCAAATTATTTGCCAATTTTTTGGTTCGTTTTTCTTTTTATTGTTATAAGAGTTCTTTTATCTGGATACTAGGTCCTTATCAGATATATAATTTGCAAATGTTTTCCCCAATTCTGTGGGTTGTCTTTTCATTTTCCTGATAACATCCTTTGATGCACAAAAGGTTTTATTTTTGAAGTCCAACTTAATCTGTTTTTCCTTTTCTTGTTTATGTTTTTGGTGTCATATTTAAGAATTATGCCTGTGTTTCTTTCTAGGGGCTTCATAGTTCTAGCATTTAGATCTTTGATCCATTATGAGTTAATTTTTATATAAGGTGTCAGGTACATATCCAAATTCATTCCTTCACATATGGATAGTCAGTTGTCCCCGCACCATTAGTTGAAAGACTTGCTGAAAATCAACTGATCATAGGTATATGGGTTTATTTCCGGACTCTCAGTTTTATCCCATTGGTCTATATGTCTATCCTTATGCAAGTACCATGCTGTTTTAATTCATGTAGCTTTGTAATAAGCTTTGAAATTGGGACATGTGAGTTTTCCAGTTTTGTTCTTTTTGAAGACTGTTTTGACTATTCAGGGTCCCTTGCATTTCCATATAACTTCTAGGATCAACATGTCCATTTCTGCAAGAAAGGTAGTTGGAATTTTTATAAGAATTACATTTAATCTATAGATCAACCTGGGGAGTATGGTAATCTTAACAGTATTGAATCCTTCAGTCCATAAACCTAGATGTCTTCACATTTATTTTGATCTTCTTTTAGAAATGTTTGGTAGTGTTTTGTGTAAAAGTTTTGTACTTCTTGGATACATTTGTTTAATTATTTTTATACCATTATAAATGGAATTGTTTGTGTAATTTAATTTTTTCCGTGCCGGATTTCTAAGCTACAAAGTTGTAGGATAATACATTTGTGTTTTTTTGTGCCATGAAGTTTGTGATAATTTGTTACAGCAGCAAGAAAAAATGAATACACTCCGTATGATTTCAATTCTTTGATATTTGCTTTGATATGGCCCAACAAAGGGTCAATTTTAGTAAATGTTCCACGTGTAGTTGAAAAAACATGTATAGTTGTCAAGTGTGGGCCAAGTTTGTGTGTGTGTGTATGTGTAAATGGTGTTTGTTATTTATGTTGTTCATATCTTCAATATCTTTATTGAGTTTTTCTCTGTGTATTATATCATTTACTGAAAAAGTATGACAAAATCTCCCACTGTGATTGTAGGTTTGAGTATTATACCTTTTATTAATATTTCTATCAATGTTTGTTTTGTATATTTTTGAGTTTTATTAGGCATATACTTTTAGAATTATTGAATCTTCCTAAAGAATTAACTCTCTCAGTGTTATCAAAAGTCCCTGTCTAACTCTAGTTATGCTTCCTACCTTAAAGTCTGCTTGGCATATTATTCTTTAGCTATACTTGCTTTCTTTTGATCAATGTGTCCATGGTATATGGTTTTTTACTTTTTTTTTTTTTGTGAGACAGAGTCTTGCTCTGTTGCCCAGGCTGGAGTACAGTGGTGTGATCAGCTCACTGCAACCTCTGCCTCCAGGGTTCAAGCGATTCTCGTGCCTCAGCCACCCAAGTAGCTGGGACTACAACTGCACACCACCATGCTCAGCTAATTTTTGTTTTTTTCAGTAGAGACAGGGTTTCATCATGTTGTCCAGGCTAGTCTCAAACTCCTGACCTCAAGTGGTTCGCCTGCTTCGGCCTCCCAAAGTGCTGGGATTACAGGCATGAACCACCATGCCCAGCCTAAGATGCGTCATTTCCAAACAGCATATAGTTTTTTTAAAAAATAATTCAGTTGGACATCTTGTCTTTGAATTAGTATTTAGTAGTTAAGTCTACTATCTCACAATTTTCTTCTATTTTAACTTTCTTTTGTGACTTCCTTTGAATTAATTTATTCCCTTTTTTCCTTTTCCTAGCTTGCTAGAAAACATTCTTTTTTGTTCTACTTTTAGTGGTTATGCTAGCAATTAAACATGCATTCTTATCTTATTAGAGTATGATGATGGTCCTCTTACTACTTTGTGAACAACATAAGGCCCTCAGGATACTTTAACTCCAAATTCTCGTGTGATTGTTGCACCTATTTTTACATATATTTCACATGGCACAAGAAGTTGTTGTTTTGTGCAGCCAATATTTATTTAATTTTACCCAAATATTTGCACTTTCTACCATCTTTATTCTTGACTGCATTTCCATGCTTCCATTGGGCCTAATTTTTCTTCTGCTCCAAGAATTCTCTTTAATATTTCTCAAAGAGCATGTCTGTTGGATATTAATTATCTCAGTTTTTGTTTAAAAATGCTTTTATTTTACATACATTTTTGAAAAATGTTTTCACTGAGTATAGAGTTCTAAGTTGACAATCATTTGCTTTCAGCACGTTGAATATGTCATTTTGTTGTTTCTTGGCTTCCATCATTTTTGTTTAAACCTCAGCTTCCATCATTACTTTTATTCTTTTGAAGATAATATGTTTCTTTTCTTTGGCTGCTTTTGTGATATATTTGTCTTTGTTTTTTAAGTAGCTTGACTATGATGTGCCTCGTTGTGGTTTTCTTTATCCTATTTGAGGTTGTAAAGATTTTTGAATCTTTAGCTTGATGTCTTTGCTTAGTTGTGAAAAAGCATTTCAGTGAATACCTATTCAAGTATTGCATCTCCTCAATTCTTTTTTCTCTTTCAGGATCTCAAACTGCATACATGTTAAGACTTTTCACCAAGTCCCACGTCTCTCTTATGCTCTTTTGTGCATTTTCTACAATATTTTCGTCTTCATGCTCAATCTTCTGCTGACCTATATTCCAGTTTACAGATCTTCTTTTCTGCATTGTCTAATCTGCCATAAACCCAACTGTTGAGTTCTAATTTTTCAGTTATTGCATATTCATTTCTAGAATTTCAATTTCTTGTTTTATAAAAATACCAGTTCTCATGAAATTCTCCATCATGTCATCTACTTTCTTAAACTTATTAATCATGGATATTTTCAAGTTTGCCTCTAGTAATTCCAATATCTGGATCACATATGGGTCTGGGTTTTTTTCTTCTTGGTTTTTGGTTATTTGGTTATGTCCCTTGGCATGCTTGGTAATTTTTGATAAATGCTGAACAAATGTATGACAAATTATAGAGCCCATTTGAAGCTCTGGATTCTGTTATCTTCTTCCAGAGAAAATTAAATTTACTTGGCTACTGTTATGTGTTTTGATACTGGTAGGTCACTTTGTTTCATCTTGGTTTGAGCTTGCTTAAAATAAGGTTTTAATCTTTGTAAGAGTTGAGCTACTTCTGCCTCACCCTCACTTCTAATGTGTAGCCCATTCATGATCTCAGCTGGAAGTTTGAAGTCTATACCAGGCCTCCCCCAACTCACGCCCCTTGGTGGACCTAAAGCCTCAATTTTAGTTATCATCAGACTCTTGACTTTTGAGCTTCTGGATTCTATGAGGTTTTACAAATCAGCAAACGCCTAGAGAAAAAGTGCTGTGAAACACTAGATTTATCTCAGTGTGCTTTACTTCTCTCTTGGCTCTTAGTTGCGTTAGTATTCCCTGAATGTCTTCCATCAGAGGTTTTCTCATTTTTTATTTTTCTATTTTATGTATTTTATCTAGCTTTTAAAGTTGTTCTTGGCAAAGGGGTTAGTCTAAAGCAAACTAGTTGCCATGAATAAAAGCAGGAGTCCATTGTACTTATTTTTGTCATTACCTTCTACTTTAAGACCAGTGATTCCAGCTTTCCTTTTATATTAATGAGGTAGTTTCCTTTCTAAGTAAATATATTCATTATGAGATGTACAAGTTCTAGCAAATACAACAAATAGTGTAATAAATACTCACTTCCTTACACAGAGTATGTACCCATGTTCAAATAAAGAAAAGTTGACTTAAAGGAAAATAGTAAATAGCAATACAGATGGTACTTGGAGATGGTAAAAAAAAAAATGGTGACAGTGGGGTTCAAACAACTTGTTTTACATGTAGAGAAATAGAAGCTCACAAAGTTATTTGTCTTGCCTAAGGTTACACCGAATATGCATGGTAGAGCTGGATTCAAATCTCTTGGTTCCCAATGCATTACTTTACCTGCTCTAACACATAACTCTGCTCCTAACGGCTCTTCTTCCGCCCTGACTGGCTCTTAAATAGATTTAATTTCTGTAGTTTATTTTCCATTTTGGCCTAAATTCTTCCGTATGCATCCTAAGCCTATTTTTGTAATTGTCTTTTCATTATTAGGTTGTAAAAAAAAAATAAAATTTATAGGCCTAACCCATGAGTAAGTGTGTGTGTGTGTGTGTGTGTGTGTGAGTGTGTGTGTGTGTGATGTCAAATTCCCATCAGATTTTCCTAGCAGTTTCTATATAATGTTTGAACCCATGAGATTCTGCATGATTGATCCTTCTAAATGCTTAGCTCCTTTTAAAACTGAACGCAAAAGAATGACTAGTTCTGTGGAATTTATTGTTACTAAATCTCCTCTCCATTTGCTTAATTGTATTATTTGCCTGGGGGATGCTGTTTAAATGTCGAGCCAAGTCAGCTAAATGAAACATGATCCTGGTGCAAGAAAATAATGATGTGTCTCTTTTGTTAAACAGCAGCCTCCCCCCTCATCTCCAGATGCCTAGAACCACACCCTCATTTTTTTTGGAGGCAAGCAAGGGTGGTGCCCAGCTTGGTCTTGGCTGGTAAGGGCATCAGCCAGGAAGCGAGCAGACCAATGCAGCCTGAACTGGAGCTGGGAGCTGGGGGCAGAGCAGATGCTCAGGCCACTGTGACTGACTGACTCAGACAGGAAGCTCAAGCCATCCCTCTAGTCCTGGACTTAGGCCATGTCTCAACCCCTGCTGAACTGAGCAGCTGAAAACTGAGGCTATAGATTAACCATTTAGCTGGGAAAATGACCAAGGTTGAAGGGAACTTCAAGGGAATCATCTGCTTCCTTCTTATCTTGAAAGGTCATGGGGACTTAGTATTTACAATTTCTAGATTAGTGTTTTTTCAGTCATATCATTACATAACCCTCCATAAACTGGTATCTTTTTCATCTCTTTGACCTTCCCTTTTAGGGTCCTCTGAGGTAAAATGAGAGCATGGGATGCAGCAAAGACCACTCTAGGAATATTTACCAAGTGCCCATTGTGTGCCAGGCACTAGTCTAGGCTCTCGGAGGTAGCAATGAACAAAACAACCAGACTCTCCTTTGTGGAGATGGGGAGGGAAGGGGAGGACAAGAATAGATAAATGAGTAAAATGCATGGATGGCAGTGTGAGTGGAAAGTATTATGGGAAAAAATTAAAATAAGGGAAGGAGACAGGGAGGGCTGGGTGGAACAAGGCTGCTGTGTTAAACAGGGTGGTCACCTTCTTTGAGAAGGTGAAGGGATGAGCCTTGTGGCTGGGGCTTTAGGGATCTTTCATAAGTGCCTTTTGAACCAGTAGCCTTGAGCATTATTGAGTATTAGAATTGTGGTGGCATGCAGTTTCCCAGGCCCCACTCCCAGGGATTCTGATTCCTTTGGTGCAGCCCAGCGCCGGGCAATTTGCTTTTCTAGAAGTCTTATGTGGTGGCCCAAGGCCAACTTTCTTTTTTGATACTGCTTTAAACTTTCTGTACTTTGAAAGCCTGAAACAGAATTATTCCAAGGACGAGGCAATTGTCACATTCCTCATGACAGGGAAATACAGAGAAAGAATTTTCCCATAGACTGCCATCTTGTTGGTGAATACAGTCCTCCATGCATGAAGGAGAGAAATGAGCAATTATTGAGTGCCTGCTGTGTGCTGAGTGCATTCTGCATTTGCTGTTTTGTTGGTCCTCCCAACACTGCCTGGGACTGTGTCCTATAAGCATAGTTAGGCCCAGAGAAGCCAGGCGACCCCCGGCTTTGAAGGGGTAGTCTCGATATTCAGTGCTCATTCCACTTCATGTGAGATTTTGACATGGAGAAGTGAGTGTGCAGGTCTGCTTGGTCTCCTCCCCTAGGCCATCTTTACCAATCTGAGCCCAGTCTTTGCCAAGACTGGCTCCACCCAGCAAGCTGGACTTTCAGTGAAGATTTTTCTCAGGAAAAATGTCTGCTGATTCCTGAGTGCCAGGCATTTGAAAGACTGCTGACTTTCTGAATTAAAGGGGACCTCAGAGATCATGTAGCTACCCACAAGCAGGAAAAACATGTTGTGTCTGCCACCATTCCTTCCCCTTCTCTTGGTACCCCTGGGAAGCAGTAATCAATGGTGGCATCCTTTCTTGAAGAACCCAAAGGCAAACTCAGAGCCGTCTTCAATCCGATGCTTGAGTTAACAGCTGCTGATTTATCAAATGTGGCTTCTAAAGAAGAAACCTATTTTCCATCCATTATCTGAACAGTTCCTTCTTTGACACATCAGGAAGCTAGGGCTCAATAGGGTCAGTTTATTAAAGACACACAGCTAGTTAGTAGGAGGGCTAGATCTCATCCCAGATAATTGCCTTTTTTTTTTTTTTTTTTTTTTTTTGGAGCTACTTTTTTTTTTTTGTTAGGAATCTCACTACTCAAACCCAGGTATGTAAGACATTGGCTATAAACAACTATCAACCGTGATCAGTTTCTGAATCAAGCCATTTTTGCCTTGTGGCAACAACACATCATCAGCTTCTCCCCTGGGAGCTGTGCCAAATTCTGGAAGGCAGCAGAGGGCGAAGGCATGGGTAGTGCCATGGGGTCCTTTCTTGATCATGTCCCAGTGCTACCACCTATCCTCTGGTCTTTAATTATCATCCTTCTGCTGGCATGCTGGTATCTGTCCCTCATCTCATCTGTTCATAAGTCCTGGGTCCTCAGCGCTTGCTGCTAAGTCATCTCCTCTTACCATTTGCAAGTTCCTTTTACATGCAGTTCTCTCTCCTTTAGCTACTGGCCATGTCCCTGCTACTCTCTAAGGATGTGGGATCTTGTCACTATTTTTGTGTCCTGGGATGGAGGGTGTTCTGTGAAGTTGTCTTAGGCTTGGTTTACCCAGCTCGCTAAAAAGTCACTTTTCTCTGGGGTCCTATTGTTTTTCTGGGCCTCCACACAGAATCTGGGGCCTAGGACTCATCTCTTCTTAGGCCCTGCACGTCAGCCATCAACCATACTCAGTTTCTGAATCAAGGGGTCTGAGGTTTCTTCTCACTATGCTGGCACTCAGCCTGGGATGGGCAGGAAAAAGGGTGCTGGGCCTGCTTTGTAATGATGCATCGCTACCCACGTATCCATATATCCACATTCAGGTCTGCCATCCACCCTTGCCATCCACCTGCTGAGGCCTTGGTAGCTGCTAATGTGATCCATCACCTCTTCTCCCACATCTATCGTTACACAGGAATCCTTTCCTCTTTCATCTCCCCACACTGAAGAGAACTAAAGATGTCATTTTTTAGACTTCAAAAGACAGGAAGAGATTCTTGTTCCTTTCGCTGTTGACTTATCTTGTCCTGATGCAGTGAACTCAGGGTGGCCTTACTTGGATGGAGAGAAGGCCAAGAGAATAATGAGGAGGAAAGGAAAAAAAATAGAAAGTATTTCAAAACCTTATCCTATCACATCAAGTGGCCTTAGAAGTCGAGATTTCAGAATTTGCCTATTAACTTTCACTTTGGGCATGGTAAACTACGGCCGTGGGCCAAGTCCGTCCTGATGCCTGTTTTTATAAGTGCACAGGAAGAACAGCTTTTATATTCGGAATCCTTATTGATTGAGAAGTAACCATATAATATCCTCCATTTGCCTCTTACCCATAAAGCGTAACATACTTACTCTCCAGCCTTTAAGAAAAAGTTTGCTGACGCTGGTTTAGTGCACTGGTAGAAAGGGCCTATGTTTGCTCAGCTATCTGAGGCTCAGATATCTGCTATCTGAGGAAGGGATTCCTGGTTTTACTTTGATTATCTGTATTCAAACTCTTTAGAATAAAATATCACTGCCTGCCCTGCCCCTCACCAGCTGGTCTCAGTTCCATGTCTTAAAAAAGTTGGTGTCGGAGACTCTTCCTCAAAAAACCCCCCTTTGGCACTATTGTTGTCTTTAGTGATCCCAGGGAGCAAACGTTGCCTCTTTTGGGAGCTGCTTTCAACTCACAGTGACATGTGGAAAATCTACTATGGATATGAAGTTTCCTGCCTGGGAGCTTGCATTTTGGCATTGTCCCATAGAATACATTGGGAGACAAATGCGATTCTCACAATTCGGTTCTCCCGACAGGAAAATATGTCACTTGAGTCAGTGAGTAATATATGTGGCTATACATTTTTAATAAAATGAGCAAATTGTTTTTGAGTTTTTGGAAGACTTAATTCTTCATTTGCTAGTTCATTTTGAAACCATTACGGTTCTGTGTTTTATTCCATACAAAGATGTGAAATTAACCGTCATATTTTCTGCTGTGGTCTGAAAGTTGAACAAGTTAATGTTTCACCCAAATTAGCTTCTTTCCCTTCACATTTGCTGTATCATTAACCTTCCCTATTTGAGCCTGCAATAAAAATTACATCATGATCAAATTCAAGGAAAGGTTTTGTGTAAGCCATGCCTAATGCAGATATTTATTACTGGGCTTGAGGGGCAGGAGTCAGATTTATTTGGATAATTTGTTCACAATTTATGCTGTGACTATTTTAGACTCTTGAACACACAAACGCATGTTCTCGTGTCAACCCATTTCCATAGTGATAGGCACATCAACTACACCCCAAGAGTTGAGTTTTGCTGACATCTGTAAACTGAGATAGTTCAGCAAATCTTTTTGGCATGGCCAATCTTTGTTGTAAACTGGAAAAATTCATCTTCTTAATTTTGGTTAAGGCCCTGGCCATGCCAATTAATTTTTTTTTATTGGATAACTAGTAGTCATAATAATAATGGAAATTATCCTTTATCTTTGGTCAAACTTTTACATATATTATCACTCTTGGTCTTTGGACACCCCTGTGGACTATATGTAAACAATATCTGTATTTAAAGAAGGGAATACCAAGGCCCAGAGAGGGGCAGTGAATAGGTGGAGGATGGAGCTAGTGAGTGGTGAGTGCTCCTGTCTTCTAGCTTTAACCCTCTCCACACCACTCAGCTATTTTAGATCATGCTATCTCTCTTTGTTTGGTGGTCAACATTTGAGAATGGGGTCCAGACAACTTCCAGCTGTGGTTTGGCAGCCTGAGTGTGTTCAAGGTGCCTGGGAGTAGAGTGTTTATATAGAATGGACTTAAGCATCTTTGGTTCTAAATTTAGAAGCAATTTTACTTTTTTTGAGGTTTTGGTCAAACCACTCCAGGCAAAATAGGACTTCTTTGTTCAAAGGAAATAGACTTTAAAAAGTCTTGTAAAATAGACCCATAATGCATTGGGGGATTCAAATAGTCTGGCCCGAAATGTTTTCATAAATTAAATGTAAGTGGATTAGAAACAGACGGATTGTCTTTCCATGAAATACACCCAGACTGGAACCAGGAGGAGAAGCATTTAGAAAATTGTTTAGGGTTTCTGTGGACTCCAGCAATCACACATCTTGGCCCTACTTCTCTTTCTGATAACAGAATGGAGATGAAATTTGGTCTTATTCCCAAGTCTTTTTATTTGAATCTTTCCAGTCTGTTTCTCTGAATGTGGCTGTGTTTAACCCTTGCCATATTGAATAATCCCTGACTTGGCTGGGTGGCCATTTAATGAGGCATGATGGGGTGAAGGTGTTTGACTTGATCGTGATGTTATCTTTGCCATTCCAACTTAGAGGATGTACCTGTAATATCAATAACAAGGCAGTGATGTGGAGGTTTTGGTGGGTTGTAAGTACAGTGACTGAGAGAGTGGAATTTAAAGTCATATGGATTAGGTGAATCCCAACCCTCCCACTCACCTATGATACATACAGAAACTATGTAATCTTCTTCGACCTCAATTTCTTCAGCTGCAAGATAAGGATAATCATAGAGTCTTCTTATTATTACTAAATGGGACAATCTGTGTCAAATGTGTACTTAGTTGGGTGTATAGCACATAGTAGGTACCCAATAATTATTTGGTATCTTTATTATGGTCAATGTCGGTTGTTTGTACTTTCTTGCCTCCATGGCCATTTCTTTTACGAATAGCACTGAATTTTCCTTTGGGGAGCTCCCCTTCCCTTATCACATGTAGTCATGGTGAGACTGGAGTCATTAATGCAGTTATTATTAATAAGATGACCTTCCCTCAGCAGTGAAGGGCACGGGCAGGTGATCCTAGGTAGACCAATAAATTGTCTCCCTGGCATTTGACATAGATTCAAGAAACTCAGGATTAAGAGTGGCTGACGTCTTAAGTGATTTCTGTTGCCTGGATCCTTAAGCTGCCCTAGTGGTTGACCTTTCTGAGGTTGGTCAACCTTTCCTTGGATTCTGTGGGCTTCCATGTATGTATGTATGTATGTATATGTATATATATATATATATATATATATATATATATATATATATATATAAAATATTTACATATATAGTGTACTTTTAAAGTTAAGCAGTGACATTAATACCCAAGGTCTATATTAATTGTTTTTGAACAAACATTCCTAACCAATCAATTTCATCGTCATCATTATTACATGCCTCAAATGTAAAACACAATTAGAGGGGAAAAAAAGAAAAACATAAAAGGTAACAAAAATCAGCTGTAATCCTTACACATGTAGACCTCCCCACTTAACATTTTTATAAATGTACTTCTTGGTTTCTCCACATATGTGAAGATTGTGTTTTTGTAGACTTTTTGTGGAATGATATTTTAAGTGAACATGCAGAAACATTTGAAGATGATGCCAGCGAGGACAGTATATGGGAAAGTCTTTAGGGCCACTATGGGGAGTTATCTGTGGATGTTTTGTGTGGCCTGGCAACAGAATTGCTATAGTAGACACTGCTGTAGGAACTGAATCTCAGACCTGTGAGCATGGCTCCCATGGTGGCCACCAAGGTCACTCCCCTGTCACCCCACTCCTTCAAGTCACAGACCAAGTGGTTATCTCATTGGTCATCTCTGATTATGGGGAACTCAAGGTAATCCATTCCCTTACCTGAACTCTGCTCACCAGATGAATAACTGATAATATATAGGGTGGATGGTCAAGGGGTGAGGTGCTGAACACACTGGCAGTGAGAAAACAGTGGGAAGTCACTGGAGCCATCTCCTCTTTGAAGAATACTGGGGATGTTTTCTTTATAAGTGAGTCATATTTGACATAGGAGTTAGGTTCCAAAACAAGCGTGTATGGCAAAAATAAAAAATAGTCATCATTACCCTCAATGTTGGACAGTTGACTGTTTCTTTGGTTGAACACCAGATGAAATATTTGGCTTGGCTCTAGAGGCCAGTCTTTACAAAATATACCTCTAAATGCTAGAGTCATCCTCATTGCGGTGATCCCCTCCCTCCCCACATCCCCTCTCCTTTATACCCTCTTCGATGTAAAGTTGACGCCAGACATGCATACAGCAAATTCCCACCTTTCATCTTGTGCTCACTCCAGGGTGACACACTGGTATGCTGGCAGAAACCATGGAGTATTTGCTTTAAAAAATTTTTTAAAGGTAATAGTGAAAACAGAATAAAAAAACATGTTTTGCTGAGCAGTTATAGTTAGAGTCTCTGAAGCTGAGTGTTGATGTGTACAACTATCCTGGGCTATATTTGGAGATGTGGATTCTAAATTGAAACTGCAGATTCAGAGCTGCTAGATCTCAGGGGCTCTACTCATGACCAGGCAAGTGGGCCTGAGTGGTCCACCCCAGTAGGGGTACATCACCTTTTGCAGAACTTGCCTCAGTGATGGCTGTGGTTCAGCCAATAACAATTCCACCTCATCCCTCGGCTAACAGGATTCTTCAGTTCCCACAATCTCCGACTCCATCATTACGGAGAACATTAAACCTGCTTTTATCAGGCATCTATTTCATTGTATTTATAAAGGCTTCTAATCTTTATTATTTGAGTTGTAGGATTTCATATACTTTCTGTGCATCACATATGAAAGTGATAGATATTGGCTGGGCGTGGTGGCTCACGTCTGTAATCCCAGCACTTTGGGAGGCTGAGGCAGGCAGATCCTGAGGTCAGGAGTTTGAGACCAGCCTGGCCAACATGATGAAACCCTGTCTCTACTAAAAACAAAAATTAGCTGGGCATGGTGGCAGGTGCCACTAATCCCAACTACTCAGGAGACTGAAGCAGGGAGAATCGCTTGAACCCAGGAGGCAGAGATTGCAGTGAGCTGAGATCGTGCCATTGCACTCCAGCCTGGGCAACAGAGCAAGAGCAAGACTCCATCTCAGAAAAAAAAAAAAAAAAAAAAAAAAGAAATGATGGAGGATATTACATCACTGCAATGGTCTTTTATATTAGAGTCGTCATTGCACTTATTCAGCCCTTTCATAGAAATTACTTTAAAATTAGCTTAAATCTCTATCATAATCAAAGTATTTTGAAAGATAACTTTAATCAATAAACATTGTTGTGCTATCAGTGTTAGCAATTGTGGATTACTTACATGAAAAGCATTTAGTGAGATACACGAATCATGACTTCAAGAGATCCAGTCACAGCAGCACATTAGCTGACAGGCTGTGGTTTTACCAGGTAGTGCAGTGCGGTGATTGCAAGCACCTTGCAGCCAAACTGGCCTGGAGCTGCTTATTCATCTTGTGACCTTACACAAATCACATCTTTTCTCTGAGCCTCAGTTTTCTCATGATCAGATGAGGTTAATAAGGGGCTAAAATCATGAATTTGTGGTGAAGATGAAATAAAATATTACGTAAAGGAGTTACATGCCATGAGCACTCAGTCCCCACCACCTGTTTATTGCAGTTGGCACTGCTGTGGTGGCAGTTCCTGTTGAAAAGCAATAAAGGGAGTGAAATCTATAACAGTAGCTGACTGCTCTGATCTCTTTGTCAGGTAAGAAAAGATTTATTTTATTAAATATCATTCTCTGAGTTCTGGAAACTCATTTTCATCTATCAAATACTTTGTGAGACTACCTCTATACAAGGACCTGTGAGGGACTTCATGGGACCTCAACATGCTTCCAATGTGGTTGAGGACAAATGGGGAGTGTACATCATGTCTTCTGGCTTGTATGTCATGGGACAATGGCTCCGGTCAGCAATGCTTGCAGCCCAGAGGAGACAGCAGTGGCCAGGGGCTGGAGTGGTCAGCAGAGACTTTACTGAGAAAGGGATCTCTGTCTTAATGGGTGTTTAGATTTTAGACATGTGGGGAGGAATAATGAAGACACTCCAGAAAGGAAACTCTATCAGCGGGGGGTGGGCTAGTCAAGGTTTGTGTGTAAGCAAGAAGTAAATTTGATGGTACATGTAATGGTGTTCCATGAGAATGTGCGGCTTCAGACATAGATAGATCTACATGCTCTAAAGATGGCTCCAGGATCCAGTTTCAGTTCTCAGAAAGGATCACCTCTCCTAGTGGCAAGCTGGCCACAGAAACATCATTTTCATCCTTTCTGGTTTTAATGGCATGGATCAATGACTTCCTGTCCCTATCCCAACAATGCTGGCCAAGTTCTTGTTGAGACTCACTGACTTTGACTGGACCTGGTGCTTAGCCGTAAGCCAATCACTCTGGCCAGGGAGGATTGAGGTCTGATTGACTCAGTCCCAGGTAACAGTCAGTTGATCTGAGTGGAGAGAGGGTGCATCCTCAATGCAAAATGGAAACAGCTGCTCACAGTAGTGGACAAGGGCAGAATTCCTATGGAGAGTAATGATCTTTACCAGAAGAGTGTGTTTGTTTGGTCTGGAGTATTCTCTTGAATTTTATATCTGATTTATAATAATCTGAAAATTGGAAAAATCTATTTCATAACTTGGAAATACTGAGTTTAAGTCTCTGTACCCTTTTACATTAAAACAAATGTACAATTGAGAATGGTTGTCTTGGTCAAAATGAGTAATACTGGATTTACCTCAGGGCAAACCATAGTCCCCTTGGTCTCCTAATAGTACTTTGTTTTTTTATAATACGTGGGACAGGATATGACTGAACAGGCCATAATTGCTGCTTTAAAGTTTTTTCAAGACTGCAGCTAACTTATTTTCTCTGATTCCCTTGGTTCTTTGAGTCATTTTGGAATTGGCTCTCTGTGTTTTGGTGGCACTTGGTCTCTCAAAGTTGAGGAAGTAAAGTCAGGCTTTTCATAAGGCGAGTGCTAATGAGAAGGGGTAACTGCATTTTTAGATCCACTATTTTTGGACCAATGAGAATTCTTCTTACTTCCTCCTCTGTGGAAAGGCTTTATCCAGCTTCTTCTCATTGTGTGGGAAGTTCTGACATCAACCCTGTGCAAAATGGATTGGGGTTTCTCTCCCACTCTGTCTAACCCTTTTGGCTGAGGAAGTGATGATAATGATGACAATGATGGATATAGCTGAAGCAGAAGTTATGATCTATTCTTAGTCTCTTTGGGCTGCTGTAACAAAATACCATAGACAGAGTGGCTTATTAGCAACAGAAATTTATTTCTCATGGTTTTGGAAGCAGAGAAGTCCAAGATCAAGATACTGGCAGATTCAGTGTCTGCTGGGGGCCCACTTTCTCATAGATGGCCATCTTCTCACTGACCTCATGTGGCAAGATGGGTGAGGGAACTCTGGGGTTTCTTTCATAAGGCCACTAATCCCATTGATAAGGGCTCCACCCTCATGCCATAATCACCTCCCAAAAGCTCCACCCCCTGATACAATTGCATTGAGGATGAGCTTTCAACAAATGAATTTTGGGGGGACTCAATGTTTGGTCTATGGCAATCTATTAAGCATTTGTGTTAAGAGTTTTACATATACTATTTAATCTTCAATACAATTCTGTTAGGTTCACCCTGTTATCACAGTTTTACAGCTGAGGCTTGGAGAGACTAGATAAATTTCCAAAGGTGACACACCTGTGAAGAGATGTAGCCAAGCTACAAACCCAGACCAGCCTTTCAAATATACTTATCAATATAATTATAGACCTGAGCCTGTACATTTGCGGTTTCCATAAATGCTAATTGGTTGCGCCTCTTTTGATTAGCAGCAATTTCACTTGCCAAAGTCATGTCAGTAGTATTTCATCATGTGATTCTCACCTAAGTATCCTGATGGGCAGAATTTGTGTTGGGACCAAAAAACATGTTAGCCACTCAGTATTACTTTTTTTTTTTTTTTTTTTTCAGACAGAGTCTCACTCTGTCACCCAGGCTGGAGTACAGTGGCACGATCTTGGCTCACTGCAACCTCCACCTCTCGGGTTCAAGCAATTCTTTTGCCTCAGCCTCCCGAGAAGCTGGGATTACAAGCATGCACCAACACACCCGGCTAATTTTGTATTTTTAGTAGAGTCAGGGTTGCACCATGTTGGCCACGCTGCTCTCGAACTCCTGACCACAAGTGATCCACCCACCTCGGCCTCCCAAAGTGCTGGGATTATAGGCGTGAGCCACCGCACCCAGCCTCAGTATTCTTTAGATGCCAGCTGAACTCATTGTTTCTGTCCTGCGCGGTTCCCATCTGCAATTACCTTGTGCTACCACATGGTGCCGTTGTTGGAGATGGGTTCTGTATGGTCTGACTAAGGTTCTCCCACGGCTCTCTGATGCTCTTGCTGGTCCACTTCCTGGCTCCAGCTGCAGTGATGTCCTTGGGAGATTTTGGCATCAGCTACATACTGAGCTAAACCAGTTCTCCTCTGGGGGGCCTTAGGTAATCCCTAGTCCCAATTCCTCAGCCTGTCTCATGAATTTCTTTTCTTAGGCACTGTGTCTACTACACTAGCTGGATGGTATTTTATCTATCTATCTGCATTTGGGATGGATAGCCACACCACAATCTTATGGTATCTGATGTGCTAAAAAGGAGACATACATAATCACAGAATGCATCAACGGGTGGACAGATTATCCCTCACGTGGAATAATCTCTTAGGGAGGCTGTAGATGCAGTGGTGAAGGGTATGGGCTTTTGATGCTTGCCAACTTGGTTCAAATCTTATTTTCACCACTCATAGCATGTATGATTTGGGGCAAATATTTTCATTTCTGAGCCCCAGGTTTCCTCATTTGTAAATATTAACTTTTTAATGAGTTGGTTATAGTGCTTGACCAAGATAATTTGCATAGATAATCTGCATAAGGTCTTAGTAAGTTTTACTAAGTATAACTATTATTAATTAGTGCCTCTATGCTCTAGGCTAGAATTTCATAAGTTAATTCTGTCATAACACTTGTGTAAATTCAAGTTTGTTCCAATGTGATTGATATATTAGGAAACAATTTGAGCATAACACAAATTTTGTATTTGGGTATGCTCAATATTGCCTGGGAGAAACACTAGGTGAATGCAGAAAACTGTACACAGCTAAACAATGACATGTAGGAATATACACAACACGTTTGCACACAGCTCAAACACCTACCAGCTACCTCAGCTCTGCACATGCGTTGTGAGTCACGCCACCCACATCTGACATTACAATTTTCCATCTGATTTTAGATAAGCCTCCACTACACAAAAACTCACAAGTCGCAACCCTTCTGACACCCACTTCCAGAAACTTCAGATCTTTTTCAAGGTAAAGGGCCATATTTATTATAGTATTTATGCATTTGTCAGCTACTTAACATATGTAAAAACGTGCTACCATTTTTATGAGGTTCCTCTTGTTGTATTTTACTGTGTCACTGGGGAAGATGTTGAGTGTACCCCAAAGCCGTAAGTCGTTTGGTTTTTATTGTATGCTTTTGTGAAGTGTGGTGACTGTCAGGAACACGTATGCTGTGTTATAGCAGAACTGATGGTTCTTGCTACTCATCTGTGAAGCACTGCACCTGCTCTCAAAGGGGCTTGCAGCTCAGTGGGAGACTTGTGCCGCTGAAGTTTGATTTGGGTCACTGGCATCCAAGTCTGCAGTGCTAATGGAACAGCAGAATGGGCATTCTCTGCAGAGCCTGGACAGGGCTCTTGCTCACTGGATCCTTCCTTGGTTTCTCAGAGCAGCTAACTAGAAGCCATGGTTGGCATAGTCTGGTGTATACTGACCCTTCTTCACAGGAAATTGTCATAGGAAAGCTTTCCAGCACTTTCATTTCTCTCTTCTCCTCTTCCTTTCATCTCTCATGTGCTTAAAGCCCTGAAGATGGGTATCCGATACCATCTTTCTGTTTAAATTGGCAGCTACTTCTGGCAGTCTGGTAGTAAAGATGCCTCAAATTGGCCTAGGGTTTTAAGGTTTATTTCAATGTAATTTTACAGCTAACTAATCTACTTTATTATTTAAAGTATCCAAAAAGGTTGATAAGATTGTTTTAATGATGGCATGTCTAATGTGGGGATATCACATACATATGTATGGCCATTTTCCATTTCCTGCCATGGCTGACATTACTAGTTATCCTAACTTCTTTTTCTTGCTGAGCATTATTTTTTTTTTTTTGAGGCAGTACTCCACACAGTGCCAACCAATGAATTGGCAATAAGAAATTATGCTTACTTGATGTCTAGGCTTTTGAGTTCTGCAGGGCAGAATATATCTCTGTCCTCTATCACAATGGGTATGTGACAAATGTTAATGAGGTGGGTGGATGACGGAGGAAACAGACAAGTCATGTTAGGGGATGCTCTCATGGTGAGGATGCCTACACTTTTCAGTCCATGTTAGGCAGTGGGATGTTAACTGTATGCTTAGCTGTGGCACCCTCAGTGCTTAGCTGTGGCACCCTCAGGCAGCCAGTTCCCTCATCAGGAAGTCACACCCCAGGATTAGTGAGCCAGCATTCTTATCCGAGAGCCCTGTGGCTCTCTTTAGTTTCTCCCTCTATCCCATAGGCTCTGAGGATTTGCATAAGGGATGCTAGAGATGAGTTTTTCTTGCTGAATGAGTGGCTTATCTGTTAGTATGATGAATGTTAGGAATGGGCTGTCACTAGTGACACTAACGCAGTCAGTATATGTGGATTGATTGAACTACTGTTGTCAACTATGGGTTGACAACCACCCATTTTCTAATTAAACCCATAGCCTGTTCATTTGGGGCTGGACCCTGAAGCGTGACCTTAAATGAGACTGCTTAGTCACTGGTGCACAGGTTTTTGTTTGTCTAATGCTGACTGTATGGCTAACACAAACTTGACCCTGGACTATTGACACATCTGCTTTGAGTCAATCTTTCATGAAAGAGCTGTAGTCGGTGCACCTGAGAAGTCACAGAGCTGGGATTTCATCAACTTTATAGCACAGCCTGTGTGCACTGTTCTGTGCATCCTTGTTAATTAATGCTTGTTTAAGAAAGGTCTCCCAGTGGGATGGATTTAGGTTGAAACTTGTTTTTAGTAGGAAGGTTGTGGAGTGGGGCTAACCCTTACTCACATTTAACCAATGACACTTGGTTACCAAAAGTAACTATTATTTAAGCATGATGATCTTAGGTCAGTTTACAACTCCGAGGTCATAAAGAAAATTAGGTCAAGACTGCAGCCTTTGGTGGTATATTACAACATCTTTCTGACAAGTAGAAGTAAAGGGTCTTAAGGGAAAGGGTGCCTTCTAATCTTCACCAGTGGAGGACTAGTGGTTTAGATTCTTTTAGTGTTTCATTTAATCTTTCCCTCAGGTGAAGTAGGAAGAGGGCTCATATCTCCAGGAAGTGCCTAGTATCTAATGGGACCTCTATAATTTGTTGAATGAATAAGCAATTAAAAGAGGTAGAAGTTTTGTGTTCCTAAACACTATTCAAAGGCTGCTTTCATAGGCACAGAACTAAAATATAGGAATATAAATCTCTTGAGAGCTGGGGTACTCGGCTGTGCAATTAGGAAAATAGGCAATAAAAGAGGAGAAGAAAACATGACTTACCTCCCAGGCTTCCTTAGCTAAGGAAGTGTCCCTCCCACCAAGTCACACTAAAATCCTTCACCATGTTTCCGTCTCAGCATTTCTCACAATCGGAAATGGTTGTGTTCATTTGTTCTTTCACTAAAATGTGCACTCCAGGAGAGCAGTGATTTTTATTTATTTAATTTTTTATATGAAGATGTATTTTTTTATTTCTGCTGCAATAAAAGATGTCTTCAATAACTATTAGGTTTATGTAACTGAAGCATTTGTATAGCACATTGATCCTTTTTTTTTTTTTAACTTTAACTTCCGGGATACACGTGCAGAGTGTGCAGGTTTGTTACATAGGCATACATGTGCCATGGTGGTTTGCTACATCTGTCAACCCATCATCTAGGTTTTAAGCCCTGCATGCATTACGTATTTGTCCTAATGTTCTCCCTCCCCTCACCCCTCAACCCCTGGCAGGCTCCAGTGTGTGTTGTTTCCCTTCCTGTTTCCATGTGTTCTCATTGTTCAACTCCCACTTATGCGTGAGAACATGCGGTGTTTGGTTTTTTGTTCCTGTGTTAGTCTGGAGAGCAGGGATTTTTAACTAATTTGTTCAGGGTTATATTCGTAGCACCTAGAGCAGTGCCCAATTTGTGGAATAAATGAATGCATGTTGAAGATAAGTGAAATATGTGCATTCATGGGACCAGGGAGTAAAAGGAAACGTCAGGCTATGCTATCTAGGCCCCAGTTTTACTGATGGTAAACTGGGGTTTCAGCGGAGAGTGGCTGAGCATCATTTGTGCTCTTTGTAATTTCTGAACCAGACTGATTGTATGCCAGGACCAGTATTAATATATATTCCTAAACCCACTGCACATGAATAGTAGTCTAAGACTCAGCTTTGCTGTCACAAAATCTCACCATGTCCCCTACTAGGAAGATAGAGGAATAGGGGCAGCAAGAGATAACTTTAATAAGAACCATTTGGCAGCTCCAAGATATAGGAAATGGAGGCCCTGAGAGATGAATTTTATCTCAAGCACTTAATGCACAAATAGCCTCCCCACTGCGGTATCTTTCTGCAGGTGGGGACTTAGTCACATAGAATGTCTCAGCAGCACACCTTAGAAAAGCGTATTTTGGGCTCCCAGTCTGGAAGGTCCCACGTCCAGCAGCTCTCTGCTAGCTTCCTGTGGTGACAGGCCATGGCCGTGTTTTCACAGAGCAAATGGCAGAGAGAACACCTGTGGAAGGCTTGGTGGATGTATTTTTTGCACTTAAAAGCTGCAGTTCATTGAGAAGATGACAGAAATAGAGTGTCAGTCATCTGTGAGCTTGAGAATTAACTGCAGGGGCATCAGGATATTCAGGGACTGCTGGGAAGCAGCTTGGGACAGGCAGCTGCTGCAAATGGCAGTCTGGAGGGACTATGAAATGAAGGCACAGGTGGGGAAGCTCTTGTATCCCTGTTCCACCTACTCGCTCTGCCCGCCTCCTCCCAGTTGGTGCTCACCATGCCTTGAGGAGTTGGCTGCCTGACTAGGTGAATGGTCTGGCTTCTCAGAAAGATGAGGCAGTACCTAAAAGCAGACTGTAAGAACTCCTACCCTAAACCCTCCTGCGTAGGTTAACATCTGCACTCTTCAGGGCTTAATAGGTGCTCATGGTCCCCAGATGATAGCTTATGACCCTTAGAGACAGAATCCTACCAATACTCATTGGTTTCTATAGAGGTATCCAGTGGACCTCTTAAGGGAAAAAATAAAGACCCTTGGACATGAATGAATGGTACTCTTCCTGTTGTTGGCATGGAGGTCATCAGATCACATGTGGTTTTTCCCAACCTCTAGTAGCACCTTTGAAGGGAGGAATAAATTGAAGTTATCAACATTAATTCTTCATGGACCCATGATGGTTCATATTGGTCACTGCTTTCTTTTTTTTTTTTTAACTTTTATTTTAGGTTTGGGGGTACATAGGAAAGTTTGTTACATAGGTAAACTCATGTCACAGGGGTTTGTTGTACAGATTATTTCATCACCCAGATGTTAAGCCCAGTACCCAATAGTTATCTTTTCTGTTCCTCTCTCTCCTACCGTCCACTCTCAAGCAGACCCAGTGTCTCTTATTTCCTCCTTTGTGTTCATAACTTATCATCATTTAGTTCCCACTTATAAGTGAGGACATGAGGTATTTGGTTTGCTGTTCCTGCATTAATTTGCTGGGGATAATAGCCTCTAGCTCTACCCTTGTTCCCACAAAAGACATGATCTCATTCTTTTCTATTGCTGCATAATATTCCCTGGTATATATGTACCAAATTTTCTTTATCCACTCTGTGATTGAAGGGCATTTAGATTGATTTTATGTCTTTGCTATTGTGAATAGTGCTGCAAGGAATATTCATGTGCATGTGTCTTTATGGTAGGATGATTTGTATTCCTTTGGGTACATACCCAGTAACGGGATTGCTGGGTCCAATGGTAGTTCTGCTTTTAGCTTTTTGAGGAATCACCATACTGCTTTCCACAATAGCTGAACTAATTTATACTCCCACCAAAAACCTTTTTCTCTACAACCTTGCCAGCATCTGTTATTTTGTGACTTTTTAGTAATAGCCATTCTAACCAGTGTGAGATGATATTTCCTTGTGGTTTTGATTTGTATTTCTCTAATGATCAACAATATTGAGCTTTTTTTCATATACTTGTTGGCCCCATGTATGTCTTCTTTTGAGAAGTGTCTGCTCATTTCCTTTGCCCATGTTTTAAAGGGATTGTTTTTCTCTTGTAAATTTGTTTGAGTTCTTCATATATTCTGGATATTAGACCTTTCTCAGAGGCATAGTTTGCAAAAATTTTCTCCCCTTCTGTGGGTTGTCTGTTCATTTTATTGATAGTTTCTTTTGCTGTACAGAAACTCTTAAGTTTAATTAGATCTCATTTGTAAATTTTTGCTTTTGTTGCAATTGCTTTTGGTGTCTTTGTCATGAAATTTTTACCCTTATGTTCAGAATGGTATTGCCTAGGTTGTCTTCTAGGGTTTTTTTTTTCAGTAGTTTTGGGTTTTACATTTAAGTATTTTACATTTGGGAGAAGGATAAATCAACTTACATCTTAAGTTGATTTTTGTATATGTTGTAAGGAACGGGTCCAGCTTCAATCTTCTGCATATGGCCAGCACCATTTATTGAATAGGGGGTCTTTTCCCCATTGCTTGCTTTTGTCAGCTTTGTTGAAGATCAGGTGGTTGTAGGTGTGCAACCTTATTTTGTGGCTCTCTATAGCTCCTTCAGCTGATAAACAACTTCAGCAAAGTTGCAGGATACAAAATCAACGTACAAAAAATCACCAGCATTCCTGTACAGCCAAACTGAGGGCCAAATCAGAAAGGCAATCCCATTCACAGTTGCCACAAAAAAGAATAAAATATCTAGGAATACATCTAACAAGGGAGGTGAAAGATGTCTATAATGAGAATTACAAAACACTGCTCAGAGAAATCAGAAAAGACACAAACAAATGGAAAAACATCCCATGCTCATGAGTAGGAAAAGTCAATATCGTTAAAATGGCCATGCTGCCCAAAGCAATGTACAGATTCAATGCTATCTCTACGGAACTACCAATGACATTCTTCACAGAACTAGAAAAAACTATTTAAAAATTCATACAGAACCAAAAAAGAGCCCAAATAGCCAAGTCAATCCTAAGCAAAACGAACAAAGCTGGAGGCACCACATTACCCCCAACTTTAAACTATCCCGCAGGGCTACAGTAACTAAAACCAGCGTGGCGCTGGTACAAAAACAGGCACATAGACCAATGGAAACTCTTTCTTTTCTAAGTGCATACAAGCCACCTAGAGAATACTTTTAGAGCCAGTTTGCAATTCCAAGTGTCACATCACTTTCCTTCTTAAAAAGGGGTCAGGAATTATTATTTTTTTTCTTCTTACCCATCTTCTACTCAATGCAGATTTGTGTACAGTGAGCCCATGGCTGCATGCACAAATTATTCCCAAACTCCAGGAACCACTTAATCCAAGCTAGAAAGTCAAATAAATTATGAGGAAAAAAATTGGAAAATTTACATAAAGTGTTATACAAATTTCTGAATTATGATGGAATAGTAGGTTCTATTTTTGTTTTTGTTTTTCTCACCCACCCCTCAATCTCACTCTTTTTTGTCAGCGTCTTTACCTCCTATCCTGAGTCTCCATCACTGGAGTGCCTTAGGACTTTTCCTGGGTTCTCTACACTGTGCTCTAGGAGAGTTCATCCAGCCCATGTCTATAAATACGGTCTACGTGCCAGTGACTCCCAAATTCAAATCTTCCATTCTGCCATCTCTCAGAGAGAATGAAATGAATTTCAATGAATTGCCTGTTCAACTTGACTACTGGTTGTATATGTGTCTTAGACTTTATGTGTCCTACACAGTATTCATGCCTCTCTGGCCCCATGGCCATTTCTCTTTTCTCCCCTACTCTCTCCTATCTTGGTAAATGACACCACTGTCTTCCAAATTGCCAAACCTTGGAGTCACCTTGATTTTTTTCTTTTGCCCTCCCCGTGCCATTTTTTAACCATCACTAGTCTCATTGGCTCTAGTTCTGCAGTACAGCTTACTACTTTTTACCTTTCCATTGTTACCTTCATGGTCCAAACTGCTGTCAACTCTTGCCAAGTCTATTTCAATATCCCCACCCCTCCCAAACTGGTCTTCCCACTTCGTGTCTCCTTGCAGTTTATCTTTTGCTCAGCAGTAGAGTAATCTTTCAAATATGGAAGTGAGGTCCTGTACTCTTTTGCTTAAAACTCTCCATGGTTTCCCATTGTGATACCCTACCAGGGCCTGTGGGATCTAACTCCCACCTACCCGTGTCAGTTCACCTCCTGCCACTTTTCTTTTTGAATAACTACCCTCTAGCCATATGATCTCCTTTCTGGACCTAAATATGCCAGGCTCATTTTCATGTCAGTCTATGTACTAGCTGTTCCCTCTACCTGGAATACTTCTCTCCTGGGTCTGTGCATGAATAACTTTCTCTCCCCATCCATGCCTTTGCTCAAAGATCATGAAATGTTCCTGTTCTGATCATTGTCTTCACTATCCCTTTATCCTGTCTGATTTTCTCCTTAGCAATTAGCATGACGTATTTCTTTGTTTAATTAGTACCTACCCCACTGAAATATAAGAACCAGGAAGGGGAGCTTTACCTCTCTTGTTCCCTACTGTATCCTAGTTCCTGGCACATAGTTCGTGTTCAATATATATTTGCTAATTGCATTAATGAAGACATCTGAACTCAATTTAGGTGACTGGTCATTCTTTTTCCATCTTCATTGTCCTTTTAAAAAGACAATGTCTTTGTGTTTTTTGGCTTAAAGTTATTGTGTTGACAACGAAGAAAATAAAACAAATAGGACTGGGTAAATTTTCTTTTCCTTGAAGAACGTTGGATTATCCTTCTAGAACCTGGAGATAAACTTTTTGCATCTTGCTCTGAAATAAGGTTACAGAGGTAAGACATTCCTCCCATTGTTCTTAGCATTTCTCCCAGAGGCTTAGATTTCTGGGGGCAAAGTTTCTTTTGTATTTCCCCTGGTTCCTGGGCTGCTGCTTTCCTCCACTAACTATGATCTTTAACAGTCTAGTTCATTAGCTAATTCAGATATCTTAAAAAGCAAACAATGTAAGGCAGTATATGATTAAGTGCCCAGTTTTTGGAGCCAACATTGAATTTTCTTATAATTTTCGTTTGCTTATCAGAATGTTCTTTTGATTATTAATTTTCAATAACCAGACCATTGAATTTTTTTTATAAAGAACTGAATTAGAACCATGCCCTAAAAAGCGGGCATTACTACAGGTTAAAGTTTTGCAGCTGAGCGGGCCGTTACTTTGCAATATGACTGTCAGTATTTCACAAGCATAACTGTAATGTATAATGTGCTTTTGCAAGATAGACAACTATTAAAGGTTAACAAAGAGTATTCTCATGTTATTTAATAATTGTCATATTACTGACACATTATTGGCATATTATCACAGTGCCTGGCACATATTAGGGATCATGGGGATGTTGACATATTGACATGTGAATTTCAGAAATTATTAATGTTTTTATAAATTAAAAATTACATTTATAGCTAAAGGCACCCACCTGATCCCTTGCCTCTCATTTCTTCACCAGATAATGGATATCTTTAAGCTGATGCAGATTCTGGAATATATTTTATCCCAAATATATTTTTTGTGTAATATGTAATATATAATCACAATTATTTAAATACATCATGGTATACATATCCTTGTAATTTGTAGGGTTTTTTTTCACTCAATAATATCTTTTTGAAATATGTCAAAAAGACATATTCCAAATGACATATTTATACATGTGGCTTTAGCACATTTCCTATGATATTCTAGTTCTTTACTGAGGAACAATTTATGTTGTTTCCATTTATTTTTATTTTTGTTTTATTTTTTGCTATAATGGATGGTCAAGGGGAGAAGGATAAAGCAGAGAATATCTTTGACCTTCTGCCAGAATTTCTGCAGGACATATACCTAAAAGTAGAAAGACTGGTCATAGGCCATCTTCATATTTACACTTAGTGTATGTTGCCAAATTCCTTTACAAAATGTTTGTCTTGTATAATAGTATGTAGGTGTTCCCAGTTCCCTGTGTCCTTCTCCACATCTGGTGTTTTCAGATTTCGAAGCATTTAAATAATTAGAAATGGTATAATGCAGTGCTTTTGTTTGTTTCTTTGTCTTTTAGAGACAGGGTCTTGCTCTGTTGCCCAGGCTGGAGTGCAGTGGCATGGTCATAGCTCAGTGTAACCACAAACTCCTGGGCTCAAGCAATCCTCCTCCATCAACCTCCCCAGTAGTGGGGACTACAGATGTGTACCACTATGCTGAGTTAATAAAAAAAAATTTTTTGTAGAGATGGGGTCTTGCCATGTTGCCCAGGCTGGTCTTGAACTCCTGGCCTCAAGTGATCCTCCTGCCTCAGCCTCCCAAGTGCTGGGACTATAGCTATGAACCACCATGCTCGGCCATGATGCAGTTTTAATTTGCATTTTCTTGTTATTAATGAAGATGAAAGCAGATTCTCACATTTTTTGGTCATTCAGGTACTTTCTTCTGTGATGTGCCTGCTAATTTTCATTGTTTATTTTTCTCTAAGATTATTGTTTAAATGAACTCTTTATATATTCTGGATATTCAGACTTCGTTGTCTCATGAACTACAAATATCCTTTGCTAGATTGTGGATTTCATTTTATTTTGTTTATGATGGCTCGATCCTGAAGTTATACGTTTTAATGTACTTCATTATATTTTTCTTAATGGCCTATACTTTTTGTATTATATTTTCAAAAGCTCTCCCTACTCCGATATAATAAAGACCTTATTTTATCCTTCCTTCTATGGATAGCCAGTGATTCCAGCACCCATTAATGAATGGTTCATCTTTTCCATAATATTTGAAATTCTACATCTGAAATTATTGCAAGTTCTCATGTCTCTATATAGGGTTCTTTTTTAAATTATTATTATACTTTAAGTTTTAGGGTACATGCGCACAATGTGCAGGTTTGTTACATATGTATACATGTGCCATGTTGGTGTGCTGAACCCATTAACTCGTCATTTAACATTAGGTATATCTCCTAATGCTATCCTTCCCCTTTCCCGCACCCCACAACAGGCCCCGGTGTGTGATGTCCCCCTTCCTGTGTCCATGTGCTTTCATTGTTCAATTCCCACCTATGAGTGAGAACATGCAGTGTTTGGTTTTTTGTCCTCGCAATAGTTTTCTGAGAATGATGGTTTCCAGCTTCATCCATGTCCCTACAAAGGATATGAACTCATCATTCTTTATGGCTGCATAGTATTCCATGGTCTATATGTGCCACATTTTCTTAATCCAGCCTATCATTGTTGGACATTTGGCTTGGTTCCAAGTCTTTGCTATTGTGAATAGTGCTGCAATAAACATATGAGTGCATATGTCTTTATAGCAGCATGTTTTATAATCCTTTGGGTATATACCCAGTAAGAGGATGGCTGGGTCAAATAGTATTTCTAGTTCTAGATCCCTGAGGAATCACCTCACACTGACTTCCACAATGGTTGAACTAGTTTACAGTCCCACCAACAGTGTAAAAGTGTTCCTATTTCTCCACATCCTCTCCAGCACCTGTTGTTTCCTGACTTTTTAATGATTGCCATTCTAACTGGTGTGAGATGGTATCTCATTGTGGTTTTGATTTGCATTTCTCTAATGGCCAGTGATGATGAGCATTTTTTCATGTGTCTTTTGGCTGCATAAATGTCTTCTTTTGAGAAGTGTCTGTTCATATCCTTTGTTCACTTTTTGTTGGGGTTGTTTTTTTCTTGTAAATTTGTTTGAGTTCATTGTAGATTCTGGATATTAGCCCTTTGTCAGATGAGTAGATTGCAAAAATTTTCTCCCATTCTGTAGGTTTCCTGTTCACTCTGATGGTAGTTTCTTTTGCTGTGCAGAAGCTCTTTAGTTTAATTAGATCCCATTTGTCAATTTTGGCTTTTGGTCTTTTAGACATGAAGTCCTTGCCCATGCCTATGTCCTGAATGGTATTGCCTAGGTTTTCTTCTAGGGTTTTTATGGTTTTAGGTCTAACATTTAAGTCTTTAATCCATCTTGAATTAATTTTGGTATAAGGTGTAAGGAAGGGATCCAGTTTCAGCTTTCTACATATGGCTAGCCAGTGTTCCCAGCACCATTTATTAAATAGGGAATCATTTCCCCATTGCTTGTTTTTTTCATATTTGTCAAAGATCAGATAGTTGTAGATATGCGGCCTCATTTCTCAGGGCTCTGTTCTGTTCCATTGGTCTATATGTCTGTTTTGGTGCCAGTACCATGCTGTTTTGGTTACTGTAGCCTTGTAGTATAGTTTGAAGTCAGGTAGAGTGATGCCTCCAGCTTTGTTCTTTTGGCTTAGGATTGATTTGGCAATGTGGGCTCTTTTTTGGTTCCATATGAACTTTAAAGTAGTTTTTTCCAATTCTCTGAAGAAAGTCATTGGTAGCTTGATGGGGATGGCATTGAATCTGTAAATTACCTTGGGCAGTATGGCCATTTTCACGATATTGATTCTTCCTACCCATGAGCATGGAATGTTCTTCCGTTTGTTTGTATCCTCTTTTATTTCCTTGAGCAGTGGTTTGTAGTTCTCCTTGAAGAGGTCCTTCACATCCCTTGTAAGTTGGATTCCTAGGTATTTTATTCTCTTTGAAGCAATTATGAATGGGAGTTCACTCATGATTTGGCTCTCTGTTTGTCTGTTATTGGTGTATAAGAATGCTTGTGATTTTTGCACATTGATTTTGTATCCTGAGACTTTGCTGAAGTTGCCTATCAGCTTAAGGAGATTTTGGGCTGAGACAATGGGGTTTTCTAGATATACAATCATGTCATCTGCAAACAGGGACAGTTTGACTTCTTCTTTTCCTGATTGAATACCCTTTATTTCCTTCTCCTGCCTAATTGCCCTGGCCAGAACTTCCAACACTATGTTGAATAGGAGTGGTGAGAGAGGGCATCCGTGTCTTGTGCCAGTTTTCAAAGGGAATGCTTCCAGTTTTTGCCCATTCAGTATGATATTGGCTGTGGGTTTGTCATAGATAGCTCTTATTATTTTGAGATACGTCCTATCAATACCTAATTTATTGAGAGTTTTTAGCATGAAGCGTTGTTGAATTTTGTCAAAGGCCTTTTCTGCATCTATTGAGGTAATCATGTGGTTTTTGCCGTTGTTTCTGTTTATATGCTGGATTATGTTTATTGATTTGCATATGTTGAACCAGCCTTGCATCCCAGGGATGAAGCCCACTTGATTATGGTGGATAAGCTTTTTGATGTGCTGCTGGATTCGGTTTGCCAGTATTTTATTGAGGATTTTTGCATCAATGTTCATCAGGGATATTGGTCTAAAATTCTCTTTTTTTGTTGTGTCTCTGCCAGGCTTTGGTATCAGGATGATGCTGGCCTCATAAAGTGAGTTAGGGAGGATTCCCTCTTTTTCTATTGATTGGAATAGTTTCAGAAGGAATGGTACCATCTCCTCCTTGTACCTCTCGTAGAATTCGGCTGTGAATCCATCTGGTCGTGGACTTTTTTTTGGTTGGTAAGCTATTAATTATTGCCTCAATTTCAGAGCCTGTTATTGGTCTATTCAGAGATTCAGCTTCTTCCTGGTTTAGTCCTGGGAGGGTGTATGTGTCAAGGAATTTATCCATTTCTTCTAGATTTTCTAGTTTATTTGTGTAGAGGTGTTTATAGTATTCTCTGATGGTAGTTTGTATTTCTGTGGGAGCAGTGGTGATATCCCCTTTATCATTTTTTTTTTTTGCGTCTATTTGATTCTTCTCTCTTCTCTTCTTTACTAGTCTTGCTAGCGGTCTATCAATTTTGTTGATCTTTTCAAAAAACCAGCTCCTGGATTCATTGATTTTTTGAAGGGTTTTTTGTGTCTCTATTTCCTTCAGTTCTGCTCTGATCTTAGTTATTTCTTGCCTTGCTTCTCTAGTTCTTTTAATTGTGATGTTAGGGTGTCAATTTTAGATCTTTACTGCTTTCTCTTGTGGGCATTTAGTGCTATAAGTTTCCCTCTACACACTGCTTTGAATGTGTCCCAGAGATTCTGGTATGTTGTATCTTTGTTCTGGTTGGTTTCAAAGAACATCTTTATTTCTGCCTTCATTTCATTATGTACCCAGTAGTCATTCAGGAGCAGGTTGTTCAGTTTCCATGTAGTTGAGTGGTTTTGAGTGAGTTTCTTAATCTTGAGTTCTAGTTTGATTGCACTGTTGTCTGAGAGACAGTTTGTTATAATTTCTGTTCTTTTACATTTGCTGAGGAGTGCTTTACTTCCAACTATGTAGTCAGTTTTGGAATAGGTGTGGTGTGGTGCTGAAAAGAATGTATATTCTGTTGATTTGGGGTGGAGAGTTCTGTAGATGTCTATTAGGTCTGCTTGGTGCAGAGCTGAGTTCAATTCCTGGATATCCTTGTTAACTTTCTGTCTCGTTGATCTGTCTAATATTGACAGTGGGGTGTTAAAGTCTCCCATTATTGTGTGGGAGTCTAAGTCTCTTTGTAGGTCACTAAGGACTTGCTTTATGAATCTGGGTGCTCCTGTATTGGGTGCATATATATTTAGGATAGTTAGCCCTTCTTGTTGAATTGATCCCTTTACCATTATGTAATGGCCTTCTTTGTCTCTTTTGATCTTTGTTGGTTTAAAGTCTGTTTTATCAGAGACTAGGATTGCAACCCCTGCCTTTTTTTGTTTTCCATTTGCTTGGTAGATCTTCCTCCATCCCTTTATTTTGAGCCTATGTGTGTCTCTGCACGTGAGATGGGTTTCCTGAATACAGCACACTGATGGGTCTTGACTCTTTATCCAATTTGCCAGTCTGTGTCTTTTAATTGGAGCATTTAGCCCATTTACCTGTAAGATTAATATTGTTATGTGTGAATTTGATCCTGTCATTATGATGTTAGCTGATTATTTTGCTCATTAGTTGATGCAGTTTCTTCCTAGCCTCCATGGTCTTTACACTTTGGCATGTTTTTGCAGTGGCTGGTACCGGTTGTTCCTTTCCATGTTTAGTGCTTCCTTCACGAGCCCTTTTAGGGCAGGCCTGGTGATGACAGAATCTCTCAACATTTGCTTGTCTGTAAAGTATTTTATTTCTCCTTCACTTCTGAAGCTTAGTTTGGGGATATGAAATTCTGGTTGAAAATTCTTTTCTTTAAGAATGTTGAATATTGGCCCCCACTCTCTTCTCTCTTGTAGAGTTTCTGCCAAGAGATCAGCTGTTAGTCTGATGGGCTTCCCTTTGTGGGTAACCCGACCTTTGTCTCTGGCTGCCCTTAATATTTTTTCCTTCATTTCAACTTTGGTGAATGTGACAATTATGTGTCTTGGAGTTGCTCTTCTCGAGGAGTATCTTTGTGGCGTTCTCTGTATTTCCTGAATGTGAATGTTGGCCTGCCTTGCTAGATTGGGGAAGTTCTCCTGGATAATATCCTGCAGAGTGTTTTCCAACTTGGTTCCATTCTCCTTGTCACTTTCAGGTACACCGATTAGACGTAGATTTGGTCTTTTCACATAGTCCCATATTTCTTGGTGGCTTTGTTTGTTTCTTTGTATTCTTTTTTCTCTAAACTTCTCTTCTCGTTTCATTTCATTCATTTGATCTTCCATCACTGAAACCCTTTCTTACAGTTGATCACATCGGCTACTGAGACTTGTGCATTCGTCACATATTTCTCTTGCTGTGGTTTTCAGCTCCATCAGGTCCTTTAAGGACTTCTCTGCATTGGTTATTCTAGTTAGCCATTCATCTAATTTTTTTTCAAGGTTTTTAACTTCTTTACCATGGGTTCGAACTTCCTCCTTTAGCTCAGAGTAGTTTGATCGTCTGAAGCCTTCTTCTCTCAACTCATCAAAGTCATTCTCCATCCAGCTTTGTTCCGTTGCTGGTGAGGAGCTGTGTTCCTCTGGAGGAGGAGAGGTGCTCTGATTTTTAGAGTTTCCAGTTTTTCTGCTCTGTTTTTTACCCATCTTTGTGGTTTCATCTACCTTTGGTCTTTGTTGATGGTGACATACAGATGTGGTTTTGGTGTGGATGTCCTTTCTGTTTGTTAGTTTTCCTTCTAACAGTCAGGACCCTCAGCTGCAGGTCTGTTGGAGTTTGCTGGAGGTCCACTCCAGACCCTGTTTGCCTGGATATCAGCAGCGGAGGCTGCAGAACAGCGGATATTGGTGAACAGCAAATGTTGCTGCCTGATCATTTCTCTGGAAGTTTTGTCTCAGAGGGGCACCCAGCTGTATGAGCTGTCAGTCGGCCCCTACTTGGAGGTGTCTCCCAGTTAGGCTACTTGGGGGTCAGGGACCCACTTGAGGAGGCAGTCTGTCCATTCTCAGATCTCCAGCTGCGTGCTGGGAGAACCACTACTTTCTTCAAAGCTATAAGACAGGGACATTTAAGTGTGCAGAGGTTTCTGCTGCCTTTTGTTTGGCTATGCCCTGCCCCCAGAGGTGGAGTCTACAGTGGCAGGCAGGCCTTCTTGAGCTGCAGTGGGCTCCACCCAGTTCGAGTTTCCCGGCCACTTTGTTTACCTACTGAAGCCTCGGCAATGGCGGGCACCCCTCCCCCAGCCTCTCTGCTGCCTTGCAGTTTGATCTCAGACTGCTGTGCTAGCAATAAGCAAGGCTCCGTGGGTGTAGGCCCCTCCGAGCCAGGCGCAGAATATAATCTCCTGGTGTGCCATTTGCTAAGACTGTTGGAAAAGCGCAGTATTAAGGTGCGAGTGACCCGATTTTCCAGGTGCCGTCTGTCACCCCTTTCTTTGACTAGGAAAGGGATTTCCCTGATCCCTTGTGCTTCCCGGATGAGGCGATGCCTCACCCTGCTTTGGCTCACGCTCGGTGTGCTGCACCCACTGTCCGACACTCCCCACTGAGATGAACCCGGTCCTCAGTTGGAAATGCAGAAATCACCCGTCTTCTGTGTCGCTCACGCTGGGAGCTGTAGACTGGAACTGTTCCTATTGGGCCATCTTGGCTCCACCCACTAAGTCCTAATTTATATGTATGCCACATGGATATGTATAATTTTTAAACATTTTTTCATTTTCTAATTTATATTATTACAATATTTTATATAAGTCATGAATTCTCTGAAAGTCTTTTCTTTTTAAATTTCAAAATAGCCTTGCCCGGTGGCTCACGCCTGTAATCCTAGCACTTTGGGAGGCCAAGGCAGGTGGATCACCCAAGGTCAGGAGTTCGAGACCAGCCTGGCCAACATGGTGAAACCCCATCTCTGCTAAAAAAAAAAAAAAAAAACAAAAAAAAAAAAACAAAATTTAGCCAGGTGTGATGGCAGGCACCTGTAATCCCAGCTACTTGGGAGGCTAAGGCAGGAGAACTGCTTGAACCAGGAGGCAGAGGTTTCAGTGAGCCAAGATCGCACCACTGCACTGCAGCCTTGGCAACAGAGTGAAACTCCATCTCAAAAAAAAAAAAAAATTCAAAATACATAAATGTATTTTTATTTTTCTCAATGGTATCTGAGCTAATTATGTTCTAGTCAGGCGATGTGTTCTGTAGGTATCAGCACTTTGGTATTCGTTGTTTTGTGCTTCGTTATCTATTTACCTTTCTATCTATATTGATATAATGTGTGCTTGAAAATAATCTTGGGGGCAGATGCCATATATATATATGTCTCCATTAGAACAATTTTTTACAACAATGATGCTCAAGACTACTATATACTTAAAAATTTTTATCTGCTTGATCTCCCAGCCATTTAAAGAGGTATGCTAAAATTCATACTATAATTATGGATTTTTCAATTTTTCTTTTTTCTAAGATGGAGTTTCACTCTGTCATCCAGGCTGGAGTGCAGTGGCATGATCTCGACTAACTGCAACCTCCATCTCCTGGGTTCAAGTGATTCTTCTGCTTCAGCCTCCCAAGTAACTGGGACTACAGGCACGTGCCACCACACCCAGCTAATTTTTGTATTTTTAGTAGAGATTAGGTTTCACCATGTTGGCCAGGCTGGTCTCAAACTCCTTACCTCAGGTGATCCACCTGCCTCAGCCTCCCAAAGTGGGATTTTTCAATTTCTTAATGTAATGATCAATATTTGCTTTATACATTATTCTGTTTGTTATTAAGTGCATATGTGTACAGATTTATTATAATTTGCCAGCCAATTGTTTCTTTTGTCCTCATAGTGTGACCTTATAGTCAATTTTGTGTGATATTAATAGAAATACATTAAATGTATTTGATTAATGTTTGCCTGGTATTTAATTTTACATCACTTTATGTTGAAATTTTATTTGTCCTTATAGATTAAACATTTCTATTGTAAACAGTGTATCGCTAAATTTTCTGTTTTGTAAAATCAAGACTAAAGGTCTCTGCCTTTTAATGGGCAAGTTTAATCCGTTTACATTTACTTCAGTTACAAGTACAGTTGAATTTAACATGCTCTCTCTTCACTGATTTTTATTATTGAGGTATAATTTACATAGAGTAATATAGATAAATCTTAAGTGTACCTCTGTAATCTACACTCCAAAATCAAGATATATTTGTATTACCCCAGAAAGTTTCCTCATGATCCTTTGTTAATTCTTTCTCCATCCAGAAGCAACCACTCTTCTGATTTCCATCACATAGATAAGTTTTACCTGTTCTCAAGCTTCATATAAATGAAATCCTACAGTATATACTCTATCGTGCCTGCTTCTTTTGCAAAAAATAGTATTTTTGAAATCTGTCCACATGGTTGCATGAATCAGAGTTAGATTCTTTTTCTTAGTGTGGAATATTTCATTGTATGAATATACCACAGTGTGTTAATCCCTTCTGTTCTTGATGGATAGTAGAGTTGCTTACAATTTTTGACTCTTAGAAATGAAGCCTCTATGAAAAGTTGTGTCCTAGATATTTTTGTGAACATGTATTTTCATTTCTCTCAGATAATTATCTAGGAGTAAAATCACTGGATCATATGATCAGTGGATGTTACCTCTTTATAAGTTGTTACCAAACTGTTTCTCAGAGTTGTTGCATCATTTTACATTGCCAGCAATTTCTCCACATTGTTGTTAATACTGGGTATTATCAATGTCAAGTTGCTAAAATTTCTGGAGTGGGTAGTGATACCCTTTTGTAGTTTTTTGTTTGTTTTGTTTTGTTTTTGAGACAGAGTCTTGTTCTGTCACCCAGGCTGGAGTGCAGTGGCGCGATCTTGGCTCACTGCAAGCTCCGCCTCCCGGGTTCACACCATTCTTCTGCCTCAGCCTCCCAAGTAGCTGGGACTACAGGTGCCCACCACCACGCCTGGCTAATTTTTTGTATTTTTAGTAGAGACAGGGTTTCACCATGTTAGCCAGGATGATCTTGATCTCCTGACCTTGTGATCCTCCCGCCTTGGCCTCCCAAAGTGCTGCGATTACAGGCATGAGCCACCATGCCTGGCCCCCTTTGTAGTTTTAATTTGAATTTCTTTAGTGACAAAAGATATTGATTTATGTTCTAATTGGCCTTTTATATATCTATTTTTGTGAATTATATTTTGAAGTTTTTACTCTATTGGATTGCTAATCTTACTATTATTGAATTTTATGTGTTCTTTATACTTAAACAACTTTTTTTAAGAGACAGAGTCTTGTTCTGCAAACCAGGCTAGAGTGCAGTGGCACCATCATAGCTCACTGCAGCCTGAAACTCCTGAGCTCAAGTGATCCTCTCGCCCCAGCCTTCGGAGTAGCTAGGACTGCAGGTGTGCACCATTCCACCTGGCTCTTTACTCTTTGATAGATGTATGTATTGTATTTTCCCCCAGTATATATCCTATCTTTTAATTATCTTATTGGTAACTTTGGAAGAATGGATGTTTTTGAGTTTTATGAACTCCATTTTATGAGTTATTCCCATAACTCATACTACTTTTCTCCCAGCAAAAAAATATTCACCTACTTCAAACTTGCAATAATTGTGTCCTAAATTAAAATTGATAGTTTTAGTTTTTACCTTCAGTTCTGTAGCCACTTTGTATTCATTTTTGTTTAGGTTATATGTAAGGGTTGATGCTCATTTTTTACAATAAATATATCCAATTTTTCTAGCACCATTTGTTGAAAAGACCATCCTTTATTAATTCACCCTCGCCACCTTTTGCTATACATTGATTGATCATCTATATGTATGTTTATTTCTGTTCTATTTCCATATATCTATACTTATGTCATTATCATACTGTCTTGATTACTCTTACTCTTTCAAGGAAATCTTGGGATCAGGCAGTGTAAGTCCTCTAACTTTGTTGTTTTTTAATCAAAGTTGTTTTGGATATTATTTCAAATCCTAGAATCGGCCCATCAATTTCTACAAAAAAAAAAAAAAAAAGCCCACTGGGATTTAGATTGGGATTACATTAAATCAGTTGATCAGTTTGGGAGAGAAACGATATCTTAACAATATTGAGACTTTGAATCCATGAACACAGTATTTCTCTTTACTTAGGTCTTTTCAAAATTCTTCCAAGCTATATTTTCTAGTTATCAGTATGCCAATTATCTGTATCTTTTATTTAATTTACTCACAACTGTTTTGTATTTTGTAAATAGATGGTTTTTTTTAAAAAAGAACGTTTTTTAGAATAGTTTCAGATTTATAGAAAAGTTGAAAGGATAGTACAGAGATGTCCTGTACACCCTTCACCCAGTTCATCATTTATTAACATCTTGCGTTACCATGATACATTTGTCACAACTAAGAAACCAGCATTGGTACACTACTATTAACTAAACTCCAGAGTTTATTCAGATGTCACCAGTGTTCCCACTAATGTCCCTGTGCAGTTGCAGGATCCCATCCAAGATACAATATTGCATTTAGTCATCCTGACTCTTGAGTCTCCTCTGGTCTATGGCCATTTCTCAGAACTTCCTTGTTTTTATGATCTTGACAATTTTGTGGAGTACTGGTCAGGTATTTTATAGAATACACCTCATTTGAGATTTGTTTGATGTTTTTCTCATGATTGGATTTGGGTTTTGGGGAGAAAAACCACTGAGGTAGAGTGCTATTCTCATTACGTCATCACTGTTTTTGATTTTGCCAGTTTTTGAGCTGGGAGGGGGTTGGATCGTGGTTTCAAATATTTTTTGTTTTATCTTTGAATTCAACTCTGGCAGGATTCATGAATCCTATTTTCTTGCCCCTCCTGTATTGAAGCTTTCTTGGCAAAATTTGAGGGCGTAGAAGATGGGTGAGAATTGCTGGGCTAAGTGATTTGCTTTTGCATTTAGACTCAGTTGCATCTGTCCATGTTTTCAACTAAAGCTTGGCTGATTTTTTCTCATCTGCACAAAGTATCTCTGTGTATGGTTGAAGCCCACTCCTCTGTCCGTCTGTACCCAAACTGAAGCTGAGGCTTTCTGTTCACTTATGAAGGTCTCTTTCCTTTTTGCAAGTCAGTTATTCAAGGCTTCTAACTGCTCTTTACTAGCCTTTTAGAATAGTATGATTTTTATTTTTTTCTGCTGTTTCCTTGTTGTCAACATAAGAGAAATGGTGCATCATATCCTTCTACTTAAACAGAAGTAAAAGTTATGTATATTTGGGTATTTTCTTTACCTTGTTTATTCCTTATGCTTTTTTTCTCCTTTTCTTCCTTCTGTTGGATTGTTTGATCTGTTTTCTTTACAATTTCTTAAATTTCTCCTCTAGTTGGCAAGTTATACATTTCTCTTATATAGTTTCAGGAATCAATAAATATTTGTAACAAGAATGCTTAACTTAAAATCAAAACATATGTCATGTTTTACTCATTAACTTGCTTTAATTATGTATTAGTATGGTCTCATGTTTTGTCTTACCCTTTTTTTGCTACAGAATTAATACTACTAATTATTATTTATATACTCAGTTCTTGCTTTAGATTTCCATGATTTGCTCACCATTGCTTCTTTAATCCCACTCTCTTCTATGAAGTTTAGATTCCTTTTCTCAGTGATCCACTCTTGGATAGTTCTTTCAGCAAGGGTCTCTAAATGGTAAATTTTTGCAGACTTTGTGTGAGAGTATTTTTATGTTATTATTATGGCTCTTGAATGGCAATTTAGCTGAGGAGAAAATTCTAGGCTTACTATTTACTTTTGCTCACTATTTTTAGCACATTATTCAATTTACATCTGACCTATACTGTTGTTTTTGAGAAGTTTGCTGCCAGTTAAAATGCCACCCATTAGTACATGAAATGGCCTCTGCCTACTTGCATCTAAGATTCTTCTCATTGTTTTTGTGTCCTGTAGTTTTAATGTGTGTACAATATCCTTATAAACTGAATAAATGTCATATTGTTTTAGACACCAGCATTTTATGATGTATTTTAATATCTAGGAGTTTGATAAATCTCTGCTGTAGCATTACTCTTCTTTTTAAGAATTTTTTCCATTGGGTGCCATGGCTCATGCCTGTAATCCCAGCACTTTGGGATGCCAAGGTTGGTGGATCGCTTAAGATCAGGAGTTTGAGACTAGTCTGACCAGCATGGTGAAATCCCACCTGTACTAAAAATACAAAAATTAGCCAAATGTCATGTTGCGCACCTGTAGTCCCAGCTACTTGGGAGGCTGAGGCAGGAGAATCGCTTGAACCTGGGAGGTGGAGGCTACAGTGAGCCGAGATAGCACCACTGTGCTCCAGCCTGGGCTACAGAGCGAGACTCCATCGCAAAAGAAAATAAAAAAACAAATTTTTCCTTACAAAATTCACTGATTATTTTTCAGACTAATTTCAGAACACTTTTGTCAAGTCCCTAGATAATGAGATTGTATTTACTTTTTAGATTAGTTTTGAAGAAAGTAGGTATAATATTATGTTTTCCTACACAAAAGTATATATGGTACATTTCTTAATTTATTTGTCTTTATTTGTATAAATTATATAGTTTTACTTAGCTAGGTCCTGAACGTGGCCTATAATTATGTTATATAGTTTTATAATATAATTATGTAGTTTTATTTAGGTAGTTCCTGAATATGTTGTACTGTTTATTTCTAGGTATCTTATGTTTTTAAAGTATGTTTTGCATCTGATATTTTTCTGGTTTATTTTTAATAAGACACTGCATACAATTTTATTTATTTTTATATACTTATTTTAATCCAGAGCAATTTACTTAATTATCTTCCTGGCTCTGTTAATTTTTCATTAAATATATTTTATTTTTTAAAAAACTAACTTTCGGATTCTCTTGACTTTTCAAGGCCAAGTAAAAACCTATGAAAATTAATAGCTATGCTCTTTCCTTTCCAATACTTTTAATTTAATATTGTCATCCAATTTCACTGGCTACATTGTAAAGACTGTGAAATAATAGTAATGATATCACTATCCTGTTCTTCATTTCATTGGGAATTACAGCATTTTTTTTCAAAGAGCACAGTACTGCCAGTTGATTTAAGGACATTGAAAACACACATTAAAACAAAGTCCTGCTTATTTTTAGAGTCTTTCTAATGTTGAGAAAATGCTGTTTAGTTTTAAGTGCTATTTTAAGTGGAAAATATTACAAACACAAAACTTGTGAAATGCGTGGGCACAGTTTAAGAAGGAATAACAGAATAAACCTTGAGTACCCATGTTAATTTAAAAAATTCCAATACCTTCCAAACCCTCTTTGGGCATCCCCTTGATTGCATCTCATTTCTTACCTCCATCTAAGATGACCAATACTCGGAATTGTAAATTTCTTATTCCCTTGCTTTTCTTTGTGGTTGTTCCATTATTTACAAATCCCCTAATAATTAAACCATTACTTTGAATTTGAACTTAACGTAAATCAGTTTTATTTGCATTCTTTTGTAACTTGTCTTTCATTGCATTGAGATTCATTGGTGTCAAGGCATCAGTTGCTAGCTGATTCCTTTTAACTTCTGTGTTCATGGTCCAAATGGGCCACAGTTGACCTGTTTCTTCTCCTATTGATGGACATTGTTTCCAGTTTTTCACTTTGATGAACAATCTTGCCATATCATTTTTGTAAATGTTTCCTGACACACATTTTTAAGAGTTTTCTGAGAGAGAGTTTCTTGCAAGAGTTTTTCAACCAAAGGTTGAAATTTCTGGGTCTTGGTGCTTGTGCATAGCCACGTTTACTGATTAATATCAAAATGCTTTTCAAGTGGCTATACCAATCCATATTTCCATTAACAACATAATGAGAATTCTCATTGCTCCACGTTCTTGCCTGCTTCTGGTGTGGTCAGATTTTTAAATTATTCCCCATCTGAAGTAACATCCCAATGTGATTTAAATTCACATTTATCTAATAATTAATCAAGGTTGATCAACTTTTAAGATGTTTATGGTTTATTTCCTCCCTATTAAATTCCTGTTTATGAATTTTTTCTATGGAGTTATGACTTCTGATCATGGATTTTTAAAGGAATCCCTTGTCTTTTCTGTATACTAATTCCCTGTTGGTTCTGTGTTGCAAAAATCTTCTCTGTTTGTTGTTTTTCATGAAACACTTCTCAATTTTCACGTTGTCAAAACTTTAGTCTTTTACTTTGTTGTGCTTGTATCTTATTTTAAAAATGTTTTCTTCACTCAGATAATAAAGTTATTCTCTTATATTGATTTCTAAAAATATTTTTAGACAGAATACTTTTCAACTATTGTCATTAAGGATTTTGTTTGCAGCAGTTTCGTTATAGGTTCACTTTATTGGATTATATTTTATAGAAAGCCTTTTTTGCATTTATTTACTAGGATAATCATGGTTTTTTTTCTAATTTGTTAATACAATGAATTGTATTAATTTATTTTCTATATTCAATAAATGTTACAGTTCACAGACAAACCCAAATGTCAACCTTGTGTTTCAGTAAAACCTGATGATGTTTCATTGTTTTTATATATTTCTGAATTTGGTTTGCCAATATTTTATTTACATTTTTTCATTTATGCTCATGAGTGCAATTGGCCTTTTGTACTGTTCCTGTCTTGTTTGGAATCAGCCTAATAAAAAGAATTCTCTGTAAAAGTCTGTGTAAATGTGAAATGATCTGTTCCTATCTGTTTGGTAGAACATGCCTGTAAAGCCATCTGGGTCCAGTGTTTTCTTTTCTTAACATGTTGAGCTATTAATATGATCTTAAAAACAGTGATCAGACTATTTCCACTTTTTCTCCTTTCTTGAATCAATTTTGGTAGGTTTTGTTTTTCTAGAAATTTATCCATTTTATGAAAACTTATAAGTTTATTGGCATAAAGTTATCCATAATAACCTATTAACTATTAATCTCTGCAGCACTTGTAATGTTCTCTTTCACTTGTAATATTATTTCCACATTCTCTGTTTCTACTGATTAATTTTTAACAATAATTTTCTGTGTATTATTAGTCTTTTCAAAGAACCAACTTCTAGCTTTGTTGACCTTCACTCATATGTTTTTGTTTCCTATTTTGTTGATTTTTACTTTCATTATTTCTTTCCTTTTATTCTCCTTGTTTTTCTTTTGGCATTTCCCTCCTAATTCTTTCAGTTGAATGCTTAGTTCACTAAATCAGTGAGCTTAGTTCACTAAATCAGAGGCTTTCTTATTTCTAATGAAACACTGAAAGTACAATTCCTCTGTAATACTGCATTAGCTGCCTCCTATATATTTAATTGTAAGCATTTTCTGATTTCCATGATTATTTCTTCATTGACACATTAGGTTTTTTTTAACATTTCCAAATATATGCAGTTTTTCTCTTTTTTCCCCCACATTTTCTAACTTAAGCACATATTGGTCAGAGAATATGGTGCAGAGGATATAAAGTTTATGAAGTTTTTGAGGCTCACTTTGTGGCACAATATGTGGCAAGTTTTTGTGCTTGAAAAGGATGTGTATGCTCCAATTGCTGGTTTCAGTGTTGGTTTGTTGTTTGTTTTTGAGACAGGGTTTTGCTCTGTCACCCTGGAGTGCAGTGGCATTGGCTCATCCCTTGACCTCCCCAGCTCAAGCTCTCCTCCCATCTCAGCCTCCCAAGTAGCTGGGACCGTAGGCATGCCACTACAACTGGCTAATTTTTTTATATTTTGTAGAGACAGGATCGCCCTATGTTGCCCAAGCTGGTCTTGAACTCCTGGGCTCAAGTGATCCTCCTGCCTCAGCCTCTCAAAGTGCTAGGATTAGAGGTGTGAGCCCCCATGACTGGCTCAATGTTTATGTAACCTATTAAATCAGGATTTTTAATTGTCTTTTTTGAATTATGAATGATTTATTGGTCTGCTTGATCTGTCAATTATTGAGAGAGTTACGTTAAAACAATTTCTGTTATACTGGTGGATTTGTCTACTTCTTCCATGTCTAAGTTTTTTGTTTTTTTTATATCAGCATACAATTGAGCTTTAAAAATCCAGCTCTGCCTGGAAGTTTTTGTCTTTTATTTAGAAATACCAATCCATTTGTATAAATTGTGAATCCTGATGCATTTAAGTTTATTGCTACAACCTCATTATGTGCTTTTGATTTATCTTACGTCTTCTGATTCTTCTTTTTGCCCTCTTTTGACTTCTTTTCTTTATTTCATCTTTAGTTGCTACTTCTTCAGTGGATGTATGTTCCAAGCTCATTCTTTTAGTAGTTACACTCACAGTTTTCATAAGCATACTTAGCTTAACAAAATCCAAATTTAATTAATATGGTTTTCATCCTCCTGAATAATCCACAGACTTTTGGGTGATTTCATTTCCAGATCATCCTTCTTTCATTATTATTTATTAGTTTGGTTTCAGCTGGAGTTCTTTTACTAATATAGTCCAGCATCTTTGTTTCAGCTTGTGTTATTGCTTTGCTGCATTTCATCTGATATTACTTTTATTATCACTTTATAAGATTAATATTTGTTTAGATCAGCCTACTAATTTACCCATGTCTTTACTTTTTCTTCCTTCATACATCACATTTGCATCTGGCATAATTTTTTCTTCTGCCCAACATATATCCTTTAGAATTTAGGTTTTAAGGATTATTTTGTAGGTTTCTATTTTGTGAATAAATACTCTCCATTTTTTTGTTTCTATCTTTATTTTACCATCATTGTTGAGAGTTTCACTTGGTATTAATCTCTCTAGGTTGACAGCAACTTTTCTCAGCCCTCTGAAGGTAATCCACTCCTTTGGGTATCCTTGTGGGTGAAAAGTCAGCAGCCATTCCAAAGGCTGCTCCTTTGTAGGCAATCTGTGTTTTATCACTGCCGGCTTTTAAAATGGTTTCATTTTCTTTGGTTTTCAGCAGCTTCACCATGGAGCATCTATGGTATATGCTAAATTTGAAAATTGGTAACATTATCTCTTTGATAGTACTTTCCCATTTTGTCTTTTATCACCTTCCAGAACTTGGATTAAACTTATGTTAAACCTTCTCACTCTATTTTCCATGTCTCTTAACCTGTTGTGCATATCATCCATCTCTTTATTTTTGGACTACATTTGGAATGCTTTCCTGTCTTCCATTTATTAATTCCCTCTTCAGCTCTGAGGCTCTGGCTCAAATGTGACCACATGTTGTCACCTTTGACTGTTGAGTAATGCGCTTCAATTGGAAGAAATCATAGGCCTTACCATCTAATCCCCTGTCACTCTCTAGATGGAAATCAAGCCTTTTCAGTTTTAGGCTTAGAGACAATGGATTTACTAAGAGATCCACAGACTCTGCTGGGTAATGCAATTACAACCTCAGTGCATCACATACCACATGACTTCGTGCTTATCCTACTTTTCTAATAGCCACCCGAGTATTTCTAGCCAACTCTTTTTGGTAGGTAATGCCAAGAGCCCAACTGAGTTACTACCCATATATGTACCCATAATTGGCCACGTCAGGGGATGAAATCAATAATTACAGGCTGCATGCTTTCAGCAAAGAACATAATTTTATCATAATATTGATAACAGTTCCTCACTCCACCCAATCTGACCACCAGAAAATGATTTTATCCCATGGGGAAAAGACAAGCCTTTCTGGCCCAGTATACACGCTGTTGTCTGTTTCTTCTTTCCATCCATCTTCATCAGACCCTGGAGGACTTCTTCCTCAGGCTGTTCTCCTTGCCACAGGACCCTTTTGGTGTTAAAGGGTATTAATCAGAATCTACTCAAATGAGTGGTTTATGCTACCATGAAATTTTAAACCCAGCAGATTTTCCTGAGTGATTTGCTGGTCGTAACTGCCAGAAAAGACATAAAGCAGCAGGAAGGTTCTGCTGACCCTTGTCCTGTTTTTCTTCTTTTGCTGTGTTTGGTGGAGCACTTGGTCTCTAACTGAAGCCAGTGTTGAGGGCATCCATGGAGGAAAGTATTCTGCAGTGGATGGGACTTTGAGGGTCTTTGGGGGACAGGTGTCCTCCTCAGGGTCGCTCAGCAAGTCAGGGCCAGGCCTGTCCCTCCTGGTGAACTCCTGCTAAGTGCTTGATTCTTCAGGCTGAAACCCTTGCTGAATGGGTGCTACTGATTTTGCTCTTAACTGGTCACAGATTTTGGCTGCCAGGACCCATCCCCCACTAACAGTACCCATGAGGCACCAGCCAAGTGGAGTGCCACATTCCCCTGGCCTCAGTAATTGGCTCAGGAATGCGCATATGATTCCATCAGAAGCACACTGAGACTTTTATTAGGACTGTCACTGCCTTTTCCCCACTGGACTAGAACTACTACACTGATGAGGGCAGCCATGAGAATAAAGTCTGAGAGTGAAGCCAACACAGAGGAAGTAGGGCAGATAAATTAAGAGACAACAGATCCTGGTGATGCTTTCTGAACACCTGGATCCAGCCATGCCTGAAGTCACCCTTCCTCTAAGCTTTTCAGTTTCATGACGCAGTTGAATCATGACTTAGCACAATGGTTCCCAACCTTTTTGGCACCAGAGACTGGTTTTGTGGAAGATAATTTTTCCACTGACCAGTTGGGGCAAGGGGGATGGTTCTGAGATGAAACGGTTCCACCTCAGATGATCAAGCATTAGGCATTAGATTCTCAGATGGAGCTGCAACCTAGATTCCTCACATGTACAGTTCACAATAGGGTTTGTGCTCCTGTGAGAATCTAATGCCACTGCTGATCTGACAGGGGGCAGAGCTCAGGTGGTAATGTTCCCTGGCCTGCCACCCATCTCCTGCTGTGCAGCCCAGTTCCTAACAGGCCACAGACCAGTGTCAGTCTGTTGCCCAGGGGTTGGGGACCCTTGACTTCAAGAGTCCTGATAAGTTTTGATTAAGCCATACCTGGATTCTAATGAAGGAACCCATGTGACCCCAGTTCTTAGGAAGTTTTTAGGGATTAATTGCTTAACTTTTATCTAATAATAGTATCAGCCTTAGATGATCTACAGACTTGGTGGGGCTATTCAAATATTTTCCTGTTTGGAAGATGATCCCTTGGTCTATTTAGAAAGTGTCCCATGGTAATAAAGTAACTGGAGAAAATGCTTCAAGCGAATTAAAATGAAGGGTACATTTTGAGTAGCAAGAGGTGGTTTATGTTCCTTAAATGCTATTATTCTTGGCTGGTATTAAAAAGCCCTTTCTGGGAGGAAGTCAGAAAGTTTTGGGGTGAGTATCAACCATGATAACCCTATGGATACACTCACCCCAGAAAGACTCTAATTTTACCTTAAATAAGAGAGAGAAAATTAGCAATTGTTAGTAGATGGCTCTTGACGAATAATATGAAATTTCAAAGACGGCCTCAAAATTGATGGAGAATGCCAAGGCTCTGGGAACAAAATGAACATATAATTCTTGACAGAATGTCTGTAACCCAAGCCCAGTATAGAACTCTGGGAGCTAACCTGCAGATAGAATGGGATCTCTTACTCAGAGGTTCTCAGCTTTGCCACTGTTGACACTTGAGACAGAATCATTCTCTGTCCCATTGTTTTTTTGGGTTACTTTTGGAGACAAGATCTCACTCTATTACCCAGGCTGGAGTGCAATGGTGTCATCATGGCTCACTGTAGCTCAAACTCCCGGGCTCAGGTGATCGATCCTCCTGCTTTAGCCTCCTGATTAGCTGAGACCAAAGGTGCACAACACCATGCTTGGCTAAGTTCTGTATATTTTGTAGATAAAGGGTTCTGACATGTTGCCCAGGCTGGTCTTGAACTCCTTGGCTCAAGCGTTCTGCCCACCTTGGCCTCCCAAAGTGCTGGGATCACAGGTACAAGACACTGTGCCTGGTCATTGTAGGATGTTTAGCATTATCCCTGGCTTCTACTCACTAGACAGCAGTGGCACTCCCTGCCCTGCCTGTGACAACCAAAAATGTCTCCAGACATTGTCAAATGTTCTCTGGAGGAAAATTCCCCCAATTTGAGAACAAGTGTTTTATCCAACATTCTCCTGCCTTTACTCTCCAACTGAAGCTAGATGGCAAACTAGGCCTGTACTGGCAATGCAACTCCTAGTGGGTCCTGACAGGTAGCCAGGCACGGTCCATGCTACATATTTATAGAAAGATGGTGTCATGCATCAAAAAGAATATGAGCTCGGGAAACAGGAAGAGCTGAGTTCAGATCCTAGATATAGCCAGGTGGGACATGTGGGGCAACTGCTTTATTTTACTGAGCTACAGTTTGCTCATCTGTAAAATGGGGATAATAATTCCCTAATCAAAATGGTGACTTGGACTGAGATGTGAGTTTTTAAGTGTTGAGCTCAGAGGCGGCACATAGTAAGTACTCAATAAATGGTAGGAATTTTTGTCACTGTACCCAGTGTTTAGGCATGTGGATGAGAAGAGGAGCTTCGGTGCACTGGATAGGGTAGGAAAGGGGCAGAATGCAAAGGTGGGGGGTTAAATACTCTTCTTGCCTTTTTGCATTTTATATTTTTAGGGAGATAAGATGAACACATAAGAAAATATATATTACAGGGCCGGGCACGGTGACTCACACCTGTAATCCCAGCACTTTGAGAGGCCAAGGTGGGTGGATCACTTGAGGCCAGGAGTTCGAAACCAGCCTGACCAACATAGTGAAACCCTGTCTCTACTAAAAATACAAAAATTAACCAGGCATGATGGTGCGTGTCTGTAATCCCAGCTACTCAAGAGGCTGAGGCATGAGAATCGCTTGAACCCGGGAGGCAGACGTTGCAGTGAGCCAAGATTGTGCCACTGCACTCCAGCCTGGGTGACAGAGTGAGGCTTTGTTGCCAAAAAAAAAAAAAAAAAAAAGAGAGAAAAAATAAAATATATGTTACAGGACAAGGCAATCCTTGGTGACACCTGAAGGGGAGAAATAGAATAAAACCCTCAGGGCCTAGAAGATGATGTGGCAAGTTGGAGAGTCTGAGCTTCACCTAAGGGCTCCATCAGCCACTCCTCTCCTCTAGCCTGGTGTCACCAGTGATGCTGTTACAGCCTCTGATTTTTTCAAAGAAATCTGAAAAATGGGATTTTAAAAAATATAAACTCTTCCACTTAAAAAAAGTTAGCTTCAAATTGAACAAATCTAAAAACACAGTCCCATCCAACCCAGTCATGGCTGTGGGCCAAATTCAGCCTTCAGTATGGCAATTGGTAACCCCTGACATGGGTGGTAATAGATGACTTTAGAGGAAGAGCTCACTGTGAGCCGGATGGAAGCTGGGACCTCCCAGAAGACGTGGGACTCAAGTGCAGTGGAAAGATGGGTGAGGCTAAGCCAGGTGGCAAAGAAGGCATCACTCGGCTAGTTTTCTGGCTCCATTTGTTTCTTGTTGGCACCAAAATAGTCTCATTTCCAGCCCATTTCTAGAAACAAAAGGCACTTCCATACTAAAAGCGATGTTTCAAATCTTCAGCCCTGAAGAAAACATACAGGGGATTTTGTTTTGCTAGCTTACCTGGCATCTTATGAGGATGGAACTTGTCCTGGAAGGGAACCTTGGGTTTCTCTGTCTGAGACAAGGCAAGGCCTACTAAGGATTTCAAGCCCACCATCGACTATTTGGTTAGTTCACCAGTAACACTACGTGCTCTCCAAAGGCAATCTCTTTGCCTTGTTTATTACAGAAAAGTTCATTTACAGACCACTGCTCAGTTAAAGACAGATGCATGCATTCCTAAATCACTCACCAGTTACAGGGCTGTTTTGTTGACACCTCCCACCTTCCACCCACAAACTAAGGCAGACATGATTAATTGAGCACAGATTGTGTTCCGGATGAATCTAGGTGGAGTTTCACAAACCTCCATGACACTCTCCACTTCTTAATGCCACTCTTCCCAAGCAATGAAATCTTCCACCACCTCGGTCTCACTTGCTTCCCATCTACGCATGTTTCACTGCCATTTCTGAATGGGTTTAATGTCTTATGAGAAGCATATCTGTGTCCAGACAGGGAGACTTTGTGTATGTCTATAGATAGATTCCCTCTCATTCAGATGTCCCTCTGCTGGAACTGATGGAGACCCTTTTGTGTCTACAGTTAATCAAATATAAATTGACCATATCCATGCTGTCAGGGCTGTGGGGTCTGCGATGGAGCAAAATTCCAGGGATGGTTAAAATTCATGCAGTTCTCTCCTAATGTCACGGTTGGATGGGGGGAGTGAGAGACCATGAAAATAATTTGTCATTAATATATAAAATATTTGTATTATATTTATATCATATTTATCATACAATATAAAAATGACCATCATATTGTGTCCTATATGATAAGCAAACAATCAAATGTACTACTGTGGAAAGGGGGCATTGAAGGAAGCTGGGTAGGAGGAAATGACAAAGCCAATGGAGAGCTGAGCCCATCAAAGGATGATGAAAGCCTTTATTTCAGTGAACGGTGGTTGAGAATTTCAAGGGACAGAAGACAGAAATGGGCAGGGGTGTGGAATGGGGGACAGGCCAGTGGGATGGGATGGGGAGAATCCGGATGGGCTTATGAGGGTTATGTGTCTATGTGCCGTGGGGCGTGAGATTAAGCAAAGATGGGACTGGAAAGGGGGAGACAGTAAATTCATTGATTTTTCAGTTCAGTAAGGGACAACAATTAGCCTAGATCCCTTTTACAAATTCATCTATCCATTCATTTATTTGGTAAATAGTCATGGAGCAGCTCCTGCATGCAAATTAGTGTGCTGAGCTCTGGAGCAAGAGTAAGAAAAGATGTGATGTTCAGCTTATGGTGCCAATTATGTGGTGAGCAGACAAAGACTCAAACATTGATCAAGCAGCATGAGACTTTCTACTTCATTCAAGAGGATGTAGACTTGTTTCTCCCTGCTCCTCTCTGCTAAGCACAACTATAAACCCTGGGAATAACAGAAAAGGAGAGAGGAGAGGTTAACCCTGGCTCTGAGAGGAGAACCCTGAACACTGGAAGGGTGAAGGTGAACTGGTGAGGGATCCCAGGACTGGAAGAACAGCATAGAAGGGGTTGTCTTACACCTGCCCCCCACCTGAGATAAGAAGGCAGCCTAGGCCCTGTTTTTCTTGACCTACAACCTAGCAACAGGAGGTGCCCCAAGTGGGTGCATTCTCCCACCAGATGGAATGGGAGTCCTGCCAACATTAGGCAAACCCAGAAGCACTGGCATGGGTACTATGTGAATAGGGAAAGCTCTCCTTGTGTCTACTGGGGCTCCTGTCCTTCACTGGGAGATAGCAGGTGGCTAGGGGCACTGGCAAGATGGATCCTGCCACAAGTGACCCAGGCAGGAAGCCTCCTTGTCAGTCCCACCGAAGGGTATCAGGGAGGCTGGTGGTACTAGCAAGCACAGTTTCGCCTCATTCAGTGGCCTGGCCTGGCCTGGGAAGCACTCTTCATCCCTGTGGAACAGAGCATCCCTTTCCCCACCTAGAATACCAGGCTGCCTAGCTTGGGGAGACTCCGCCCTCTCAGGCAGCACCGGGAGGACCAGTGGGAGCCCCAAAAGCACCAGATAAATCGCCTAGAGCAAAATAGCACCTCAAAGACTCTCAAAATTAAACTGCAATTGGAACCATAGCCCTATACCTATAAAGTAATCTAGAGCCTGCATGCTAAACCCCAAACAGGGTGAGTTCATGCTAAACTAAAAGAATTAAACAGGATCCAGAGTCTTCTAACATAACAGCGAAATGTCCAGGATGTAATCTAAACTCACTCATCATACAAAGAGCCAGGGAAATGATGGCTTGAGTGAGAAAAGATAATTAACTGATGTCAACTTTGAGAAGAATCAGACGATGGAATTATCTGATGAGGATTTTCAGCAGCCATCAAAAAAATGTTTTGATACACAACTTTGAATGTTTTTGAAACAAAAAATAGAAGTTATAAAATGGAAATTATACAACCAAAAATACAATAATAGAAAATTGTAGACTTGCTGTATAGATTCATTAATAGAATAGAGATGACGGAGAATAGAATTAGTGAAAGTGAAAACAGAACAACGGAACTGACCCAATCTAAAGGGAAAAGAAATAGACTTACTGCCATCTTGCCCTTCGGATGAGAACCATGTGGTCAGTCCCTGTGAAATGAATTTCTAGTAGGCATCAGAACTCCTGCTTCTGTCTGATGCTGCTGAAGGGCCAAGGGCAGCGTGTCATGGTGCGACTGCTGTGGCTTTGGGCAGAGCCAGGACTTCGTTGCAGTGTCTCCCTAAATTTGAGGGTGTCTCCCATTTTTCCAGTGTTGCTCCACTTTCTCAGCTCCACTCAGATGCCAGTCCTCTAGGAAACCACCCGTCCGTGGCCTCAGGTGGGAACAATTCCTCTTCCTTTTGATCTTCCACAGCCCTTTTTCTATATTCCTTGTGGGTGATAAATCTTGTTTTGTGTGCTTTTCATCTGAGTTCCCCTCAATCTCTGGCACTGTGCTTTGTGGACAGTAGGTGCTCACTAAGTGTTAAATGAATAACACATGAAGACATATCCCTTCCACAGTGATGGTGTCCCAAAAGTGAGACATATGGAGGTGAACAGGTAACTAATTATTTTCTACTTTATGTTTAATTTCTTTGTTTCATCTCCCTCTCTCATAGCCATTAAACTCCTTGAGGGCAGGTACCATTCCTCGAGTGTGTGTGTGTGTGTGTGTGTGTGTGTGTGTGTGATGTGTGATGTGTCTGTGTGTTGTATCCTACGGTGTCGAGCACGGACCTACATGATTTATCTTTTGATAATTCCCACTGGACTTGGTTAAAAAAATCAATGTGTCCTTAGTGCTGGAATGAGGACCAGGTCATGATGTGGAGGAGAAGGGGAATATTTTTATTAAAGACTGTTTTCACAACCTGATTTCTCCCAGGCCTTGGGCTGGTGCCAACGTGCGTAGTTTATACTCTCCATGAAGAGACAGGTTAACTGCCCGGTTATAGCCAGCACTGGTGGTACAAGTCACATCACCCCAACAGATTCGCAGAATAAAAATAAAGTAATAAAACGGAGGGTTTTATTCATCGCATTCCAAAGGGACTGCTCCAAAGAAAAATTTTCAGAGACGGAGCGAGCCTGCAGGTTCCGGGCAGTGCTGTGTGTTTGGTGTGTGCATGCATCTGTTGTTATCTAATAATAACCATAACGTTGGCAAATGATATGTTAGTGCTTATGATATGCCCAGAAGGGGACAAAAGACTTTCTAAGCTCTGGATCATTTCATTCTCTCTGTAACTATGATTACTGCATTTCACAGATGGGGAGAGGCAGAAGAGGTAGTGAACTTGCCCAAGGTCTCATGGATACGGGGAGCTGACTCTAACCTGCACCTCTCTGAGGCCAGAGGTCCAGCCCCACTGGCCACAGGGCAGTTTCTTCCCACCCTACTCCCTCACTGGACCTTCGGTAGACACATGGGAGGTGTGCAGCCTCCTTGGTTAGAGTCTCATGAAGGGACACTCCAAAGCTGCCTCTGACTGAGTCCCAGTCTGGTGGCTGTGGCTGGCTTTGACAGGGCAGGGATTTGGCCTCCAGCCGCAAGATGCACCTTGAGCCAGCGGAGGTTGTTTGTAGATGCCTCTGACTTTCTCCACAGGAACCCAGGACCGGCCCCTCCCTCCCAAATCCTTGAGATTTGTTTTATGTTTTCCTTAAAGGATCCATAAATCCTTTAAGGAGTGAGTGTGACGCGGGCACATAAATCTCTGTCAAGTAGGAGGGCCAGAGGGAGGACAGCTCAGGAATGAAAAAGCCTAAACACACATGGGAAGGATGCCCAGCTCACAGAACCCCTGCCCTCTGGCCACTGAGTGCCAAGGAGGTCCCTTCCCAGTGGGCATCCCCAGGCCCAGGACTCCAGGATCTGCCAGTCTCTGGCCCTGACAGAGGCAGCGTCTCCAGCTGCTACTGAGAAAGAAAATATAGAAAATACAGAAAAAAAAATTCCTATTAGGTGTTGCTGCTGGCTCCCTCATTTGTCAGAATCCTTTAGTACTGACTGTTTTCTAGACATTTATGGAATCGATGCCCAGCAGGGCGGCATTAAGGCAAACTGCGAGGTTGGCATGCCTCCCACCAGCCTCACTCCCCAGCTGCTCGAGGCCAAATTAAGCAGTTTTCACCTTTCCCCTCCCTAAACACTTAAAGCATAAAAAAAAAAATTGAGTTGAACTGGTCTGTATTTAGATATAGCCCTGAACTGCTGACAAATACTGGCTGATAGAAACAAAGTGTGAAGTTCAGAAGTTCAAGAACTTGGGATACAGTTCTAAGAAACTGGCCCCTTTCTGCCTGGGTGACCTGACTTTCTGCATGCATCAGTCCTTCAGGTTAGAATCCAGTGTCACACTGCCAGGGAAGCCCACCTTGACATCTTGTTTAAAAGGTTAAAACTGCATCATCGATGGCTCTTAGCCTGTTCTGTTTTTTCCGGTGACACTCGTCACCTTCCAATACTCTACATAATGGAATTATTGTCATGTTTATTGTTGTTTGCCTATCTCTGTCTCTAGAACGTAAGCTCCATGAGGCAGAGGCTTTATTTTGCCCACTGATATCTTCTAAACAGTGAGACCAGTGCTTGACTCCCAGAGGCACTGAAAAGTATTTTCTGAATATATGAGAAATGAACAAATGAGAAGGAAATGGGCTAATGCTGCTTGCTCATGGGTGTAGTTCAGGATGTAGAGTTGAGGTTTAGCTCTGCTCTCACTTTCCCAAAGGGTTTAGTTGAAGAATTTTAAATAGTCGGAGTTGGCAGATTTAGAAACGATATTTCTGGAAGGTGGAATTTCTAAGCACCGATGACATTCATGTGGCCAGGAGGATGGGGAGGAAATCCCAGCTGTAGATGCCTAGTCAGACTCCAGGCTTATGAGGCCCAATCCACCTCTGTGGATCTGGACATCACCTCTGTGCATTAGATGGTGCCCTCCCCCGCTCCTGGGAGGAGATGGCCTCCCCTGACGGCCTAGTTTCCTCAGCTAGGCCAAGTCGAAGTTGCCAAAGAGAGAGTGTGTGTGTGTGTGTGTGTGTGTGTGTGTGTGTGTGTGTGTGTGTGTGTGGCAGGGGGAGTTCCAGGGTCTTTTCCCAGGACCCACAACTTGGAAGAATTGGAGAAATGTTCCAGAATAGATATTTCTTTAAGTCTTATTCTCGTGGTTTCAGATTGTAGAACATCCAGTTCAGACCAGTTGAAGCCAAAAAAAAAAAAAAAAGGCATTTTTACTTATAACCCTTGAGTCCAGGAATATCTAACTTCAGTTATGACTGGATCCAGGGACTTAAATGATATCACTAGAATTCGCTTCTCCCCATCCCTCTGCTCTGCCTGCTGCCTCGTTGGTTTCATTCCCAGTCTCCTTGGTGTTTGACTGGCTACTCTAAGTTCTCATGATTATGACACGTCCAGAATGAGGGTGAGTTTCCCTACCAGCTCAACAAAAATCCAAGAGCATTGGCTTGGATTGGCCTGACTCATCCCATCCTCGAACCAATCCCGGGGGCTAGGGGAGTGGAGGAAGCCAACTGGTCATGCGCTGTAGCCCCAGACTCGGGTAGGGAGTCAGTGTCACTGGTTGACAATAAGGAAGGGAAGAGAAGTGGTCCTCAAATGAAAATTAGGATGTTATCATAGAAAGGAAGAGTGGATGCTGCAGAGGAAAGATAACAAATGACTATTACAATGGTGTAAAAGGAAACCCATAGAGAAGAAAGATGACAGAATGTCCCCACCTCAAAGGCCAGCTCCAGTTGATTGCTCGTGGCTCTCTGGAATGTCACATTGAGAAAGTGTCTGAGACTAAGCCAAAGAAAAATACAGTGTCATAATGGATTAGAAATGTCTGCCACGTGCTACAAAACTGTTGACTGCTAGGTATTTGTTTTTCCTTTATTTGGGCATTAGCCAGTGGAAATCATTATAAATGAAAATATATAGAAAGTGATGACTGTGCTGTGGTGACTCCTGAGACCTGCAGTGAGTTTATTTGTTAAAGTTCTTGTTGCATTATTATTCACCCACCCAGTCAGGACAAAGCGAGGGGCTCTAATTAACAAGGTAACTTGTCACCCTCAATGTCCCTCTGTGGTGCTGAGGCAAAGTGGCATTTAACCCTGCCTGTGTTCACTGGTGGCATTGCCAAGACTTTCCAGGATGTGGCCCTGATGGAGACTAGCATTTGATCAGTAATCACTTGCTTGTTCTTTTCCTCCCTTGCTTAACAAATATTGATCAAGCCCCAGTTTGTGATAGGCACTGTTCAGGGTACCACAGAAACAGTGGTGGGCCAAACAGATCTGGCCCCTCTCCTGCGAAGCTCTCAGCCCTCTGAGAGCAGCCCTGCTGGCTTATAGCTTCTTATCATGTCTCTTCTTATTCCTGGTTTGTCATTTTCAAAGATTCCATGTTCAGGTACATTCCATTCCAGCCCAGTGAAAATAGCATCAGATCTGTCTGGAAATGTCTCCACTCCTAACGTTGGGAGAGAACATCAGGTGGCTAAGACCAGCCTTTTCTCCCCAGTGTCCTTGAGAACATCAGTTCCAAGAAGATACTCCTCAACAAAGCCACCATTTAGAAGTTAATGGTAATGCTGGCAATTTATAGACACTATCCCATGTAACACTGTCAGCAATCCTAATAGACAAGTACTATTATTAACAACATCATTATGCAAAAAGGTAGCCAAGAATTAGGAAAGTTAAGTGATTTTCTCAAGTGCACACAGGTGACAAACAGCAGAACTGGGATCCAAATCCTAGTTAGGAACTAGGCTTCTAACCACTAGGCATGCCATGCCTAGGTACCACCATGCCATGAGACCTGGGAACAGAGGTGGTATGGTTTAATCACACATGCAGCCCCAATGGGTTTCATGGAAGGAGGAAGAGAGACTTAAGTGCATAGTCATTAATGATTTCATACGCAGTTATGCGTTGCTTAATACATTCTGCCAAATGCATCGATAGGCAATTTCATCATTGTGCAAATGACATAGAGTGTACTTACACAAACCTAGAAGGTATAGCCTACTACACACCTAGGCTATATGGTAGAGCCTATTCCTAGCAAACCTGTATAGAATGTTACTGTACTGAATACTGTAGGCAATTGTAACAGAATGGTAAGTACTTGTGTATCTAAACACAGAAAAATTATAGTGACAATATGATATAAAAGATAAAAAATATTATACCTGTGTATAAAATTTATTATGCATGGAGTTTGCAGGACTGGAAGTTGCTTGGGGTGAGTTAGTGAGTGGTGAGTGAATGTGAAGGCCTAGGACATTACTGTACACTACTGTGACTTTATAAATACTATTAATGTATACTTAGGCTACACTAAATTTATTGAAATATGTTTTTCTTTCTTCAATAAATTAACCTTAGCTTACTGCAACCATTTTACTTTTAATCTTTTTTTAATTTTATGACTCTTGTAACCACATAGTTTAAAACACAAACACATTGTACAGTTATACAAAAATTTTCCTTCTTTATATCCTTAGTTTAAAAGCTTTTTCCTACTTTTAAACATTTTTATATTTTTTACTTTTTAAACCTTTTTGTTAAAAACTATGAAACACACACACACACACACACGCGCGTGCGCACACATTAGCCGAGATCTACACAGGGTCAGGATCATCAAGACATCATTAGGTGATGGGAATTTTTCAGCTCCATTATAATCTTATGGGATCATCATCTTCTATGCGGTCTGTCTTTGATCACAGGCACATGACTGTATTTGTGTCTTCCTTTTCCTGGGATTAAAGTTATCTCATAGGTTATTAAGAGAAGACTATTGTGTATACTGGGTATCTCTAGTCATGAGGCATTAATTTTGCAAATAGCCCTGCAGACAGTCAAAGCATTTTGTAGCTCAAATAATTGATTGAGCATTAATGAATTGTGGATTTTTAAGTGTCTAGTGAGATTTCTATTTGCTTTAAGAGGATAGGACCCAAGCCCTGGCTTCATTTTTATGCCTCTCATCCTTCCTATATGGGATGCAATACCCCATGGATATAACCGTGCATGTATCCCAAGGACTTCTAGGACAGTCCTAATTTCCTCTACATTTCTTATTTTCAATAAAGAGAATTCTGGATGAGTTGAACTGAATGGGACTTAATTTTTACATCTTTGTAAGAATTTTTGTAAAAATTCCCAGACCAGAAAAATTCACTTTGCCGTTTTCTACTCTGCTTGAAGAAATACGTGTGTGTTTGTGTGTGTGTGTCTGTGTCTGTGTGCAAAAGTGTGTCTATATATTCATAGGATCTTTTTGGATAGAGCTAGGTTTTCAAATGTTTAGCAGAATATTAGGAGGTTTTTTTCTGTAATTCCTCAGGTAGGTGTTCTGCCAAGTGGACTGTTGTGTGTCCATGGTATTAGGGTTGTGGTTATTTCCTAAGTAAGTTTTACAATATCTTCCCAGAGCTTCCCATCCAAGTGGAACATCCATGTTTCTCAAAGAGAGAGCAGCTTCACCTGAAGGTGGCTCAGCTCTTGCCAAAGGGCCAGTACTGCCCATAAGAAGTCAACCCAGTGGGTCCACCTCACAGGCATTTAGGAATTTGGGGATGAAATTTAAATTTTGTAAGTTTCATATTTCAGAACCAAAAGAATGTAAAAGTCATGTAGGAAAGAGATTCTCCAGTTCCCTCCCTGACCAGGAATGTCTGGCAAAGTAGATTTTGTGATTCTGGAGGGGCTGCTTGTAAATGTTTCCTCATAGCAGAGCTGAAGATCATTATCTTGACATATAGTCATGCGTTCTGAAAGAGGATAAGCTTTTTCTTCTGGGTGAGGTCTGTGTTTTTCATACCTCTGAGGCCTTGGTGTCGTGACAAGAGAGGCCATCCAATGGTGAAATTTTTGGAGAAGTGGGTCATCGTGAATGTAGGTGCCAAGCGATCAATTTCCTCCTGGCTTTATGGGATGGAGCAATGGCTGGAGAGAGTCTAGGAAGGATCTCTTAATTGGAGTCTTGTCCTCAATCCTCCTACACATACTGCATGGAATGGAATAAAAGGGGTAAGATTCTATATCAAGTTATAAAAACTCAAGTCAAATTGAACTAAGCAAATGAGGTTTATAACCGCAAGTTATAAAAGTAACAAAAGCTCAAGGGTAGTATTGCTTCAGAAAACATATTTGAATGGAGACATTATGAAACTGTACCTCTGTAATTCCTGGCTCTGCTTTTCTTTGTGTTGTCTTCATTCTCAGGAAAGCTCTCCCTATGTGGAAGTAAGATGGCCATCAACAGCTTCAGGCCTCATTCTACCAACTCAGCAACCCCAATAGAAAGATAAATCCTTTTTCTCCAGTAGTACCCTCAAAAATCTCAAGGCTCACTCTTTTAATTTGACTTGGGTCTTCTTTATACCCGTGGAAGTGAGGGATGGAGTCAGCCTTATTTAATCCACATGGCCTGAGAGGAAGGGAACAATGATTTCCTAATCAAAACCTTAGGTTTCTGTGTCTGGAAGAAGAAGGAATGAGTGGATGACATTTAAATCAAATTAATTGAAAAATACTTTATGCACAATGACTATTGCCTTCCTGGAAAAGCAAAGAAGACTTTGAAAATCTTTCAACTTTATTGTTTTATTTCTGTGCTTTCATTCATTGATTTATTTAGCAATGCTATTGAATGCCCACCATTTAGAAGCACTGTGCTAAAAATCCAATGGTGGACAAGAAAAATATAATGCTTGTCTTTATGAATGTCCCAACCTTGCAGGGAAGCTGGTGTATAGGCCAAGTTATAATCAGTATGTAACGTGCTGAGTGGGGAAGCATAAGGTGCTAGGAAAGCACATAAGATGGAAACCCGTCTCCATCTTGAAGGGATGAAGTTTGAGCAGGAAATAGCCAAGTTCCACAGGGGCTGTGGCATAGAGGGAGGATCAGAAAGGAGAAAAGCATTTCAGAGGAAATAGAAGGTGCAAAAGCCTGGGAGCCAGGGAATAGGAGAATTGTATGTTTAGGGAACTGAAAGAAACTCACTTATGTTCAGAGACTCAAGACTTCCCTTTCTTTCTAGGGGAGCATAGAGTCAATGGTAGATGGCACAAGCAGGAGAAAGACTAGAAATTGGTAGAACTCCTCAGTCTGTTGACTTATCTTGCTACACTGTAGACTTAGACCTCACCTTGTTAACAGTGGAACCAGATACAGTAGACCCAAACTCAAATTAGGCACCTTATATCTATAGATATGTCATGGCACAGAGGGGAAAAAATATTTTGTTGTATTTTATTGTGTGAAAATGTCCCTAATAAGAGAACTGAGGATACAAGGTAGTATATCTTGGTGATGAGATTCAGTGTTGATTTTTAAATTTTTATTTCCATTTATTATCCACATTTTCCATGGATGAGCAGATATTAAAAGGGGGAAAAACCAAAATAAAAACTCTAGCAGTTAATCACCAAATGTTTATTCAATCATGAGGAAGGACCCTTCAAGAAGACAAGCGCAGAGCCCCTCAGCCTCCAGGAACTTGTTATCTGGCTTACTGGAGAGCATTTGTGATTTACAAATGCACTGTGGAGGAAGGAGCTCTTAACCACTGATAGGAAACCAGGAGCAGCTGGGTCTGGAGGGAGTTTTCTCTATAGCAACTGCCTTTTGAGTAAGTTCTTAGATGGGAAGAGGGCATTCCCTGGGAGACTGGAATGAAAGCAGTAAGGAAGAGAATTCTCCAGAATTCTCTTTCCTGCTTATGTCTCCATGAGATTGTTCCTATTTCTTACTGAACTGCGCTATAGTAGATACAAAAAAGTCAGAGGAAATAGGCCCAACCAGGAGCTAGGGAGTTCAAATGTTCATCTTTTCTAGCCAGGGAGGCCTCACATGACCATCATGAAAATGCAAAGGGAAATCAACAAACATAAACTAGAACTGCAAGGATAAGTGTCACACCTAGAACAGAGCCACAACAAAGGAATATCTTATGCTTACGTGGAGTCACCCTTCAGGAATGAGAAAAATAATCTTCTGATTCATATGTACAAAATGCCAAAGGCTTTACAATGAGACAACAAGATGACAGGAAAATTTTAAGCAACCCCAAGATTTGAAAATCAAAACTGGTAAAATATTATATCATCTGGGGTAAATATTTGCATTACAGAACAATCCTTTATCCCCAGGTAAATTTGCCCTTGGTGAAACAGTAGAGTGTCTTCTTATAGATCAGTAGACTTCAAGGTTGGAGCTAATGGGGGCACACAAAGTAAAGCTAAAGCATTAGGAGAAATAGAAATAATCCAAGTTTATGAGAAAAAAATGCATCCTTTAGTCAATGAGTAAGAAAGCAGAGTTTCACTTACTAGAATCGTTTGCATATATTTTTTAAAAATCTTCCTGAGAGCTTACAACTTTTACAATCATAATATAAAAGCTAAATATTTCTTCAGTTGAAGGAAAAAAATGAGTTGAGTTTTCCAGCTGCAATCTGCTCAGCTAGTCAAGGATAGTAAGAGAAAGGATTGATAAAAGTACAAATCAGCAGTGTTATCTTTCAGGCCTAGGAAGCTACCAGTGGCTGGTTTGGTGGTTGCATTTATAGATGATCTATGTGTAGCAGCATCAGAAAAGGGACAGGTTGTCGTTCCCTTCACCACTCCTGCCTTGGGTGAGTATCATGTAAAAAGAACACATTTGAAAGCAGGACCTGGGAACACTTGGGAGATGAGATTGATTCATTTCACAATTTTGAAATAGTCACCAGCTACCCAAATATATGATACTGAAGATTTTTTTTTTTTTAAGCTGGAAGAATTGATTCCTGGATGTTGGCTAGCTCTTCCTTTGTGGTATTCGAGGTCACTAGCCAATGCAGTGTAAGAGTGTGATTGATTGCAATGCTATCATATATTATAATAATAAAAGACGTGTTACTGATACCATAAGAGCTATTTTTATCTTGTTCTTCCCTTATTTTTCATCTGTATCAGTGTGGTTTATGTAAACCTGACACATTTGTATATGTGAAACAGATGCAGAATAAAGCACAGTTGTGTCTGCTCAAAACATATTTTTTAAATCATAGACGTGATTTATGAAAACGTTCTTTGCATATAAGATTTTTCTTTCTCAAAATGCACAATAATTATATATCTACATTTATTTTTTTCTGGTACTTAAGAGGGCTAGGAAAAAAAATGAAATTTTTAAGTTGCTTTGCCTGATCTGTCTTCATTAGCTGTAAGAAAAATAGCATGCGACTTTTCTGCAGATGCAGATTAGATGTCTAGAGCTGCTCTTGCTATTCAAATACATGCTAAGGAAATAGTCCTTTCCACTGCATGGAGCCACACCCCCCTAAAACGCCCTCCGCTACCCAGGTCCAGGTGCTGCTTCCTCTGCCATCTCACAGTGAATGGCAGAAAGAAAATGAGGATCTTTCCCGTCCTTCCCCACAACTCAGTAACTCATGAAGTAAGTTTGCATGAGAGAGGTTAAGGAATCCATGTGCTCCTTATCTCTGCAAATGGCCATTATCCATCAGATTTCTCAGACCTAAAACTCAGGAGTCTTCTTCACCCTCATGTCTGATCGATGACCATGGGTTGAGAGATTTTATTTCCTTAATGTTTTCATAATCTACCTACTTCTCTCTGTCTCTGCCACTACAGACTACAAAACCCTGGACCAAACCATCACCAGCTGTCTCCTGGACATAGAACAGTTTTCAACTACTGTCCCCAAATCTATTCTTGCCCTCCTGGACCCTCTACTGTGCTGCAGCTAGTATGATCAGAAAAGACAGGGAAGAGTTACCAGTCCCCAGGAAAAGCTGTGGCTGTAGGAAAGGGCTCTCTGCCAGGAGCCCCTGAGTGGAATCAATGAAGGAGTAGGCCTGCAGTAGAATGAATGAATGAATGAATGAATAAAGAATAAATACCGCAGCCTGTCTGTCCTCTCCTTGTTTCCATGTCCTCTGGCACCTTCCATTGACTAAACCCAACTCAAATGTAGACAGCAGGAAGGCCCAGGGAATGAACTTTATAGAGGTCGGCCTCCTGGGATAGAGAGAAGGATGGAGAAGGGCAGAGAGTGGATCTGGTGGGGGCACACAGAACAGATGATAAACCATGCATAGCTCCTCTGCTCGAAACCCTTCTGATGGTACCCCACTGCGCTGAGGTTTAATGCCTACTGTCCTATCTCAAATAGAAGTCAATGTGTTAGAATTAAAGAAAAAAAGAATTGTAGTTTTCTTACTTTTCCTAGCTACAGTAAGAAGCTGATGGCTAATGAGATGCTGCCAAACCTTTTAGAAGAGTCTCAGAGGTTAGCACATTGTTCAAATGGATGTTGTTATATTGTTATTTAAAGAGCTTCTAGATGGTCTCCGCTGTCTTGTTCCTGTAGCTGCTTTCTCTTAACATCCCGACATCTCCTCTATCTTGGTTGGTGCAAATGTGAATGCCACCCCAGTCCCATAAGAATGATCCTGAGTCTGAATTTGTTTCCATCAGTAGAGTTGAGCTTGTCACTGGGTTTCATGCGAAGATGTATCAGTCGGTTCTCCTCAACACAGTTAACAGTTTGTTCTAACATACCTTCTTACCCCTTGTAAAGAGGTGGATATTTGCAAGATTAGTTTTAAATTGGCATGTGCATTTACCATGCGAAGACTGATAGCACTTCAAAAGCACTTTTAAAGAAAATTATGATCTCTGCTTCTATCATCTATTTATGCCACAGCTTTGTTCTAAAAATATTACAGGAAAGCGGAAAGCGGTCCCAATCCAGACCCCAAGAGAGGGTTCCTGGATCTCACACACGAAAGAATTCAGGGCAAGTCCATAGTGCAAAGCAAAAGCAAGTTTACTAAGAAAGTAAAGGAACAAAAGAATGGCTACTCCATAGACAGAGCAGCCCTGAGGGCTGCTGGTTGCTCATTTTTACGGTTATTTCTTGATTGTTTGCTAAACGAGGGGTGGATTATTCATGCCTCCCCTTTTTAGACTATATGGGGTAACTTCCTGATGTTGCCATGGCATTTGTAAACTGTCATGGCGCTGGTGGGAGTGTAGCAGTGAGAATGACCGGAGGTCACTCCCGTCGCCATCTTGGTTTTGGTGGGTTTTAGCAGGCTTCTTTACTGCAACCTGTTTTATCAGCAAGGTCTTTATGACCTGTATCTTGTGCCGACCTCCTATCTCATCCTGTGATTTAGAATGCCTTAACCATCTGGGAATGCAACCCAGTAGGTTTCAGCCTTATTTTACCCAGCTCCTATTCAAGATGCAGTTGCCCAGGTTTACACACCTCTGACAAAAAGACTTGAGATCGTCTTTTCTTTTTCTCTTTCTTGCCCTTCTTTCCTGCTTGCCCTTCTTCTCTTTCTTTTTCCTTCTTTCTTTTCTTCTATGTTCTCATTTATCTCCATCTTCTAGACCTTTTCACCTTTTCCTAAGAAGAGTGCCTTATCTTCCTTTTAAATTATTATTTTTTAAAGTATAGTGATGTACAATGTAAAACAATTACAGCCCTTGGAATTAACTCCTATTAACACAGCATGTATGGTTCTAGTCTTTTTCTACAAGAGGAATTTATAAGAGAACCCTTTCTGTCCCATTTAACAAAGAGCCCAATGTACTTATATATATGCCTTTACAATTATAGAGATTATATATGAATTCACTACCCTAAAACAAAATTAAAGCATTGCATTCAAAGCTGAAGGCTCCTTTGATTTCTACCCCCATTTTCACCAACCTTCCACATGACCCCAGGCCAGTGCTATGAGATTATACCCATGTTCCTATAAGGGTATTTAACAATGTAAACTTTTTTCTGTTTCCTCCCACATCCTGTCATTTGATCATTGCAGTAATTCCTTGTAGTTATTAGGAGCAAAGAGGTGTGTTAACCCCATTTTACAGGTGAGAGGCTGAGGCTCGTGGATGTTCTGGAAGTGTTCATATGCTGTGCTCACATCTGCTTAGTGGCATCACGAGCCCTTTCCTTAGGCTTCGTTGCAATCATGAAGATGGATTTGTAAAGAAACCCATCCCCTAAGGATCTCCAGATTTGTCTTCTCCCTTTTCCTCCTCTCCTTCCTGTAACTGGCCCATTTGGAGAAGAGCCTTTGTTTGCCTTCTTGCTTTGCTGACCCTCTCTGCTGCTCCTGCATGGCTTCCCTGTTAATGGAAGGGCTGGCATCCCTGCACCTTGGTCATGCCCAATTCATTTTAGTGGACTGGGTCAGCCAAGCCAAAATTTACTCAGGCCCAAAGCCACTGGGCAGGGTCTTTTACAACATCCACAGCAGCAGCCAATGAGGAGGCTTGTGTAGTTCAAGTTCATTGCCTTTTGGGATTGATGCCCAAGGCCTTTGGGACGGGTCCATTGCATTCCTTTGTAAGGTACAGTGACCACCTCTTGGGCAGCTTGGGAGTCCCATGGATTCCAATAAGGCCAGCTGGTGTCATTTCATTGGCACTTAAGGTTGGAAGCCACCCCTGGGCTTTTCACAGGATTTGGAACCTTCACCCTGCAGCTCAGAGTCCTCATTAAGCAGCCAACTCCACATGGCTCTTTAGAGGAGAGAGGCTGTAAAATACATGCGGGGAGGATTCCGGAGAAATTTGTTTAGGTGTTACCTTCCTTTGTAGCCTTTCAAAATTCATCTTAGAATTGTAACCAACTGAGGACACGTAGGCTGGTCTAAAACATGTCATCTAAACCAGCAAGCCCCAATGTTTTTGACACCAGGGACTGGTTTCATGGAAGACAAATTTTTCCACAGACTGGGGGGTGTGGAGGGTATGATTTAGGGATGAAACTGTTCCACCTCAGATCATCAGGCATTAGATTCTCATAAAGAATGTGCAACCTAGATCCCTCACATGCGCAGCTCATGATAGGGTTTGCACTCCTATGAGAATCTAATGCTACCGCCGATCTGACAGGAGGCAGAGCTCAGGTGGTGAGGCTCGCTCACTCCCGCTCACCTCCTGCTGTGTGGCAGGCCATGGACTGGTACCAGTTCATGGCCTTGGAGTTGGGGACTCCTAATCTAAACCATATGCATCATCTGGAATGATTCAGAGGAAAACCAGGATGGGTGTCACCCCACCTCTAGTGTCCTATCCACCTTTGGCTGAATTCATTCACCTTTTCCATAGATCAATTTACTTTTTAAAAAGCTTGAATTTCTTCTTTGCTGATTAGCCAAGGTATTTAATTGATGGATTTGTGTTTGGGGTGTCCTAGGGCTGTCAGAATGCAGTTGTAGTTAAAAGCAAAATTTTGGAGTCAGACCTGAGTTTGGATTCTGGATTTACCCCGTGCTGTAAGTAATTGTGAATTACTTTTTCAAAAGAGTCAGTGAAAATTAATGGTGAAGAGAAGGGAGTATGGAAACAGAATGCCCAGTTGCAACTTCAACTCCCCTACTTCTAGATGAGTGACTTAGGCAAATCACTTAACCACACTGTGTTACAGTTTTCCCATCTGTAGAATGAGGATAAAAACAGCACTTAACTGCAGCAAAGTTGTAGGATGCAACAACAACACACAAAAATCATTTGCATTTTTATACATTAACAATGAACAATCTAAAAAGAAAAGAGGACAATTCCATCTGTAATAGCATCGAAAAGAATAAAATACCTAGGAATAAACAACTGAAGAGGTGAAAGATTTGTACATTGAAAACTACAAAATATTGCTGCAAAAATTAAAGATACAGATAAAATGAAAGACATCCCGTGTCCATGGATTAGACTTGATATTGTTAATATGTCCATACTACCCAAAGTGATCTACGGATTAATTGCAATCCTTATTAAAATCCCAATGACATTTTTTTTTTTTTTGCAGAAATAGAAAAATCCCAAAATTCATATGGAATCTCGGGGGACCCCCAATAGCCAAAGCAATCTAGAAAAAGAACAACATTGAATGTCTCACACTTCCCAATTTCAAAACTTAATACAATGCTATGGTAATCTATGCTGTGTGGTAGTGGCATGATGACAGACATAGAGACCAATGGAATAGAGTAAAAAGTCCAGAAAGAAACCCTTGCATATATGATCAGATGATTTTCTAATTGGCATCAAGACCATGAAATGAGGGAAAGGATAGTGTTTTCAACAAATGATATGGGGAAAACTGGATATCCACATGTAAAGAATGAAGTTGGGCCCTTACCTTACACCATATAAGAAATTAACTCAAAATGGATCAGAGATCTAAATGAAAGAGCTAAAACTATAAAACTCTTCAGGAAAACAAAAACTTCGTGGCATTGGATTTGGTAATGATCTCTTGAAAAGGACACCAAAAGTAGGGGCAACAAAAGAAAAAAATAGGTAAGTTCAACTTCATCAAAATTAAAACTTTTGTGCATCCAAGGACACCATCAGCAGAGTGAAAAGGCAACCCATGGAATGAGAGAAAATACTTGCAAATCATTTATCTGATAAGGGATTGCTATTCAGAACATGTGAACTCCTACAACTCAACAACAGAAAAACAAATGGCCTGATTATAAGTGGATAAATAACTTGAATAGACATTTCTCCAAAGAAGAGACACATATGGCCAATCAACACATGAAAAAAAATATGTTCAACATTACTAATCGCTAAGGAAATGTAAATCAAAATGACAATGAGATATCACTTCATACTCATTAGGATGTCTGTTATTAAAACAAACAAAAACCTGAAAGTGGTGGTGAGGATGTGGAGACATTGGAAGCCTTGTGCGTGGCTGATGAGGATGTAAATGAGACAGCTATTGTGGAAAGTAGTATGGCAGTTGCTCAAAAAATTAAACATAGAATTACTATATGATCCAGCAATTCCGCTTCTGGCTATACATTCAAAACAATAAAAAACGGGGACTCAAACAGATATTTGTACACCCATGTTTATCACAGCATTATTCAAAATAACCAAAAGGTAGAAACAACTCAAATGTCCATCAACAGATGGATAAACAAAATGTGGTATATACATATGATGGAATATTGTTTCACCTAAAAAGTAAAAAATTCGGACGCATGCTACAATATGGATAAACCTGAAATCATTAAGTCAAATAAGCCAGCACAAAACGACAAATACTGTATGATTACACGTTTAAGAGGTATTTACTTAGAGGAGTCAAATTCATAGAGACAGAAAGTAGAATAGTGGTTGCTGGGGGTAGGGGAGGGAGTTTGGGAAGATGAAAAAGTTCTGGAGATTGATGGTGGTGATAGTTGCACATTGTATTAGTCCATTTTCATAGTGCTGTGAAGAAATACCAGAGACTGGGTGATTTATAAAGGAAAGAAGTTTAATTGACTCACAGTTCCACATGGCTGGGGAGGCCTCACAATCATGGCAGGAAGGGGAAGGGGGAGCAAAGTCACATATCACATGGCAGCAGGCAGGAAGGGGAAGGGGCAGCAAAATCACATCTCACATGGCAGCAGGCAAGAGAACGTGTGCAGGGGAACTGCCCTTTTTTAAAAAAAGTTATTTTTTTGTCCTTTGTAGGGACATGGATGAAAATGGAAATCATCATTCTCAGTAAACTATCGCAAGAACAAAAAACCAAACACCACATCTTCTCACTCATAGGTGGGAATTGAACAATGAGAACACATGGACACAGGAAGGGGAACATCACACTCTGGGGACTGTTGTGGGGTGGGGGGAGGCGGGAGGGATAGCATTAGGAGATATACCTAATGCTAAATGACGAGTTAATGGGTGCAGCACACCAGCATGGCACATGTATACATATGTAACTAACCTGCACATTGTGCACATGTACCCTAAAACTTAAAGTATAATAAAAAAAAACAAATAACAATTAAAAAACATTATTTTTTTGAGACAGAGTCTCGCTCTATTGCCCAGGCTGGAGTGCAGTGGCACAGTCTTGGCTCACTGCAACCTCTGCCTCCTGGGTTCAGGCAATTCTCCTGCCTCAGCCTCCTGAGTAGCAGGGACTACAGGCACCTGCCACCACACCTGACTAATTTTTTGTATTTTTAGTAGAGACGGGGTTTCACTGTGTTAGCCAGGATGGTCTCTATCTCCTGACCTCATGATCCGGCTGCCTCGGCCTCCCAAAGTGCTGGGATTACAGGTGTGAGCCATCCTGCCTGGCCAGGAACTGCCTTTTATAAAACCATCAGATCTCATAAGACCTATTCACTGTCACGAGAACAGCATGGGAAAAACCCATACCCATGATTCAATTACCTCCAGCTGGGTCCCTCCCATGACACGTGGAGATTATGGGAGCTACAATTCAAGATTGTCACAAACCATATCACATATCAATGTGAATGTACTCAATGCCACTGAGCTATACACTGAAAAATGATTAAAATGGTAAATTTCATATTATGTGTATTTTACCACAACAAAAAATAGCACTTACCCCTACTGTTGTTAGGAGAACTAAATAAATTATTGGATCTACAGCAAGTCCAAAGCAAGATTTGGCAAAATTTTCCTGTAAAGAACCAGAGAGAAAGTATTTCAGAGTTTGTGGGGCATATAGTCTTTGTTATAACTATTTAATTCTGTTATTTTAGGAGAAAAATACTTATAGACAAAACGTAGGTGGATGTGTGTGGCTATATTGCAATAAAATTTATCAAAATAGGTAGTGGATGAAATTTGGTCCATGGGTTACTAGTCTGCCGATCCTTCATCCAAAGCATTTAGAACAGTTTTGGGCACAGAATCAGTGATATTTACATATTAGATATTGTTGTTCCTATGCAGCATTGCTGTGAATAATTTAATAAAATAATGCATGAAAGTACCTGGAACACAGCATGTATTATCTAATGTATAGTTTTTAAATCATGACCTGCTAGGGATATTTCATGCCAGGTTTGAAACCAGAGGGACAAATTAGCACTCAGGTCTGACTGAGCAGAAATGAGGCAGGGCACAACGGCACTGAATGAAGCACAGACTTTCCTTAAATTGGGTGGATGCTCCACAGCTTTGATGGAGCTCGCCTGTGCACTGTGGCCTTCTCAACATGGACTGATGCTCCCCCTCATTAATTAGGGATACATTGGGCCCTTTACTGGCTCTCATGGGCCCCAGTGTACTACCTAGAGAGTGGTGTTCAGTGTGATCTCTGGACGGGCAGCTTCTACATCACTGGGGAATTTGTTAGAAATGCACATTTTCAGCACCCCCACCCCCAGCTCCACTGAGAACTCTGTAGGTGGGGTAGGCAATCTGTGTTGAACAGACCCTCACCCGCACCCCAGTGATTCTGATGCTGCCAAAGTTTGAGACCCACCGCTCTGTATAATGAAGTGATAGTCTGTATTCCTTGCCTCAATGGGATTGGAGTTTACAGCTGGGCAAGGGGAAAAGCTGTGCTTTTCATAACTCTGCCCTGGCACCTCTCCCTCTAGTGCAAGGCCCAGTTTCTAACATCTTCAGTGTGTGTGTGTGCATGTGTGAGTCAAGGAGTGAACACATAAAAGCAAAGGGTGATTTATCATATCATTGTTGTTGCTGTGTTGACATCTGCATGAGTGGCCAGGGAGATCTCTGATAGGGAAAGGCAGCCATGGTAAACCATGCTCACTGAGCAGTAAAAGGTGTTCCGTGAAGTCAACCACCTTGAAGGACTTGAAGGTCTACATTCAAGTCTTAAAATAAACCTGACCATTGCATAAATTAGGCTGAAGACTTCAGGACCCTCGCATACTGCTCATCCTGCTAACATCTGGGGGAAACTTCTTGCTTCCTTTGTTCTCCTGTCGGAACTTGTTTTGGTAGTGATGTTGGCAGGGTCTTCTCATTAGAATGTTAGTGTGGAGAATTCTCCGGTTGGCTATAATTCTTGATGTGTGTCAAACACACCAAAAGACATTTCTCTTCTCTGCTGCCCAGAACCAGTCCAGTCCACATGCACATAGTTTCTGTGTGACCACAACCTTCTCCTGTCAGTTAGAAGGACAGGATAACCCCTTCTAGTCATGCTAGCCCAGGCCTTTTGATTCCTTTGCAGAGACACATTCCCTGGAGGGCAGAGGAAACTGGAACTGTCTGCTGAAATTAATGGCTTTCTGCCTCAAAGGAACTGGAAGGAGGGCCTCCCAGGTGACCAAGGAATCCACGGTCTCCCAGGTAAACTGTAAGAGCATGGAGGTATGAACACATCACGCAAGGCTATGGGTGAGTCGAGATGGGATTTGTGACTGGAGAGAGCCTCCGGGCCAGGCTGTGGTAAACACCATCCAGGATCCAAAACAAGATGTGAGGAGAAGCGCATTTCCTCTGGAGTCATCTTCTGCCTCATCCAAAACACTTTGCGTTTGAAAAAACACACACTCACTCTCTCTCTCTGAAGAGACCAGCCAAGATCTGACCCCAGCCAAGATCCAAAAAGGAGAGTGAGGGAATAAATGGGATGATTTGGACACAGATGTTTGAATAGATTTCTCCTTAGGAGAGTTGAATGGCTTAGGGAGACGGCAGATAGAAACATGCGCACATATACACATCACTACCAAGGATAAAGTCGGGTTGGTGCTAATTTCTCCTTGTATTGCATTTCTTAATCTTTGCTCTCGAATGGGTCTTCCAGATGCCTCTTTGCATTGGGATTCCATGATGATTGTTTTGCATGTATTATTAATGGTATTTTTATTTAGGGAGGAATTAATAATGATGGTTGTCTGTAAAAGAGGACTCACAAAGCAGGTACCAATTCATTTATGCCTCAGTCCAGGTAGTCACCATTTCACTTTGCAGTTTCCAGAAGGCAGGAACAGGAGGTAGAAAGAGGTATGTCAGCTAAAACTAATTGGATTCAAATAGTGTGAACATCACATTTCTTGCAGGTGGGTGAGAAGGTAGTGGTGGCCACTGTTAATGCTGCTAAATGCCAACCACTTGTTCTACAGCAGGGAACAAGCTGGAGATGATGGCAATGGTGTGGTGTATGTTCATGTTTATCAACAAAGCTACTTCCAATTTAAAAGAAATAAGGGGCCACCCACACTGTGTTCAAGGACCTTCTCATTCCTCAAATTTTCCTTCCTTTTGCTCGCTGGTGCTCCTGATTTATTAATTTGAGGCAGGATGCTTTTCATTTTTCTACTGGAAAAAAAATGAACAGGACAAAGTTTTAACTAAAAATGGGAAATGTGACTGAAGTGCAGATGAATGCATGTTTAATATTAGAGCATCTTCCCTGCCAGTGACCTTGATGAATGAAGAACTCACCAAGCCCCTGAAGGCAAAGGGAAGGGTAGCAAAGTGCTCAGGAATTTATCCTCATAAGTTGCACAGTACTGACTTATCACTCGTCCCTGGGACTGGTGTTCAATGTTCACCTCTGTGCAGAGTGTTCTGAAGAATTCAAGCTTATATACTCAGCGGTCACTCTTTTCTCTTAGTCTCCTTGGAGAGAGGCATTCCATTCACAATTAACTCACTTAAAGACTGGACTCAGAGGAAGTGTAATGGGTGAACACTCAAAGCACAGGAGGAGAGGTAGGAACTGAGTCCTGGAAAAGGAGGAAAAGGCCTTCCAGGCAGAGCAAACAGCTCAGGCAAAGCTTTGGAGATGGGCATGGGTAGGGGGTGCTTTGTGAGAAGTGGGGAGTCCAGTGTGAAGTGGAGTGGAGGATGTTAGGAGGTGTGTATGAGACACAAATGCCAGGGTGGGCAGTGGGATTTTATTGCCTTTTGAAATGAGGAGCCATAGAAGGTTCCTAAGCATGAGATGATAAGATCAGATTTTGAATTTTTGGTATAAAAACTGGTGTAAAGTGTGGAAGGTGGGATGGGAGAGGGAGAGGCTGGCATGGACCAGCCATTTGTGGTGTCTGTATTACTTTAGGCAGAGATGTATTGACAATATTGAAGTCAAGAATTGATTACATTAGTTGATGTGGCGTCATTGGGAGGGCAGGGGTTTTGGTCAGTAAGGGGGACAAGTTGCTGATGGCCATGCCTAGTTTAAAAGCCTCTCAATGACCATCTCAACCCATATTTGTGAGGAATGGCTTCCAAGAACCTTAAGAGCCCTAACAGGCCCTCCTTTTAACCTCCCCCTGAAGCTGAGACATCTGAGGAATGAGGCTGGATTGCACAATTGAATTTTCCACCTGGGCCCCACCCCAGGTCTGGTACCATCCGTGGGAGGGTGGTACTGGAAACTTTGGAGCTCTACTATCAAGATTTCTTAGCTGTTCTGGTTTTTACTTGGAGTCCTGGGCCCCTCCCAAGGGAGAACAGACCACTTTGGAAGCTATGTCCTGGGCAAGATGGGCTTTAATCAGTACTTAGAGAAACTCCCCATTCAGTGCATTGCTGAACACTTGCCACATCACTTGCTACTTCATAATTTCCTTTAATCCACACTCTACCCCTTTATCATCACTTTACTGATGATGAATGAGACTGGGGCTCAGAGAGTTTCTTAAGCTTCTTTTTCCTGGTTTTACTTCCTAGTTTTGGTAAAACATCCACTGAGAATCTATTAGTATTTGCCATTCTGTCTCCCTCTCCTTTGTTACATGAGCTATTTTTTTTTTGCTCTCTCTCTCTCTCTCTCTCTGGCAGTTTTTAGGACCTTCTCTTTATTTTAGGGAGAATCTTTTTTCATTCATTGTATTGGACACTTGGTGGGCTCTTTCAGTCTTCAAGCTCATGTCATTCAATTTTATTGACATCTCTTGTTTGCTGCAGTCAGAGACCTTGTTCTCATGGTCCTGCAGACTTACTGCTCCTTTTTTATGTCCTTGATTGCCATTTTAGAAGAGTACCATTGGAAAGGGGGGCATGGACGTAAATGTGTGTGTGCTGAGGCCCTCATGTTTGACAGCAGTTCCTTGGAGCTATTTAACATATTTTTCTACAACTCTATCAGAAATTGTTGTTGTTCATGCTAAAGCCAAATAGGCTAATTAGAAATAATAGCCTAATTATAAAGCATTATCCAGTTCCCATAATAATGCTTGGAACCTGGTAAGTACTCAACTAATACTTGGAGATTACATATGATACGCATAAACTTGATGCTGCTTTTTGAGTACTTTAATTGTGTGTGTTTGTGTGTGTGTGTGTGTGTGTGTGTGTGTGTGTGTGTATTTGGGACACTGAGTATGGGGAAGAAGCATGGACTAACAATACAAGGAGATCTGGGTTCCATTCTTGGCTCCATCATAAGCCAAACAAATCCTGTAACCTCCCTGACGCTCAATTTTCTTCCCTGTAAGGTGAGAATAACAATATCAATTTGCAGGATTATTTGGAAGATTAGACATGATAATAATGACGATTTTAATGCTAATTAACACCTACAGGGTCTTGAATCATGTTGTATGTTACATCCCATCTCTTAATTATTCCATATGATAGCCCTATGAGGTGGGTAATACATCTCATCTTAAAGTTAAGAAAAATGAGTTTTAGAGAGGTTATGTTTCATGCCTAAAGTCACCCACCATGGGGAGGGGGAGGCAGGCGGGAATCACATCTAAGTCTGCCTCCCTCAAAGTGTATGATTTTAAACCTCTAACTCTGCTGCATGTACCATATAGAGCCATATAAATGATAGGTGCTACCATTGTGTTCAGGAAAATTGGGAATAATGCCTTTCTTGATTCTCAATGCGGGTTTTGTTTATTTTTGGTAGACATAATCTATCAAACAAGGTAGCAGTAGACAAGGATCGGTGAAAAGGGGCATTTGGTGGTGAAAGTGAAGTGGCCCCTTGAGGAGGTTATCCATGCAGTGTCTTCCAGCACTAACACTACCTTTGACTTCATAGCAGTTTCAGGCTGTGTAGAAACCCAATTCAAACTGGCTTAAGCCAAAAAAGAGGATTTACTGGCTGTAACTGAAAAGCACAGGAGCTTCTAGCTTTAGGTCTTCAGGCATAGCTGGATTTGAGATCCCAAAAGCCGTCCTTAGGGCTCAGACGTCCAGCTCTGTTGTGTTCCATGTTAATTCCATCCTCAGTTGCAATGGCTGCCAGCATTGTCAAGCCCACAGCTCCCCTTGCAATTCCTGTGGAAACAATGACTCTTTTCAACAATTCTCCCACAAGGTTTGGAGTTGAATTTCTTATTGGCTCTGATTATCCCACTCCTAGAGCCTTGGTTGGGAGTCTGCTCACATTAAATCAAAGGAAATTGAAAGAGAATGCAAGGTAGTTTCCCCAAGAACAATCAGAATCTAGGAGGTGGGAAATGGATGCTGAGCAGTCAAAAAGAAGGATGCTTTCCACATTGAACTCCGGGGAATCCTCCTTGAAGGCTCTGAGAGGTGGGAACACAGGACAGGGTGTGGAAGCAGGATGGGAAGGATGCTGTAGAGCCCAGACACCCAAGTTAAGAACCTCTGAGTCACACAACTCCATGGTTCTATTCACATGGTAGAGTCTATGTAAACAGCCCATGTGCTCAAGTCTCATTTTAGTTACACCAACTCAGTCCTTGTCAGTTTTGTGTGGGCCACCATAGAATAATTAAATAAAGTTTGAAAAATATTGTATTAACTTAAAGAGGTTAAACAGTGGAGATGCAGGGATCCTGGGAAGCTGGCAGAAGAGAGATCTGTGAGCAGGAGAAGGGAGCATCTGTCCTACATGCCAAGGACTGGGCAGTGGGTTTACAAAAGGAGAAGCAGAGTAGCTGAGAGAGGGGGGATCTGTGGCAGAAGCTGAGATAAAGTCATAACTGGGAGTCATCCGTGCTAGGGTGCAAACCCTGGGTGTCACCAGCTGGCTCAGGTGGGAGTCCCTGCTCAAGACATGGCCAGCAAGCCATGGTTGGTAACATCTGCATCAAGTTTCAAGAGATCTGTCTTAGGGTCCTAAAGAATTTATGTCTGCATCCTGCCACCAGGGAAAAGAAAGATGAAGGGCAAAAGGATATTACCTGCAAGAGGAACACAAGGTATTATTTGAAGCCACTAGAAAGAATGAGGGGAATATCTGGTGTCTGGCTTTTTTCTTTCCTGCCCATTAATGAGCTCTTGAACAATTGCTGTGTTCCTGGCCCAGTGCTCAGCACTAAAGGAGAAGATCCGAAACGTACATGAATATTTCAACAGTTCGGACTCAAGATACCCTCCACAGAATGTACCCTGGGTCCAAGAAGGCAATAGGGATCTGGCCAAGTGTTTAACAACTAACTTTTTGGGGGTGGGGTAAAGACTCCTGGCATTTGCTAGTATCTGTGGCGTAAATGCTCCCACCATGATTAGTTTCAAGCTACTAGCATGACACCATTGAACTTGGAGTTGGGTAGAGCTACACAGTAGCCCACTATTATAAGTCTTTTCACTGTACAGATGCTAAAGATGTAAATAACCTCAAGAATATAGGTAACAGCAAAATGTAGTAAAATACTTAGAAAGGGATGGCTCTTTAGCATTTATCTTTGTATTTAATATAAGTTATTTAAGTATATATATAAAAGTTAATTTTTTGTTGTTGTTGTTGTTGAGACAGAGTCTCGCTGTCGCCCAGGCTGGAGTGCAGTGGCGCAATCTCGGCTCACTGCAGGCTCCGCCCCCTGGGGTTCACGCCATTCTCCTGCCTCAGCCTCCCGAGTAGCTGGGACTACAGGCGCCTGCCACCTCGCCTGGCTAATTTTTTGTATTTTTAGTAGAGACGGGGTTTCACCGTGTTAGCCAGGATGGTCTCGATCTGCTGACCTCGTGATCCGCCCGCCTCGGCCTCCCAAAGTGCTGGGATTACAGGCGTGAGCCACCGTGCCCGGCCAAAAGTTAATTTTTAATAATGACTATGTTTAATACTTGATTCACAGAATTCCAGAGGAGCCCACAATGGGCTCTTGTGAGTCTTTTTGGCTGGCTCCAGCACATGACTGCCTTGTCATCATTCTCCCAGGTCCTAGAGGTTCAGCCTGCTTCCCTCATCTTTTAGAAGTCTCACCCCAAGGCAGATGCATTGCCTAGACTGATAAATGGTCAATCTCTTAAATGTGCTCTCTGTTAATTGAGGCAGGAAGCTCTTTCATTCATCTCCACCTCCTCAGGGTGGTCCAACAAGGCACAGCAAACATTTGATGAGTGACTGAGTGAGTAGCTGCTGGGAACAGGCTGGCTGTGGAGGCACAGAAATAAATTCTAGGTTCCCTGCTCCACGTTTTCACAGCTCATGATGCTTCTTGGGCCTGGCAACCATCACAGGTGTGACCATCTGCTTAATGGCTGTTTGCATAGCTTGGGGCATCCTTCCATGAGGACAGGGACTGCAGCTGGCTTTTCACTACTCCAGCCCCAGTGTTTAGCGCATAGTAAATGATCAGTCAATGTTTGTTGATTCTGGCTGACTCTACAAAGTTAATAGTACTTTCTGTTAACTATGCAGAAAATACTCAAATGCATTTCTGTTGAAAAAGTATCTCTCATTACAGATAAGGCTAAGCACCCTTTGACCAGCCCTTAATTCCAAATACTCTCCTAATGACAACATGATCACAGCAATTGGTGTGGTGTACATCTTTTCAGTTTTTATTTTGTTTTCATTTACTTACAAATATATCTATAGAAATATATGGCATTGTTTTGGGACTTTTACCTTTTATTGTGAAATATTTACAGATTCACAAGAAGTTGCAAAAATAGTAGAACGAGATCCCTTGTACCCTTCACCCAGTTTCCCCCAGTGATTACATCTTATGTAACTATACAATATCAAAACCGGGAGTTACATTGGTAAAATGTGGGTATATAGTTCTATGCCATTTTATCACATATGTAGACTTGTATAACCACCACCACAATCAGGATACAGGATTATTCCATCAACAGATTATTCCATCACCTATCCCTTTATACTCTTCTCTCCATTCCACAACTCTCTCACCCAACCAACCACTAATCTGTTCTCTATCTTTATAGTTTTGTCGTTTTGAGAATGTTACATAAATGAAATCATACAATATTTGATCTTTTAAGCTTGTTTTTTTCCACTCAGCACAATGCCCTTGGAATTTGAGTCTGTTCTTGTTTGTAATATAAATGACATTGTGTTGCATGTATTCTTTTGAAATGAACTGTATGTCCCAGAGACCTTTCTCTTTCAGTATACTCAGATGGGTCTGATTCTTTTTAACTGTCATATAATGCTCCATAAAATAGATCATCATACTTTCTTAAGTTCCCCTATTGATTGTTGTCCATGAACTCTTCCCCCGTCCCCAACAAGGGGCTGCTTACAGAGCAGTCCCTTTCCCAAGCTCCTCTGCACAGAGGTCCTTACCCGTGAGTTGCACTTAGCCATGTGAAAAGCAGAAAAAATGGTGTTTGGGAGAAGGTGCCCCAAAGATTCCACAGAAGGAGTCTCAAAGCTTGAAGAAAGACTCATCAGCAAGTTCTCATGGCTCTTGAGTCTCTTCTGTTTAACTCTTTCCCTAAGAGGTGGCTTATCTTCTCATCACCCAGACCAATGAATAAAGCCAGAGGGAGAGGAGAAAAATAAACCAGTTATCTCCAGTTGCCCATTCATGTAAATGGCAATTCCCATGGCAGTGATCTCTGCCCCTGAGGCTCCAGAGAGACATCCTGCACACACACACTCTCACACAGACACAGACACACACACACACACAAACGTACTCTCTCTCTCTCTCACACACACATTCTCTCACACTCACACACACCCCCAAGGGAGGTAGGAGCAAGTGATAGAATGCCAATCAGCCTTCTTTTGACCTTTGCGTAGGATTAAGACCCTCTCCAGCAAGCATGTGATGAAGCACTGACTCTGGGGGGTGTTGAATATTAGGTAACAGGGAGGAAGTGAGATTCTGAGAACCCTCCTTTGACCCCACTGAAAGAACACAAGTCACAAACTCACAGCTCCATCCTGAAGGAAGCCTGTCATTGTTTCTGGGCCAGAAAGCTTTGACAAGCCCCAAATCCTAACCTCCAGAGCCCAGTCAAGACTGATTTCTAAAGACTCCAGTTCTGGGCCTCTCACAAATTCCTTATTTGCCTCCCCACCCTTCTCTTGCCACACTCTGAGCATTTGGTACAAAATCTTAGGGCTGGTATCTATGTCTGGAAGACTCAAAACTTTATTTAGAGTTTCCTTATTCTTTGGGAGAATAAGATCAGGCTCATTTTAATAGACTAAACCAGGAATCTAAACTGAAGGCAGAGGCCATGTAAACAAAACCCTTTTATGTGGTGACTCCAAATGAGTTTACTTTAACAAAAACAGGACAAGTAAATAAGTGAGGTTTACAAATATAAACTGCAAAGTTGCTGAAGTGTGAGATAAATTGTCTAAGGCCCTTCTGTTTAAATTCTCTGGCCTGGCATGTCTCCTTTTGAGTTTTTATCAGAGGGAATCTGGGAAGGAGAGAATGTTCTGTACAAGAGAAAAGAATTTCCCATAGTGGGGCCAACCAGTGATCTGATTAGAAGACCTCATGCAGGGGCTACCAAAGCTGACCATTCCTCCCTCCCAGGGTTCAGGGACATACCTGGCTGGTGATATCACCCCTGTTGAAGGGACTGTTAGAAACAGCTTGTTCTGCCATCATGACCCAAGAGACCAATGCAGTGGTGGAGGGAGTTAGGCAGTTGACTTCAGAGAGATGAGAAAAATTCCAGAAGATGTCATTTTTACTTGAGGGGAAATTTCCCTCCTTTATCCACCAAGAGGCAGTGGGTGTGCCCAGCAGGTGGAATTCATTATGAAGATGAGCATCCTTGCCAGTGGGACTGGTGACCTGGCATTCAACCACTCTCCCAGGGAAAGAATCTAAACATGGCATGAGATTTCATCTGAGTGGTTCCAAGACAGTTTTGGATTTGGAGGTGTGAGTAGAGTTCAAACCAGTACAAATATTGTGGGAAAAAGGCAAAGAACAGGGAAGGGGTGGCAAGATAACCTATATGCTGTGGGGTGCTAACACATGTTTAATAACTGGCTCTTGGAGTTGGAAAGAGAACTCTGATTTGCAGCGTTTGTGGATTTCTGTGGTGTAAAGATTCCCAATATGGGTAATTGCAAGTTAACAACAGGAAGTCACTCAGCTCACAAAATTCTTGAATATTAAACAATCAGCCTTTCCTAGCTGGTATGCGCTGGCTCTAGCACACCACTGCCTGCGTGGATCAGGAAGTGGGTCTTAAGGTTGAGAGTGGGAGTGATGGGGGCTTTTCGGGGGAAGTATAAAGTCGGAATCATTTTCCCAGTGATTTAGAGTACCGTGTGTTTCTTTGTTCATAGTACTTAGGATACTTGTTCAAGTATTCTGATACTTGTCTGCTTGCCCTCCTAGACTCCATGGCAGAACTGCATCTCTCTGGGTCACCGATGTGTCCTAGCATCTACCACAGTGCCTAGAACATAGTAAAGCAGTTTTGATTGGTCCAAAGATCTGTAGAATGCTACATTTACTAGTAAAGTACCTACTATGTGCTAGGCACTGTAGTTTTCCCTTGACAGGAAAAAATCCAATTCCATCTTCATAGCAGGCTTCTCAAAGTATGACAGGTAAGTCACATGGAGGGTTGATTACAAATAAAGTTATCTGGGCACTCCCCAGATCTTGCTGAATGTGCAGGGCCCAAGAATCTTCATTTAAACAGCTTCCTATATAGATTTTATGCAAACTTAGATTTTAAAATCACTTTCTCATAGGGTAGATCTTATTATTCCTGTTTTACAGATGAGGAAACTGAGGCTGATGGGTCTCAGTAACTTCCCCAAGGTTACACATTGGATAACTCAGGGGTCTAGGACACTAAGCTAGACCTTCCAGATGCCAGTTAATAGGCTAGATGGGCTCCCATAGAATAAAACCGAATGAATGAATGCATGACAGATGTCTCCACTGGGTGTGCAGTGTGGAATTCAAGAGGCAAGAGGGGAAGCCTGTAGGAGTCAATTATATTTGTTTTGGGGTGAAGTGATATGCCAGGCTTAGAGTAGAGACAGTGGACACAGTAAGACATTGAGATAATTAAAAATTGTTCAATGCTATGCTCTGTGTCAGGTACATTCAGAATATCACATCTTAAGTGAGCTTTACATTATAACTTCATTTAATTTGTATAACATCTCAGCAGGAGAGCTTCTGTCACCCATCATTTTTAGAGTGTAATTCAGGAAGAATAACTCACTGAGTTCACCATTAAGAAGCAGAGGAGCTGAGGTTGGAGCCCTAGTTTCTTTCCGTCTACGCTCCTTGGCCCCTAATAAATTGGGGTTCAAACCCATGTACTCTGATTACAGGGGACGTGAAGGCCATTACAAGGGAAAGTGAGGGTCAGCTGTAGTCGTGAGATTCCTACCAGCCCCAGTCAGAGGAGCTTTGGCAGCAGTTGGAAGAAACACAGCAGAGGAACATCAGTTGCCACGACCACTGGAAAACACAAGTCTATGTCTGTATGTTCCTGGAGAATGTCACTGTTGCTGGGGCATCCCAAGCACTGATGTGGACAGATGCTATCTGTTGGTAAAATGATTTCCTTATGGCTCTTCAGTAGCCTAGACCCTGCATTTTGTCTTATCCCATGGCCATGTGCAGGTCAAATGAGGCTGGGAACATCTGTTCTGAGGCAGTATTTTTTTTTTTAAGATAAAAGTCATCAGGGATGATTAAAACTTCAGAATGAAAGGAGGTGATTTCTGAAGAATGTTCTCTTTGTCATCTTTTCCTCCCGCTTCTTCCTCTTCATCTTCTCCACTCATAGTTTTGCACAGAGCTAATGACTAAGTTATGAAAATAAAAGTCTTGCTGGCTACAAGAGGCACATATTTGCATGGTGCGGGGGGATGGAGTTGAAGAGCTTGCATTTTGTCTGGGAATCATCCCTCATAAGCCCATGAGTTTGGAACCAACATGACACAGAATAATTAACAAGAAAGCCAGTGTCTGCAAAGAGGCATTCTTTAAAGAATGTCTAAGATTCTGTGGATGGGAAGAAGATATGACATGAGGCTGAGGAACAGAGGAGGGGACATCAACCAAATGGCTCTGCCAGGGCCTTGCTTTTTATTGACCCACTCTTGCTGGTCTTTCCTAAAGCATAGGAGTGTGAGGCTTCCTGCATCATCATTGGGATTATAGATTGACATAATCTTTCTGGAGAGCAAGTAGGCAAAATAGCACAACCTGAGATGGGTGCCTACCCTTGACTATGGTAAACCACTAGGGTTTTGGAGTTGTTACTGCAACATAATTTAGCCTCATCCAGAATGAAACAGTAGGTAATGACTTACATTTAGGCAAAAAATGTTTGCATCCTACAATAGATCCCTCTGTAGATCTAAAATAAGAAGATTCTTTACACTTATTGATATGCAAGACTCTCTGTATTAGTCGGGTCCTCCAGAGAAACAGGACCAATAGAATTGGAATTGGCTCATGCAGTCATGGAGGCCAAGAAGTACCACAGTATGCCACTTACAAGCTGGAGAATCAGGAAAGCCAGTGGTGTAATTCAGTCCAAAGTCCAAGTCCAAAAGCTTGAGAACCAGGACGAAGTGTGAAGGCAGGAAAAGATGGATTTCCCAGCTCAAACAGAGAGTAGATTCTCCCTTTTCCTGCCTTTTTTGTTCTATTTGGGCCCTTAATGGATAGATGATGCCCACTCATGTTGGTGAGAGGGATCTTTACTCAGTCTACTGATTCAACTGCTAATCTCATCTAGAAATGAGCGTAGTGTTAGTAGTGCCTCATGGTCACACCCACATATAATGTTTTACCAGCTATCTGGGCATCCCTTAGTCCAGTCAGCTTGACACATCAAATTAACCATCCCATTCTCCAAGATACATTTTCAAGTAGAAAAGACCTCTAGTAGCATGCATGGCATGAACCCAGTTTGGTAAAGTCACACATGGAAACTGTAGGTAGCCTTATGTGTTTAAAAGTTGGACTGCACAATACCTTCCTGCTTGTGGCATTTGGAACAAGCTTTTCTGCAGGCTGTTCCAGGGCACCGATTCTTAGGTGGACTCTTTCATGATTTTGGGTTCTCAGCCGCCTAATTGGTACAACATTATAAATACTCAGGAAGCCAAAGCCTATAAAAGTCCTATCTTTACTCTTGTCTCATGACACACAAAGTATGTGGAGTTCCCAGCACGTAAAGATCTCACCGGGTGCTGAAATGTGTGGAAAGTGCTTTATGTTGATGTGTTTGGGAAGACAACTCCCCCACCTCCCTGTGTGGCTCCTTTTTATTCTGTCATTCATTATAGCATGTGGTTGCCCAGGATTTATGAAAAGACGTATTCTATTTATACCACTTCACACAACTCTCTATCTCACACTGCCCCCTAATACCACCACCGCCACTAGTTAGAAAGTGAAAACTGAACTCAAGCTTTGGCAGCCTCACCCCTCCTATTGGTGTTGATTGCCCATGTGACTGGCATGTGGTTTTACAGTGGCTTTGTAATTTCTCTTGGCGTCCTGTAGGCAAAATGTGTGATGGTTCATATCAGCATTTTCTTGGGCAGCCAAAATTCTAGTTATTAGTAAACGTGGGTCTCCCCAGCCTTAAGATGCCCTGAAGATTTTAACACTAACACTACTACTACTACTAGTAATAGTTGTATTAGTATTAAAATTAACAGCAACGATCACTTATTTAGTGTGAACTGTGCTAGGCCCTGTGCTAAACATTTCATATGCCTTATCAAATTTGACCCTCACCATACACAACCCTTTGAAGTAGCATAATGATAATCTGCAGTTATCTCATAGATGAGGATGTGAGGTAAATAGCCCAGGGTCACGTAGTTGGGAAGGGGCAATGCTGAGATTGCAATGCAGATAGCTGGGACTCCAGATTTTGAGTTAGAATTTCACCCTTTTGGCCCAAGGCTTGTTAATGATGAGGCACATACTTTAAGGTGACCTTCACTCCCCACCATAATTTTCCATTTAGTCTATAAGGCCTGTATCCGAGTCAGCAGAGGGAATGGGAGAGAAAGGATCAAGAAATCTACCATTAAGCCACAAAAAAACCTCAGCATTGCTGCCTCTTGGCACCCCCTAAAGTGAGATTGAATAGAGCTCAGAAAGAGCCAGCCTGTCTGCCCAAAAGCTGCCACTCTCATCAATCCATTGATCACACACACTTTCAGCCACCCTGCCAGGTATTCCACATTATTACACAAGACAGCATCCACCTGCAATTCCCGGGGACCCATGCCTCCTCTCCAGCATAAATCCTTTCCCTCTCCTGCAGTGCTCCCAAAAATGAAATGGACAAAAAATGCCAGCCACTTAACAACCCTTCAGGCAATTGGTCCGTTTTTCTTTGGCCTAAAGTTCTATCTTTTGACAGCCAGTGTGAAAGGGTAGAGGAAATCATGATTTTAGATAATTCCACCTTCCTCTAGCTTGGTAACCTCCTCTCCAAGGCCATTCATGCAGCCTACTTGGAACACCTTCAATCTCCATCGCTACCAGTGAAGCTAGAAAAGTCATTTCCTTCTCTTGGGACTAGGTCCGGATGCCTTAGGATAGCCGACAGCGCCCTTTAGAACCTGGTCTACCTTCACCTCTCAGCGTCGCTGCCACCTCCCTTCGTTGAACTTCCTTCAGTTCTTTCTTCAACATACCATGTTCTCTGAGATCTTGGAGCCTTTGGCTGTCCAATTCCCCCTCCACCTGGAATACTTCCTTTTATGTCAAAACTGAACCCACTTCCTTCCCCTGAGTTTTACTCGGTAAACCCACTTATCCTTTAGGACTGAGCTACATCTCACTTCCTGTGGGAAGCCTTCATTGACCACCACCACCTGGGCACACATCCCTGAAGTAAATACACCTTCTACCCCACATTCCCAATCCCTCTGTACTTCTTATCAAAATGATCCTAAAGCTTAGCACACCATTTCTTTGACCAGTTGATCCTTTTCTGATATTCACTTACCTTAATATTCTTACAAGTGTATATACAAAATTGCTAGTGAAAGGAGTCTATGCCCTAAAGGAACTCTTTACTAATAAGGCCACTGACCACTTTACTAGCTAACTTTTTTGTAAGGCCACTGGATTGAGAGAAAGCTATGGTTCCCATTGCTTCTGTGAACTGAACGGAATGTGTTTTTTAAGTTTATTTGGTGCAGATGGATATGGTGGTAGAAGCCATAACTCTGGATCCTGAGGCTATACCATACTTTTTTTTTTTCCACTGTCTGAAATGTGTGCTTCTGTAAAGCTTTCTCACTTGTCAAAAACAGAAGAGGGAAGGGAGATTACATGTCTGCCTTACTCATTGTGTAGCCCTAGGATCTTCTGTGTCCAGTGGAAGAGAGGAGCTCAGCTGCACACGCAGCTTAGCCATCTTCATTCGTTCATAAGCAAACATTACAGTCTGTAGCCTTATCGCTGCTACCTCCCTCTTCTGCAGCCACGGCAAAAACTCATAAGCTGGTTATCACTAAGCTTGTATTTTTCCATGCCAAGTTTTCCTCCTCATCCCTGCTGATGGAAACATTTGCTTTCCTCCTGGGTTTGCAGTCGGTCTACTCCCACACCAACTCTGCCCAGCGCCCCTGCCCCCTGCAGGTTCTTTCTGCTTTTATTTGAACGCATCACTTTTGGCAAGAAGCAAAGCTCCTTTTGGCCATCCTTACACTTCTGTCACTCTAAAGCCCACTTGCCTCGCATGTGTTACAGCCACAGAGTCACTGACCACACCCCTGTCCCCTGCGCCTATCTTACCCAAGTGCAGGCCACCGATGGACTGGGGGACCATCCCAGGGCCCTCTTGGATGGCCTTGCCATCCCTGTTCCCTTGGGAAGGATGACACAAAGGAGGCATTATGCCAACCTCCATCTGAGCAGGTCCCTCCCACCATATTGCTGCTGTTGCCATAAAGACCAGCTAGGATACGTTTATATTAATTCAAATGCTGTTTGGGGATGGGTATGCAAAACCAAACAACACCACCTGCTGTGGAGAAGTTGCAGGTGTGCTGCACGAAGATTAACCCTGCTGTGTGCAGCTTTGTTTCTGTGGTGACCACATGTGCTTCTTTCCTTGGAAATGCCTCAATTTGCTGTGCTGGATTTGTTAGAGTGTGGGCCATTTCTGGGAAGATCAGTGTGGTGAGTGTCCATCCTTCTGTCTTTGTGCCTCTGTTTCTCTCTCTGCCTCTTTCTCCCCTTCATTCACACACACATGCATGCACGCATATACACACACTTATTTTTAAGGATGGTTTCAGCCTCTTAGGGGAGATTAGTGCACCCTATATAATGAGAGGAGGCTGCATCTGAAAAACATCTGTTGGGCAGTTTGCTGCACTGCAGAATTAACTGAGTCCAAGTGGACAAATATTTGAGCCTGGTTATGGGCTGAGGCATTTTAGCAGAGTAGTTTGGAGAACTCATTGCATTCTCCTCTGTTAATGTATTGCAGCTAGAGTGTGCCTACCAAGGGGCTGGGACCAGATCTGGGGAAATCTGCCCCTCCTTCAGCAGGCTGTTCCACCAAATGCCCACACCAGCACTGGGTCCTGCAGAGTGACCTGCACACACCTCATCCCACCAATAAACATTCAGTCTCACCGTTGGGTCTGTGTCTGTCTGGTCTGCACATCCTGCGTCTAACTGGCCTGTGTCACATGGAACGCCCCTTGAGGGCAGGGTGCATGAGTGTGCCTGACTGTGTGTGTCCCTGTGCCAGTTTGTCACTGAAGTGCTCTGGCTAGAACTCCTCTGCAATGTTGCATATTTTATACAACCAGGTGTAAAAGTATGTCTGTGGCCAAGCCTGCAAAATGTCTCCTGCAAACTGGGATGTTCCCTTCCAACTAGGCAAACCAGGAAAAGAGCCTCCGTGTTTCAAGGACAGGGGTGAGGGCCTGCAGGTCCTGCTTCCTCCTCCTCCAGAAAGGATACTTGCCCTGCCACCATCAGCCCTCCAAACCCTTATGGAGGGGCCTTCACAGGGCTGCAGCTTGGGGGCCTGTTGACTAGTGCCAAAGAGTGTATGTGCAGAAGCCTCCCAGCCCTTGGCCCATGGGGGCTGGGTGGTGGCAGACTGTCCCCAACAATGCCCCACTATTCCATCCAAAGTCCAACAGAAGGGCCAGTGGGAGCAAAGTATAGGCATCCCTCCGTAGGAAGATGAAAGCTCACTTCCTTTTCACCCCCACTGTACCTTCTGCCTTCAGATTACAGCCGCTTGGTGGAGGCTCAGTTCTTTGATGAAGCCAGTGGCACAAAGGACATTGTGCAGGACTCACAAGGGCAGATTCAGGGCCAAGACCCCTCTGTCATCAGGGCCTGGGAATAAGAAAATGCCAGGAATTGGAGAAGCCCTTTCAGTAGCTTGCCTTTCTCAGAATGAGTCCTCAGGACCATGGAAAATATTTGGGCCTCTCTTCCTGACAGGTAATGCTGTTATTTCATCAGTGACAACTCTACCATGGAGACGCTGATTTTAGACCTTGGAAGTTGTATGGGACTATCACAGGACCATGGCCAACCTTTGGAGTAGGCACTCCTGGGTCCCTGGCCCCATCTCCATTTCTACTTTCTGCTCCCTGAAGCTAAAATCTGTTGAGTTCACGATCTTCATTCTGAGAAGCTGGGATCTTCTGCATTCATCTGTACACAGTTCTTTCCAGTCTCCCTCCTGACTTCAGTGTGCTAAACCAGGTACCTGAGGAAGGCAGGATGCAGCAGGTTTACTCCATCACATCCAGATCAATAACCATTAACATTGTGCATAGATGGAGTCCTCCCAGCACTCTACAGAGTGGGCTTTGTCCCTCATCTCTTCTGGAAGTGCTGATTAAAAAAAAAATTCCTGTAGATCTCAAGCCCCTGGATTCTTAGAAACCCTCTGTTCCAAACAACCCAATCTACTCACTGCCCCTAACTGCCTGGTTCTTAAACAAGAGTGTGTTTCAATATCACCCAAGGAGCTTTTGGAACGTGGATCTCCAGGGGCCACATGCAGATTTTGATTCTGCATGTCCACCAAAGCCTAGGAAAGGCCAATCTATTAGGCCCTTCTGTGATTCTGGCATAAGTGGTCACCAGATTTCACTGGATGGGGCAATGCCCTATTGGATGTGCAATGCCAGGTGTTCTGGGTCTATATGTGTCTGCATTGTCTAACAGCTGTGAAATCTTAAGTCTTGGGGGGGGGTTCCTCAAATTGCCTGAAAGTCAGTTTTTCCTTCTAGAAGAATCATGAAAATCATAACACCTCTCTTCAAGGACTGACATGAGCACGTTACCTAGCACCAGGTACCCAGTGCTAACAAATGCCATAGGCTGCCATTGTAATACTGTAACTGTTCATTTGATTACCTGCTCTCAGCCTGTATACTTATTTAGAAGCCCACCCTCCTATTCTCAGCATTCCCATTTATTTCTTCCAGTACTGTAGGTTCCTTAGTGCTCCCTCCTCCTAAAGTGGCCTGACTACCTGCTATTTTTCTGTAGGTTTTTATAAATCTCTCTGCTCTGTCTCTTAAGAGGTTTGTCATAACCGTGTCCTCATTAAGCCCTTTTTAGAACACAGACTGGCCTTTTCAAAGAAGAGGTCCTTCAATTAGCCTATTTAGAAGAAATGGAATTTTCATTAGGGGCACAGACTTGTATAATACACAGAGAGGTATGACCTTAACAACCTCTCAGCCTCTTTCACCTGAGGCCAGGCCAACTCCCTTGACACTAGCCAAGGATTCGTTTTTACACTTCCCAGGCATCGCCCTGCTTTGCTCCAACCCCCATCCCCTGCAGTATTTGACCACGTGGCACCCACAGTTACCTAAAGTAGGATGCAAATAGGAATGCCTTGAGAGACTTGACCATAGCCCCCAAATTCCTAAGCTTATGACTTGCAGCACCTGCCCACGAGGATCGATGTGTCTTTTGGCTTCAATGGGGAGCTATTGGATTCTCCACCTTAGGAAGGTGCCCAACAGCTGCTGTGGATGGTCCCATTGTCCAGGCCTAGAACTAGTCAGAAGGGAATTTTCCCTCTCACCACCATCTTCTATGTGTTCAAGCCCAGTTGACTGGGTGTTCCCACCCATGCACTCTCTCATTTAGTGACCTTTGCTGCTGCTTCCAGCCAGGAATCTTTCTTTCCTCACACTGAAATGCCAACATCAGAACCTGGGTTTAGTCTTTGTAGTAGAATGGCTTTTGTACAGTCAGACCAGCCCTGTTTAGAAAAAGGGTTCTTACTTTTTTCTTTCTCAGAGCTCAGACTAACTCTTTAGGAATCTGTTGGGTTTGGAGAAAACTTCCAGATAGTAGGGTTGCTTAACCTTGCTTTGCTCTCTGTGGGGGGTTATACATAGATCTCCACCACACTTCCATCCTTCTAAGTCTGCTTTTCACTCTCAATTCCAGTATTGTCTCCATAGCCTTGCTACTATGTTAAATGATCATGTTCATCTATTTATGGGTTTCTGTATTGCTTCTCTCCCCTCACTAAACTGTGAACTCTGAGGACTTTGACCATGTTTTGATACATGGCAGGCACTAATTAATTTCAAATGAATGAATGAATGAATGAAGCAAAGAAACAAGCTTCATTCATTGGACACCATGAATTTCCTGGCCAGGTGCTATGTTTAATATCTTCACTGATATTGTATTATCCATTTCCTATGAGGAATAGTTCGTATTCCAGGATGAGCCATGAGAGTGCCAGAGGGTAGCAGGGTCTTCTCAAGTAGATATACAGACTCTACCCCAACATAAAGAACAGCATGTTCTGAGGCAGAGCAGGTGTGATTGCAAGGACACCAGCACATACTAGACCTTCCGAATAACTCTCCAACCTTTCTGGAAGGGGGAAAAAAAAGACAAAAACCTTTTCAACTCAGCATAAGAGAAAACCTTATCAAGAAGAAACGTTGGCTTGAATTTCCACTGAGTTAGAGCAGCTTGGGTAGGGGGATGTCTTGGAAAGCCAGATTTTCAGGGCTTGTGAATGGAAGAGGAGAGGGCAGTGTGTTAGGGTGGAGGCTGAGAATGTGCACCCAATAATGGGATGTCTCCCCGCCCTTAATCTGCAGCCTGTGCACCAGCGGTGTCCCTTGCATTAGCCTGCTGACTAAAGTCTGAATTCACATTCCAAGCAAGCAGGAGGCTCAGGGTCAGACCGTGGCTTGAATCCAGAAGTGAGTGTGAGCACAGACACTGCCTGGACAGTGGGGCAAAGGGGAATCTTGGACATTGGCCTCAAGAACCCAAGGGATGTTGCTGGGATAAGTTGTAGGGATGGGCAAGGGCATAGGAGCAGCCTAGACAAAGGCAGGTCAACCACGGAGGTGTGGGGCTCCATCCTGAGACCTGGAGTCCAGGGGTTGGGGAAGGCATGGAGGAAATGTTTCCCCAAGGCCTTGGATAGTGGGGTCAGTTTATGGGGCGCCTGTGGCTTTGCCTGTGGGTGGAGAGAGAACTGCTAAAGGCATCAAGCTCATTTGGACAAATAAAGATTTCTTTCTGAGGCTTCTTGTGTGTTCTTTAGCTCCACAGCAAGACCACCTAGTCCTGGCTGTACTTCCTCCTTGCTCCATGGTGACCAGTGTATATGCAGTTGGTGTAGATGTAAGCACTGCCCCCCCACCACCCCGTGCCACACCCGGCTCTGTGGTCCTCCCCTCCAAATGTCTCCTCAGCCGCAGGGTCCACCCATGATACTTTTCCAGGCAAGAGAGAAGTCGCCTGAAAACATTTAGCTGGGCACAGTGGCTGTGTAAAACTCCAAGGTGGTTTTAGCATCCCAAGTGAGACACATTTGCTAGTATATGCGCCTTGGAGATCCATGGTTTACAAGATAGATGGGCAGTGCAGAGAGGGGCCTCCGTGTTTTTCATATTTTGCCGCTCCCACTCTCGCAGCCTGGTGGGCGGCTTTCACTTTAAAGTTAGAAAACATTCCAGCCCTTGCCCGTTAGGGTGACTCCTGATACGCCTCATAAACTATTCATAAAACAAAGTGATTCCAGCCCGAGTTTCTTCCCCTTCTTCCTCCTCCTCAAGATTTATTTTCCCCTGCTCTGTTCTGTCCCCTCCACCTTCCTGGTTAACCCTTGGGGGCCCCACTTAATGAAGCATTGCAGCCTGATGTGGATAATGTGGAAACAGTTCCACAGGTCTGCACGTGCAATCTCAGGCCTCCTCTCCACCTCAGTCTCCTCCAGTTGTGATGTTTGTCCTTCCATGTAACCTCTGGCTATTCCCACGCCCTTCCCATCTTTTCAGTATCAAGGGCATTTGAAACTCTTTGCAGCACGGTTGCCCCTCTGCTGTCCCTCTTGACCCAAATATCTAGGGCCTGGAAAGGCCTGAGCAGACAGTTGGCTGTGTTGCCACAGGATGTCCCAGGTTCTTCCTCTGCCCACATACACAGGGAGTGACTTTTAGAGAAAGGTCATGGGACTAGAAATGAGAGTTGCAATTGGTGCATTCTCTCTTTAACCGGTTGCATGCTTAGTGAATGAAAGGCTTTGCAGGACAATCACAGGAACATGCAGACCTGGGTTCAAAGCCTGGCTTGGCCAATTTCTTGCTGAATGATCTACCTAGGCTTTAGTTTCCCATCTATCCACCCATTCATCCATCTGTCCATCTATTCACCCACCTACCTACCAACCGCCCATTCACCCAGCCACCCACCCACCTACTCATCCATCCATCCATTCAGCTATTCATCCACCCACTCATCCATCCATCCACCCACTCATCCGTCCATCCATCCATCCATCCATCCATCCATCCACCCACCCACCCACCCACCCACCCATCCATCCATTCATTCACATGTTCATCCACCCACTCATCCATCCATCCATTCATTCATCCACCCATTCATCCATCCATCCATGCATATAGTGATTCATCCAATAATTAATGAGCACCTACTATATGCTAGGTCCCATTTTAAGCACTTAAGACTTGGCAGTGATAAAGCCCATGAGTTTCTGTCCTCCTGGAGTTGATATATGAATGAACTTGGAAGAGTAAGAGGACTTACCTTACCAGTTGTTGTAAGGATTAGAAGATAAAACATGTAAAGCATTTGTTAGGTAGACCATATGAAATTGCAGTTTTGTGGATCAAAGATGTTTGACTATCAATCAGTCCATCGGAATCAAGCCAAGAGTGAAGTGTCTAGCACATAGTCCTCAAAGAGCAGGAAGTTAACATATTATGCACAAAAGGCTTATATACTCTCCGGCAAGAATGAAAAGATCTTCCAAATGTCTAGTTCATTTAATGAGACATGCAGTTTAAATCAGGTATTATTTACAGCTCATTTTTTTTATTAAGTGTTATGAGCCCATGAAGTCTCGAGAAGCAGCAGACAGGAAGTAGCTTGTTGAGTTTTACCCTAAGTTTTAATGCTCCGTATGCCAGATTGTATGACCAACATTTCAAAATATTCTGACCCTTTTCTTGAGTAAATCAGCAGAGCTTAAAACAGACTTTGCATTATTCAAAGCATCCGTAGGGGAGGGGTGGGTGAGGAGGAAGACCTTGTGTTAAACATTTATGTCTCACTGCTGAATAGCAAATGTAACCTATCTTTACTAAAATCTCCCTAAATGGTTGAAATAAATTTCATACAATGAGTCTATTTTTCCCCCCTCCAGAAAATATACAAAGGCAGGTGTCTAGACTTCCTGGTGTGTAAAAAAAAAAAAAAAAAACCCTCCAAAACGCAGTTTTTAATGTTTACTTGTTTTCAGGTGCAGTTAGGGTTGTTAAGAAAACATTGACTAAGCTTCCTAGGGATTCACGTTGCTGCGGTATTTGGCTTTCCAAGGCTTTAAGGCAGTTACCAAGCAGCAATCCTATGACTCAGTGGTTGAGAGCCTGGGCCTCCTAGCCAGAGGACCTGGCTTTGAATCTTGACTCTCCCACTTTCTAGGAGTGTGACCTTGGACAATTTTTTTTTTTTTTTAAATCTCTGAGCCCCAGTTTCTTCGTTCATTAACTGAATATGTTGATGGTCCCTAATGCAAAGGTTCTTTTGAAGAACAAGTGAGAGAGTACTTGTAAAGTACTTATTAAAGTGCTGAGCATATATTAAGCAATAAGTTATTGTTAATATGGGTACTGTGATCAGTGATATTCATGTTGTTATTATTCTGGGAGTATATTCAGCATCCATCTCTTTAATCAAAACTTAAAAGGTATATAATTCCTTTATGAGAATTTGTCACCTTCTGTTTGGCCACAGTTAATTTTTTGCCCTTTTATGCTCAGCTCAAATCCCTCAAATCTCAGTGATTCAAGTGGACTGAGTCACTTCTGGGCTCCAGCTGATCTTGAATAATGAGACACACCATGGTATGAAAAGTGAGCCTGAAGAACCCTGAAAGCATTTCTGAGTTGGATGAGATTTGGCTAGAAAAACATCCTGTACTTATGACTTGCAACATATGGCTTAGAAAGTATTTTTTCTATAACGCCTCTAATATATATGCAGAAGACACAAAGAGGGCAACTCAATATCACAAAAAAGTAAGTTCAACCTCCTTTCTGCCTTCTTGAGAGATGGCCATTGTTTAATATGAAGTATTGCAAACAACAGTACTTATTTTTATAGCAGTTATTTAAGTATTTTTCGGGCCTCTTTTACATGGTAAGCACTGTTTTCAGCTAACACCTTGGACTCTTACTTCTGTATCACAGAAATGGAAAGGTCTTTCTAAAAAACCAATAACATCTTAGGAAGAACAAAAAGAGTTCTAGATATGTGAAAGCAATTCAGAGTCCTCTTGCTTTTGCCTGGCACAAATCAGGAATTGGGCTGGTTGTGAGGTCCTTTGGTCACCTGTGAGGTTGAACACTCTATCTTAGAAACTTAACTCTCATCTTTCCTTCCACCCAGCCACTTCGTACCACACCCTTGAGCACTTGTAGAGGCATCTGCTCCAATATTCCCAACACTGGAAGGGATTAAGGCAGGTGCTTCTCTGAGAGTTCTAATTCCTGTGGTGTTTGAGCTACTTAAGAATTAATCCTGCTGCTTCCCTCTCCTTTGGGCCTCCTGGAGGTTATCCTCTAACCAGAAGCAGGACACATCTTAGGGTCTGTTTGTCATTGAAAAGAAACACATGTGGTAGGAACAACTGTACTTTCATGTTTGCTTAGGATTTATCCAGAAAGTTCCTTTTTGCTTACTAGCTGATATGGTTTGGCTCTGTGTCGCCACCCAAATCTCATCTTGTAGCTCCCATAATTCCCATGTGTTGTGGGAGGGACCAAGTGGGAGATGATTGAATTATGGGGGTGGGTCTTTCCTGTGCTGTTTTTGTGATAGTGAATGGGTCTCAAGAGATCTGATGATTTTAAAAATGGGAATTGCCCTGCACAAGCACCCTTTGCCTGCTGCCATCCATGTAACATGCGACTTGTTCCTCCTTGACCTCCACCATGATAGTGAGGCTTCCCCAGCCATGTGGAACTTTAAGTCCAATTAAACCTCTTCTTTTGTAAATTGCCCAGTCTTGGGTGTGTCTTTATCAGCAGTGTGAAAACAGACTAATACACTAGCCAATAACAGTACTAAATCTTTGGAGTTTGGGGTGTTGTGACCAGGATAGTATTGTCCCCCAGACAAAATGTTGCTGAGTGGTTTATGGTGCTTATGAAAATTGGTGACATCTAAGGTTATTTACCTCATTAGGTTTGATGGGTCTACTTACCAGGGAGTGAGAAATTCCTAAGGAAGTTAGAAGAATATATTTCCTTATCATAAAAAATTATTAACCCCATCTCTTCCCCTGGACATGTGATAATGAACAAGATGGATACAACTCCTGCTTTTAAAGAGTTTAGATATTAGGGCTGTGCTGTTCAATATGCTAGGCACTAACTGCAGGTGGCTATTTAAACTTAAACTAATCCAAATTAAATGAAATTCAAAACTCCATTTCTTAATCATACCAGGCCCACTTCAAGTACTCAGTAGCCACACGTAGCTAGTGGCTGTCATTGTGGACAATGCCAGAATAGAGTGTCTCTATCTTTGTAAGAGTTCTGTTGGACAGTGCTGGTTTGGAAGGATGTACAGATAGGTAAATATCAATTACAAAAGAGCACATTAAATGTGATAATGAGAGAAATACCAGCAGCTGTGTGGGATCCCATATGGGCACTAATATATTTAGACTCCCTTGGCTGCAAATAATGGGAAAAGAACACTCTCAGCTATTTATTGACACCATTGTCTGTTTAACAAACCACTCTAAAATTCAGTGACTTAAAACAATAAGCATTTATTTAGCTCATGAGTCTGTGGGTCAGAGATTTATACTGCTTGACCAGCTTTGGGGGTTCACACCTGCAATCCCAACACTTTGGGAGGCTAAGATGGAAGGATTGCTTGAGCCCAGGAGCTTGAGACCAGCCTGGGTAACACGGCAAGACTCTGTCTCTATTTTTTTAAAGAAATTTATACTGGGCTTGATTGGGTGATCCTTCTGTTCTTGATTGAGCTCATTCACATGTCTTGGGGTCAGCTGGTTATTGGCTGGGGTCACATTGGCAATTGGGCCCTGTGCCTCTCATCCTCTAGCAGGCTGGCTCTGGCATATTCCCATGGCAATAACAGAAGTGTGTGAATGAACAAGTTCTATCACATAAACACATTTCAAACCTCTATTTTTGCTGGCTAACATCCTAATCGCTAAGGAAAGTCACAAGGCCAGCCCAGATTCAAGGGGAGGGGAAATAGATTCTGACTCTTTATTAGAGAAACTGTAAATTCACAAGGCAAAGGCATGCATCTAAGGAGTAGTACCAGATTAATCTATTATAACACTTCAAACTGGCTTAACTTTGGAAAGTCATTTACTGGCTTGTGAAATTCAGAAGACTAAATAGTCCAGCTTCAGCCGTGGCTGGATGCAGGTGCTCAAATAACATGGTTAGTGATCTGTTATAATCCCTCAGCTCTGCTTACCACTGTTTGGTTTCTTTTTCAAGCAGTCTATCTCCAACTGGTGGCAAAGATGAATTCTAGACTCATCACACTAGCTTCACAACTCAGCAGAAAAAAATCCTGGGATTGATCTCATTGGCCTGGGTTGACTCATGTGGCCATCTGTGAACCAGTCACTGAGCTTGAGGGATGGAGTGCTCTCACTTGCCAGATGTGTGCAGATCCCTGGAGCTGGAGAAGGGAAGGGATACATGGAAACCAGGGGAGAGATGGTTCTTCCAAGGAGCATTGGCATGCTCTTTCCAAAAAGAGGGTAAGGGATGAATGGAAATGATAGATTTCCACTACAGGCAGACACTGGGACTGGGGGCGGGGTGGGGGTGGGGCGGTTTATGTGTGTGCTTCATGCTAAGATGCTGCAAATGAGGAAATACAATGCTGAGGGCAGGTATAAGACCCCGGAAGATCTGTTTGCAGTAGAATGTGATAGACTCATGGTAAAGCTAGAGTGACAAAAGAACAAAAAAGAAGTTAAAGAAAAAATGATGAAAAGGAAGTGAAGTAAGAGAATGAGATGGAAAGAAAAATAGTAAAGAGAGAAAGCAATTAAGAGAAAGAAGAAATGTGGAGAGAGAGAGGAGAGAGCTTTAGTACAGTCTTCTGTAAAGAAAAAAGCTCATAGGTAGATTCTTTCTTAACCCCTCCCATCTCTACCAGAATAGATTCCAAGTGGTAAGTTTCATAATTCCTGTATCATTTAGTGTCTTCTATTCCACCCTTCCAGTGGTAGTGGTTGGGATTAGGAAATTGGAAGGAGAGATTAGGGACACAGACAAGAATGATTTGGTCACAAAAAACTGCCAGAAGGTAATGCATTTCATGCTCGTGTAACAAGTGCTTTCAGACTTAATTAAGTATGTTTTTTAATGGCTCTCTATGGTCCACACAAACAAATGAATGAGTATGTGATTTCATGTGATTCATTCACTTGTTCTTTTCTTTTCTGTGAAACATCTATTGACCGCTGACTATGTAAAAGGCAACCCTCTAATACCTTGAAAAGAAGCTCTGAATTGCTTGTCATGATATTTTGGTTCTAATCTTCTGGTTTCTCCAGTCCAAGATTGTTACTAGACTCTAGCAAGCCTTTCCACTTGTTTCCTCAACTCTATAATAAACACTAAAACAATTATCCTATCTGTCACATAGGGCTGCCATTTACATGATCTAAGAGATATGAATGCCCTTTAAAAACATTAGACATGTGTGAAGTGTATGATTGTTACTGGGGAAAAGAAAGCTTCCAAATACGAACCTACAGGCAACACTACCCCCAACCCATGAGAGTTCTTCACTGCTTATGAAGAAATTGAGTCTCAATTGCAAATCAGTTTCATAAAAGAAGAGAAGCTTCATCCAGCCATCGAAATGCTGAGCTATTCTACTCTTGTTTTAATCGAAGGCTTAGGTTTCTGAGCAGTCTTAGATTTGCCTTGGATGACCGTCCATCCCTCTGTCTATCCATCCATCCATCCATCTGTCCGGTTACATCCTGGATGAGTCTTTAAATTATTTCTGGCTTATGACATAAACACATACAAGGAAATAATGATAACATTGAAGTAAAAATAGGAAATCAGTTTTAGGAAAAATATGAAGAGACATATAATGGTAATGGTTATGAGTATAAGAGACTGAACTCAAGGACAAGGAGGGTATCATTTTCATCTTGGTTCTTAGCTAGAACTTGGTGCCATGTAGGAACTGAGCCTTTATTTTTGAAGGAAAAAATAAAAATAAGTACAATCTGTCAAATGTCTCCTCCATTTCAGGTATTTTGCATTTCACCTCTGACAAGTGGTCCTTTGCTACACCCATCACCTGGCTCTAATCCTGCTTTCTTTTTACTTGTATACTCCATGCTTACCTTCTTAGAAGAGAGATCTGGGTACTGGAATGTTCTGGAGTCCAGAAAAGGACACCGTGCCACCCTTTAACAACAGCGCCATGATGCAGAAGGTCCACAAGCTGGCTCGAACTTAAAGGCAACTTCACTGTCTCCCCTAGTGCCTGGCACACAGCAGGTCATTGTAAATTTTTGTACACTGAAATGAACATCTAGCCACACACTGCATGACTGGGGTTAGTGAGCTCGGCAGTCCATATTTCAGTCTCCAACTGCGTGATTGTTGACTTCCTGCTGTGTGTCAGGCACCCTGGCATGTGCGCCACTGTCTGAATTCAGACCGGATTCAAATATCACCTTCTGCATAGCCCTCATGTCATCTTTATCATGCAGCTTTTTCATCTTGCCTTATTTTTGTCACTTGAAATATTACAGTTTTTGTCTACTTATTTATTTTATGAGCACCCCCACCCCATAAACACAGTATAAAGTAGTGCAGAAGCAGGAATAGAAACTTCATCTATCCCACATATTGGGAACACTCTCCAGAAAACAATAGATGCTCAATAAATATTGGCTGAATGATCAGTTGAGTTATTTAGATTTCCTCTAAACTTGTAAGGAGGAACCCAAAGTCTTACTAAGCATTTTTTATATGCTAGGTACTATGCATTTACTACATATACTACATACTAAGCTAACTTAGATAAATTTGGTTATCTGATACATATGTCAGAATAACCATATGAAGATAGGAATTATCATAATTTACATTTTATAGTTAAGAAAAATTAGTCACAGAAAGGATAAGCAGCCTGGTCAAAGCCACGCAGCTAGTAGATACCAAAGGTGGGACTTAAAACCAGGCCTGACTCCACACCCACTATGTTCTTTGTTTCCCGTCCCTGAAAGCTTTTTGCCATGCAAGCCAAATATGGCTGGTTGAATACCAAGGGAGGCTTCTATTGAATGGTTGTGGGCTGCCATCTTTCCTGATGTATAGGGAGAAAAGGGTTAAAAAGGAGATCCCATTTGTGATTCTTTTACAATTTATCTGAGGCAGGCCCCAGTTAGGTGGGCATGGTGGCACATACCTGTAATCCCAGCTACTGGGGACGCCGAGGCAGGAGAATCACTTGAACCCGGGAGGCGGAGGTTGCAGTAGTGAGCCGAGATCGCGCCACTGCACTTCAGCCTGGGCGATAGAGCAAGACTCTTTGTCTCCAAAAAGAAAATGAATAGACTATGAAGGAGAGCAAAGGAAAGAACACTGAGTAAGCCAAAGGAAGGACTTTGGGATCTTCCCAGTTACCACTTGAAGATAGAATCCTGGGAGCAGCTACATAGCTTGGGCTTGACTCCACCATTTACTTCCTGTGATGTTGGGCCAGATTACTCACATATCTAAGCTTTAGTTTCCTCATCTATAAAATGCAGTATAACCCCTGGGAAATAATAATCATTCAATATCAGTCCTTGTTTCTGATATCAATACATTTTAGTCACTGATATTATTGTATTACAGCTACCAATATTAATAAGGTGCATTAAGTAGAAGACAAAATTATAGCCTCACCTCGGCTCTGGGACCCTATGCCAACACTTAATCTCTCTAAGCTTCATCTGAAATCTGGGCTCTTGGGCACCAGCTGTGTGTGCCATCCTTGCAGGGCTCAGTAATGGAAGGAGAAGGTGTTTGGATGAGGACTGAGGGCCATGGGACTGGAGGGGTTCATCATTTTGCTTGTAACTGGTGTGTGACGGTGACGAGACGACAGAGAGCAGGGCCTGGACATAACCTCTGCTGCTGCTAGACCTGTCATAGATAGTCCTTTGTCAGAGAGTGTCACACGAGGGGAGTGGCTTTAATTCTGTGATCACCCATGGAACCAGCCGGTTCTGAGAGGCTGCGTGAGGGACATTATTTTTGTCTGGCAGGTCCAGACCTGGCTTGATAAGGCAGACAACAGATGAACCTTTTGGAAAAATTCTGAAAGAGTTTCTCATTGGGAAGATGCCATGGAGTGGAGCTGCACCAATGCTGCAGAATTTTTCTTTAGCGTCCAGTGTACCTCATGTTCAAAATAGTAATTGAAATGTATGCTGTTTATTACACTCGCATGTGTTTGTAATCAAGGTACAACTCTAGTAGATGAGAAGCAAAAAGCTATAATTTGCTGCTTAGCATCATAGCTGTCGTACATTCGTTTAAATAGCTTTATTTATCTTCTTCTCCATAAAGGACCTTCCATATTGCAAATTTATTGAATGGCTAATGGCCTAAAAGTATGGGGTTCATTACAGAGCAATGTATTTATTGCAGTGTTAATTAAATAAAAGCATTGTAATCTTTCCAAATTGTACAATTATGTTCATTTAAACATTTTAAACAGAAAAATCTTTTATGTACTAATTGAGTTGCATAATAAAAAGCATGTGTAATGGAAATTTAAATCAAAACAAATACTGAAATAATTTGAACAATTTTTTTTAACAATATGAAATGCCTACCTCCATCTTTATTAGAGATACTCTAACGACCAGCTTGCTTTCAGAACCCATGACCTCTGAGCAGGGTATATGGTTTCAGAGCCCATTGGCCACCCTCACATCCCAGCCAGCCAACCCTTAGACATCAAAGTCCTGGTTGGCTACCAGCCGCAGCCCCTGACACCCTGGCTGCTAGCCTGGATCCTGACAGGCTGGCGTGGGGCCTGTAGGCCGAGCTGACAGCCTTTTCTGTGGAGTCTGATGAATGGTTTCTGGCAACAGGCAGTTACGCTCTGACTGCCTGTGAAAGGAGTACCCCATCGAAAAAATGCGCACTGTCTCTCCCAGCTTTCCTGGGGTGGGAGCCTCAGGAGTGCCTGGTGCTGCTGACTTTTTACATCCAACAGGGGTCTTTACTTGCTTTTGGAATTATCTCCTGCTCCTTGTCTCTCTCAGGCTGGAAGGGGTTGGTGACAGCAAAGGTGCCATCCTCAGCACAAAAGGGATTTGCTTTCTTGGTGCACTCCAGTAAAGATCTTTTGCTGCCTGTGTTTTGTGGCTCCATCCCATGCTTCAGTTAGTTAGGGCTAAATCTTAATGCAACATTGAGATGGTAGAAAAAGGTATGGAGGCAGAAAAACAGGCACATTTTTCAACTAGATGCTCATTTCCTGGTTCCACAGAAGGATTTGTGTGGGCTTCTTGGTTTACCCGCATCTTAGTCTCTTGTTTTGAAATGGTCTTGAGTTTAGCTAGACCCCGTTAGCACCATGTCTTAGATACCCAGCAAAATGCAGGAGAGTTGCCTTCCACTTTCTGATACCCATATTTTGCTGGGATTATCAAGAGGATTAAGGAGAAATCACTGTACTAAAACCTTCGATTATTAAAAGTAGCAACAGTAAGTTGCTTTAGAAGGAAATTCCTGCTTGCCTTATCCTTAGGATGAAGTTTTAGAAACAAGAGTATCTAATAATAATCCTCATGCTGGCTAAATATATTAATAAAAAAGGCTTATGGCAGGATAAATGAAAATATATATATACACACGTATATACACACTGTAATTAAGCACATGATTCAGGAACATTATTCCTCTGTCCTACTCATGAAAACTTGCCAGGAGTGTCACTCAAGCTAAAGGGATTTAAGTGGATCCCAGGAGAATGGAGAAAAATCCATTCTACTGTACCCAAGATTTTAGTGTTCAGGTTGATAAAAGACAGGTGAATACCCAAAACATGGATGATGTATCCATGTCTCAGTCAAAACTTGGACAAGAGAGTCTCAAGGCTGGATTCTGTACCTTAATAGAGTCTAGTCACTGGCCTTGACTTGACCTACAGAAGGGAAGAAAGAGACCATTCAAAGAAGAGTCAAGTTAATCAATCTGGATAAAAGCCAATATGTAACAAACCTGCACGTTGTGCGCATGTACCCTGGAACTTAAAGTATAATATAAAAATTAAAATTAAAATTAAATAAAATTTTAAAAAAAAGAAAGCAAAAGAAATACTAGCCCACCCCCCACAATGAGTTCACTCCAGCACAGATACATTTCCTTCCTTTCACCCTTAGTGTTTCCATCTAGAAAATGGAAATGGTAATCCCTGCTTAGTGTCTATGTTGTATGTTGCCTTTGTGCCAGGCAATGTGCTGGATGCCGGGGATAAGAACATGAATAACACAGACAAGATATCTGCATTCCTGGACATACAGGCTTGAATGGAAATAAGAGAGTAAAGAACAATAATTATGGAATGTCTGAAATCCGTGGAACAGGGGTCAGTCAATATTTTCAGTAAAGGGCCAGATAGTAAATATTTTTGGCTTTGCAGGCCATCTGGTCTCTGTCACAACCACTCAACTCTGCCACTGTAGTGTGAAAGCAGCCACAGACTACTTGTAAATGAAGGGGCACAGCTGTGTTCCAATAAAACTTTATTTACAAAAGCAGATGGCTCACTGGATTTGACCCTTGGGCCATAATTTGCCAACCCCTGCTCTAGAAGTGAACAAGGTGGGAACCACTCAAGAGAGCCTCTAGGGAAGTATTCTCTGTGGAGGTTGACATTTAAGTGGAGAGCTAAGAAAAGAATTGGTCATGGGAAAGAACATTCCAGAAAGAGGAATGGCAGAGGCAAAGATCCTAAGGTGGCAACTAGAATAAGTCCTGGGAAGTGGCTGAAGGTCGAGTGACAGGTACATGAGAGGTGTGAGAGGAAGAGAGTGTGACATGGGCTGAGGAGGTAGGCAAGGGCCCAAGCACAGGGCATTTTATAGGCCCCACAACAAAGACAGAGGCCTCTCATCCTTCTGCTTAGATTGGCAGATGGGCATGAAGAGCTCCTTCTAGACTAGGGTTCCACTGGACCCACAGAAGCCAATCTGTCCCTCGGTGGTTGTAGGGGGCATCTCCCCATTTTTTGAGAGGGTGATGATAGGGAAGAATATAGCCCAGGGTCAACTGAATGAATCCGATTTTATCCATAAATCCTCACAAAATTCCAATCGGTGTTTTGGCACAGGTTCCTTTCAATGATGACCTGTTGTTTCGAGCTGATCATTGTGCACAGCTTTTACTACTCAGGGTGGGGAAACCTCAGGAGTTTACAAGTTCAGTTCCAATAAGCAGTTCAATATTTGGTTGTCTGACCTTCCCTCAGGAGTCAACATGGTACTCCTACCTTCCCCTCTGCCCTAGAGGCCGAGTCTTAAGCTACTAATCCCTTGGTCTTCTCAGGACATTTGGCAATTCTAGTTCCACCAAATAGTAGCCCTATGGTTTCCACTGCATTGCTTACCTTGAATATTTCTCTAAGACCCCACATAGCTTGGTCTCCACCTGGACCCCCTACTTCCAGTTTTTCTCTTCGTTAGAGAGCTTCCTACTCTGGGGAATATTTCTAATCACTGGATCACAGGAGGGGGAGTTATTAGAGCAATACAAAAGTTTTCGAACCCTCTCAGAACTTCATTTCCCTGCCTGAGCACCACCAAGATCTTGTTTGCTTTCCTGCCCTGTATGGGAATTCAGGGGATAGTAAAGATGTACTTGGCAAACTTTTTCCAAGCTCACATGTTCCATGTTCGTGACATCTGTCTTCTGTTGCTGGGTATATTTTTTCTGGATTGAATAAAATTTTGAACAATGATTCCTGTTTTTATTTCCGGAAATTTTGTGCGTCACTGTAAATCATATGTAATTATGTGCATACAAACCAAAAAAAGAAATATTTGGGTTGGAACTCTGAAGCTTTGATTTGGCTACTTTAACTAGTTAGAGCCAATGGAATGGAGTCATTTTCAGTGTCCCCCAAGAGAGTTAAGTAATAGTAATGGAGCTTTCCCAAGGGGATTGAGTGAGGGAGTAAAGGAAACAAACTAATTATCTTTAATGAATGTATTGGTCCACGACAACATGATGCAAAAACCTTCTTTGATACAACAGAAGTAGCCGTTGAATGTGTGTGTTGGAATGTTTTAATTCGAGTCAGCTTTTAAATGCAAGGAGACACCCCACAAGATAGGCAGGTGACATGGAGAGGCCACTGGATTCAGACAGGCAGGAAGGGGTGTTTCCTCAGAAGTAACAACCACTCACCTACAGAAGTTGGTTTTTCAATATGAACAAGACTAGTTACCAGCTTAATGCTCTTGCCTGCAGTGGTTGAACCCATCTCAGTGTGCTTGGAACTAAGCATGTAAAAAATTCTTCTGAAGCTCCTCTTGGTTGGAAGTATTGGCTGCTAGCAACAGAAACTGATTTGAGTTAGCTGAAGCGTGGGAAATTTTATTAGAAGGCTACTGGGGAGCTCACAGAGGGAAGAATGGGAAGCTGGGAAAGTGGGCAGACATCAAGACTAGTGTGAGGGCCAGGAAGACAGGAGCAGGAAGGGAAGAAAAGCCCACAGCCAGGCCAGCTGGAACAGTGTTGCCACTACTCTGGAGCCTGACCTCTTCCCCTTGAACTCTGAGATAAGGTTCAAGGTCCCAAGAGACAGCCCTTCCCTGCCTATGCTGAATCTGTGAAAGGTGGGTCTGGCTCTGGCCCTTTGACTTCCACAGAGGGAGGTGATACAAGAATTACACTCCTTCCAAGAGATCCACAGTGGTGTATGGGAAGAGGTTACTTCCTGGTATGGTGTTAGGGTAATTAGGGAATTTATAAATTAGGGAGAAAATGGAGGGTGAACAAGCAAGCAGGGAGAGAGAGAGAGCGACAGAGAGAATGAAACAGACATTTGAACAGTCTTTTCTGTAAAGAGGAAAGCTCATAGGTAGATGCCTTCTTGACTCAACACCCATCTCTACCAGGATAAGAGTCCAAGTCGTAAGTTTCATAATTCTTTTGTCATTTGGTATTTTCTATTCCATCTTTCCAGTGGTGGTGGTTGGAATTAGGAAATTGCAAGGAGAGACTGGGACATGGACAAGAATGCTTTGGTCACATTAAACCCTCAGAAGGTAATGCATTTCATACTAATAGAGCTAATGTTTTCAGACTTAATTCATTATGTGTTTTCATGGCTCTGTATGGCCCACATAAATGAGTGAATATGTGTTTTACGTGATGCATTTGCTTGATATTTTATTTTCTGTGAAACATCCATTGACCTCTAACTTTGTAAAAGGCAGCCTTCTAATACTCTTGAAAAGGAGGTCACTAAGGTTCCATGAGCTCACCTCCTAGGTGGGAAATAGGGTCTCCGACCACCTATAATAAAAGGTAGGGTATAAGGAAAGGAAATGACAGAAGTAGAGGAGAGATCACACCCATTTGGAGAAAAGCAAGGAAGACTGCCCAGGGATGGTAGGATTTGAGCAGGGCTTTCTTTGGAGGGTAAATAAAAGTACCCCTAAATCTAGGGCATCCCAGACATAACGCCCATGCTGCAGTGAGGGAGATTAAGCTATGCGGGCATGTGTGGCTCCACGTATGTGGGTCCACGTGTACATTCGGGAGTGGTTATAGTAAAAACTTTAAGGACTGGCACTTTGGGCACTAACTGATTAGAGCTTTCACTGGGCAGATCAGCATACCAATGTGTAATGACTTAATACCAGCCTTGCCTGTAGTTAACGGTGGCATCCCTCTCGCACATGCTTAACTTGGTCAAATGAAGCCATGCCCATGCAGGTCAATTCTGGGTACATTTTCTTCCATTGAGTTATGCCTTGGCATGAGATGGGAAATGGAAATGTGATGTTTCCTTTTTCTGTCCTGGTTCCCTAGTGCATCTCCTAGCATGAGCATCTGCCTATATTGAGGGCAATTCTGCTCTTTAAAAACTGTATTGTTTGAACAACAGGGCCTCTATGTTCAAGCCAGCTTCTTCCTCAGGTGCTCCACTGAGAGAACAGAAATCTCTTTCCTTACTGGCGGAAGGATCTGCTGTGCTGCACTTGCTGACAGAGATATGTCTGTGTCCTCTACTATTGGACAGTTTCAGAGATTTGCCGGGGAAGGTCAACTCTTGGTTAGTTTTGCCTTGCTGACTTTAGAACCAAACCCTCATAATGTGAGCTTTACTATACAGGCATGCAGGAAGAATAACAATAGGTCGTGAGCATGTACTAGGAACAATCTCTAATTTATGTCCCCACAGTAGGCAGTAGCCAAGTGTTGTGAGCAATTGTAGACTTTCTGGGTGGAATCACGTAGTGTTTCCCTTTCGCCTCCTCATTCTTTACCCTCTGAAACCCACCTTTACCTTCATCCAGATCCTCGTCCTTATGTGACCCCACAATACCTTGTTTTGCTGGTGGTAGCCAAAGAGGAGAAGGGAGCTTCTGTGGCTTTCCTTCATGTCCTGAGTCCACAGCAGCTCTGGTGCTCCTCACCTCTATACCTCACAGCTTCCTCCTCACACTGTAGGGCTCATCAACCGAATGCGGCAGTTCTAATCCTCCTGATGACAATATTCACATTGGTCAAAGAAATTAAAATGTTGGTCAAGACCTCAGATAATACATATGTTTATTTATTTATAAGTATGTGCATTTTCTTTTGTTATTGCTAAGTGGAGTCAAGTGGTCAGAGCTTGGACCCAAAGGGAGGGTTTGAGTCCTGTTTCCAACCTTTACTGGCTGTGTGATCATAAGCAAACTAAAAAAAAAAAAAAAAAAAATCCCAACTCTGTGGCCCAGTTTCCTCATTAGTGAAAAAAGTAGAATAATAGCACTTGCCTAATAGGATTGTTGTAAGTATTAAATAAGTCACTATGTGTGAAGTGCTTGAAACAGTGCCTGGAACAAAGTCAGTCCAATGTCAGTTCTTGTTTTTGTTATTTTAAGTCACGGTGGGTTCATTGCCAATGATACAGAAACAGGGCAGCTATTTGCCCCAGAGGTTTGGGACAGAGTTTTCCTGGTATCACCACAGCAAGGGGAGATTCCCCCTAAAGGAGCCACAGTGAATTTTTTCATGGAGACATTGTGAAGCACGGAGCTAAAGTGCTAGCACTCTCGACCCACTAGGCAGGGTGGAGATGCAGGTTGGGAACCTAAACAACCCTGGTCATTTCTTCCTGGAAGAATGTATTTCACACCCTACCCGATTAGCCTACCTAGCAAGACATAGTCTAACCTTCACTTGGATCCTACCTGTCGGGGTGGAGGGAGCAGGAGTAGAGAAAGTAAACCCTTCTGGACTAGCAGACAGTGGCCAGATCTGTGTTCTTAGGCCTTGTGAGAGACTGGCTGGAGGTAGGCATGACCCGAGCCTGATGGATAAGACCCTCAAAGGTCTGTCGTTTGGATCAAGTGAGACAATGTAAAGGGTAGAGCTGGGTGTGGTGACCAGACTCCACACACTGCAGAGATCTAGGAATGGGCATTAGATGGTCCATAGACCCACTGACATTATAAGCAATTATTGATATGTTGGTGATGAGTATCTCGAAAATGAATAAGAACCAATGTTATGAAGCACGGTGCAAATTTAAGGTAGGGCTCTTTCTAGGCATGCTTTTTAAATCACAGTGAATAAAATTCTTTTTGTTTGTTTTTAGATGAAAAAATAACCTTGGACTCTTTTCACTAAGCAGCAGAATTTTAATCAAAAGTTTGGGAGGCCAAAGCAGGTGGATCACCTGTCAGGAGTTTGAGACCAGCCTGGCCAACATGGTGAAACCCTGACTCTACTAAAAATATAAGGATTAGCCAGGTGTGGTGACAGGCACCTGTAATCCCAGCGACTTGGGAGGCTGAAGCAGGAGAAGCGCTTGAACCTGGGAGGCGGCGGTTGCAGTGAGCCGAGATCACGCCACTGCACTCCAGCCTGGGTGACAGAGTGAAACTCTGTCTCAAAAAAAAAAAAAAAGTTTAAAGTAATAAAAGAAAAAATGTATAAATTATATAAATTAAATAGAGCACCATCCCAGTATTTTCAAGCTGTAACACACAGCTTCCACTCTGGGTGCAAGATAGCATGTTTTTCTGACGTGGAAAAAAAAATGTTGCGTCAGTTTCTGTGTTGCAATTTCTTCTGGAATTCAACTTTAAAAGGTAGGCATTTATCTTATTGAACTATTAGCACCATTTTTCTCCAATTTATAAAATGTCTTCCTTTATCTACCTCCCTTCAACAGTCATAGTAATCACCCCCACAAACACATACATATCTCAAGCTGAACTGCTAAATAAACTTATACAAAAATGTCTGGGAGTTATAGGGTATTTTATCTGAAAGCTTTTCCCATTGCTTTTTTGAGCATTTCTTACTCTCTGATTATCACATTTAGTGGTTCTTTTAAATGACCAACAGATCACTAGAATTGTAGAAACTGCCTACACAAGAAAAGATCAGAAATCATTAGGTGGTTTCAGATTTCATGTGTATCCATGTAATTGAGTGAAGTCATACAAAAACAGGAACTAATTGTATGTCCTTTGCCCTTCAATGTGAATATAGCTCTGGTTTCCAAGTAGAAAATTCTTACTTCGGAAATCAGTCAATGGTTTGATAAATACTTGATTCAGAAGCTCAGTTTGAACCTCAAAAGGATCAAGTGTACAGAATAATTTTGATTTCTCCAATATGCCTCCAGGTCATCAGGGGGACAAGCAGCATCCTGCCTGGGGGAGGCTGACCAGCAGGCTTTCCCAGTGGAGCTCTCCTTTCCCTTTGTGAAAAGTCTGGCAGACTGGGCTTTCCAAATAGTATTCCCTTTCTGAAATGCAAATTCACAGTCTTATTTCAAATCCTGGTGAATACTCAGCACATCGAATCACTTGTTTCAAGGCCAGGGATAGAGTAGCGACCTATCAAGTGATGACATTTTTTAGATGTATTGGGTCCTGAAAAGGTGTTTGAAACAAGAATCAAATTAAAAAGTGAGTGGTTACATATGTGTAACTGACTCTGTTGCAAGCCATTAAAATGGAATGTGTTGAGGCCACCATTTGCCTCAATTCCAGGGACCCTTCCTCAGCAAGTGTGAAGGGAGGTCCGGCCATTTTCTTGGCTGTTGGGCATGGTATTGCCTGTTGTTTGAACTAGGAGCAGGACTCACTGTGGGATCTCAGTCCAGGGTTTTCCATTTGTGAGAAACATGATCGCAGAGGTAATTATTTGACTGCTGAAATACTGTTTTTCAAACATGAGCCCTCTTTTTTTTTTTTAAACAAAGTCTGTATCTATTTTATCTAAACCAGCAGTAGTCATAACAGCCATCTCTCTTCGAAGGGAGAAATGAGCTATCAGTTTTTCTCAGGCCTGAGCATTCTCCCACCTGTCCTCAATTTAATGCACAAATGAAAGCACATAAATCTTTGTGACGTTTTGGCGTAAAGCACCTACTTCAGATGACTCCTTTAGGAAACTCTGAACCCAGGTGTTTGGTTTTTGCATAAACTTTGCAAAATGAGAATTGTAACACGACCGTGTGTGTACACACACACACACACACACACACCCCTCCCGCAGAAGGTGGTTGCCTATGAAATGTGGAGAGCCGAAGGGATGTGGGTGGGGGTAGGCGAATAACATGTGTGCAAACTTAATATATCTTTTCCTCACCTTAAGTTGGACCCAGACAGTTAAATTACAATTACAGCCCCATCTGGAGGGGGAAAAAATACAGTACTCGAGTGCTCCAAGCTTTTCAGCCATGGGTACTTTGTCAGGTAAAATAAACACACGTCCCGTTTCCAGCCTGGGGTCAAATTCAACAAAAGCCATGAAAGATGGGACACTCATCAAGAACCAGATTGCGAAATGGCCAGAATGACAGCAACAACAGGAAGAAGGAATAAAATGGTTGGTTACTTCTCTCAAGCCAGATGGCTCAGGAAGGCTGCTCAGGGCCTACCTTAAAGGGATATAAATCCTTGGCAAAACTCACGGTGGATTGGTGCCACTGTCGCGGAAGGGATGTGCAAAAGGAAGGAGCCTGACCTTGGCCAGAGAAATTGGTCCCAATAAGGGTGATCACCCAAGCTAGGCCATGGCCATCCCTTGAGTCTGTTAGTTGGATCATCTTCTCTGGTCACACCTGAGGCTTTAAAACTAGAATGACTTGGTGACCCTGCTCTCTGCCCTGCGAAAGAAGCTAGACTTTTTGTCTAACAGAATGAAGGTGATGCAGGGAGAAGCAGAGAGGACAGAGACAGAGGGGATGGTCCTAAGTGTATTTGAGTCCCTGGTTGCAGTCATCCTTGAGGACAATTCATGCTCCTATTTCCATCATTTGGGAAAGTAGACCAGTAAATTCCAGCCTTTTTGACTAATCCAGCTCTTGAGTTTGTCACTCAGAAACTCAGAGGGCTCAGTCTGGGTCATCAGTTATCAAATGTAATTTATGAGTGGATTACTTTTGTTTGGTCTGATAGTATTAAAGCTAGTGATAATAATTGCTAACATGGAGGATTTAGTATGTGCCAAGCTCTAGCTGAATAATGTTAGATGTATATCATGTTGTTTAATCCTCACAACCCCAGGAGGTAGGAGCAGTTATGAGGAATTATGAGGAAATTGAGGCACGGAAAGGTTAAGAGACTTGACCAAGGTCTCACTGGTAATAAGGAGGAAGTATACTTCAAACTCAGGCTCCAGAGCCTATTCTTTTAATCAATCTATACATCCCACATGTCAATCATGGTGGTGAAAGTAGCATCCTCCCATTCACTTATAATTCCGGTAAGGACTCTTGAGTGAGAAAAGAGAGGAGTTAAAGTGTCTGGAAATTAGGCCGAAGTCCATAAACAATTTTATCTATGCCATTGCCAAAACTGAATGACAGTTACTGATCTCCTATCCATATTTAAAGTGATTTTCAAATTATTGTGACCTTTAATTTCTCCATAACATTTTCCTTTTCTTTCTTTGAAAACTGTTTCTTAGAGGAAGATGTTATTATATATGTGAGCACTGAATGACATATGTATTGCAAGAAGATAGATCGGTAGATAGATAGATAACATTGATAACCATTTAACCATAGGATCTTCAGTGGATCTGTTGCCAATTCTCAGACATGAGGGGGCCAGGTTTCAGAACTCCCTGGAGAGCTCATTGAAGTACAGAGGGCTGTGATTTTGTTTCTCATTTATGGGTCTGAACTGGAATTAGAGAACTTGAATTTCTAACAAGTTCCCAGGTGAAGTTCATGCTGCTGGTTTGGGCACCACACTTTGAGAATCATTGCTCTGCAGCCACTGCAGCTGACTGGTTTGTAAGCACTTATGAAACACCCAGTCAATTCAATTAATAAATCAGCCATGTGGATTGCTTAGGTATCTTGCTGATAGTTTAGCCCCACTGGTGTGTGTTCCAAAATGGCCAGATCAGGTGGTTGTATTTCAGGGGTACTGAGATTCATAAAATGACACATGAAGACATTTGAAAATGTTTATGAGAACAAAATATTAAACCACTATCTTTTTATGTAATAGTTTATTATATAAAATTAACTTGAAACAGTGAATTGCTCTTTGTTGTTTAATAAAATCACAGCTCTTCATCACTATGATTTGGTGCCAAGTGGTTACAAAAGTGTTATGTACAAGTATGTCCTAATATGTGATTGTGTGCCTGCTTTCATTCACCACTCATCATAAGAAGACAATAAGAAATGATCTCAATGTTATCATCAGTTATGTCAGCCGATATTTGTCATGCTAATGAGTTGTGGTAAGCTTGGCTGATGTTATTGGACTTTGTTCATTTTAATTATTTTTTAAATGAACCAAAAGATGAGTTTGTCCCCAAAAGAGGAATTATAATTAATTTTGTTGTAGGGACACAAATATATTCTTTGGGGGCATCAGGTGAACTATAGACACGTACTTTCTACCTCAAGATTGCAGTTTGAAAAATTTCCAACCCCGGAATGTTTTCTAGGGCCATCAAAGTGTCTCAAATATACTTAAAAGTTAGTCTGACTGAACAAAATAGACTGAAGCAAAGGCATATTTGATTTTTAAAACAAATTCTTTTATATATATGTATGTGTATACATATACATATATATGCACATACATATATATGTGTGTATGCACATACATATATATGTGTATGTATATTTATGAGTGAGATTGGCCTGTAGTTTTCTTTTCTTGTAAGGGCTTTATCATGTTTTGGTGTCAGGGTTATGCTGACCTCATAAAATGAGTTTAAAAACATTTTCTTTCTCTAAACTCCGAAAGAATTTATTTAAGTTTGCTATTGTTCCTTCTTAAATGTTTGGAAGATTTCACTCATGAAACAATCTGGGCCTGAATTTTCCTTTGTGGAAAGGTTTTTAACTAAATATTCCATTTTTTAACAGATTTCTTATTTCTGTTTTAGTTTTAATAAATTATGTTTTACAAGGGATTTACCTATTTCATCCAAGCTGTTGAATTTATTGGCAAAGTTTTTTGAAATAGCCCGTTATAATCATTTTAATGTCTATATGATCTATAGTGATGTGGCCTTTTAAAATCTGATATTGGTAACTTATGTTCTCTCTTTTTCTCTCTCTTTCTCTCCCTCTCCCCATCTCTTTCTCTCCCTCTCCCCATCTCTCTCTCTCCCTGTCTCTCTTAATCAGGTTTGCTAGGAATTTATCAACTTACACATCTTTCCAAAGAATCAACTCTTGGCTTTGTTAGATTTCCCTATTAAATGTCTGTTTTCTCCTTGCTTTCTGCTCAAATTTACATCATTTATTTCCTTTGAGTTTAATGTGTTAATCTGTTTATAGTTTATTGAAATGGAAACTTAGAGCATTTATTTTCAGTCTTTTCTAATATATGCATTGAAAGCTACAAGTTTGCCTCTAACTACTGCTTGAGCTTCATCCCACACATTTTGATATATTTTCACTATTATTCCGTTCAAAATATTTTCTAATTTCCATTTTAATTAACTCTTTGATTAACATCTTAATTAACTCTTTAATTAACTTAATTAACCTATGAGTATGACTCATAGGTGAGGTAGAAGTGTGTTGCTTAATTTCCAAGCATTTGGATATTTTCTAGTTATCTTTTTATTATTGATTTCTAGTTTAATTCCACTGAGGTGAAAAAAAATTCTCCTTTGAAAGTTGTTGAGACTTCTTTGCTCCAGTATATGGTCTATTTTGGTAAATGTTCCATATGCTCTTTAAAAAGAATGTATATTCAATAATTTGGAAGTGTAGAATTCTAGGTATATTCACTCAGTCAAGTTGGTAAGAATTTATTTCTTGAGAGAAGAAAATGAAGTATTTCCCGAAGTTTAAGTGATAAGAGAACCACATTTACTGAGTGCTTACTCCTGGAATTTTTGACATTGAACTCCTCAGCAGCAAATCATGGATATTTGTTTCACTTCCATCTGACTGCTGAACATCTCTATCTAGATGTGTAATTAGCATCTCAAATGAGCACACCCCAAAAAGAATTCTTGATTTTCCCTTCAAATCTGCTGCTTTCTTGTCTTCCCATCTCAGTAAATGTACCTCAGGTGCTCATTAGGCTGAAAACATTAAATGTGCCTCAAACTTCTCTTTCCTTCACTCTCACATCTACTCCACTAGGAGGTCTGTTCCTTCTACTTTAAAATAGGTCCTAATCTGACTGCTTCTTACAGCTCCTGCTTACTACTGCCTTGGTCTAAGCTTCTGCCATTTCTTTTAGGGTCACTATTGTAGTAACTTCCTAATGGGTCGATCTGATTTTTTTCCTCTTCTCCCCTCTGCATCTCCAGAACCTGCTATCTCCTACGATAGAGCAGAGTTGTAATTCTCCCATAACAATTAAACTCTTTTCTAAAAAGAAAATAGGATCAAATCACTCTTTTACAAGAAAACAAATAAACAAATAAAATTCAAAGGCTTCTCATCGCACTTAGAATCGACTAGAAAACTCTTATATAGCCTTTGAGGCCCTAGGTGATCTGGCCCTGCCTCTCTGCAATCTCGTTTCTGACTACTCTTCACCTTGCCCTCTGCTCCAGCTGTGCTGGCCCTCTTGCAAGGCTTGGAAAATGTCTAGCTCACTCTTGCCTCAGAGCCCTGGCACTTGCTGTTGCCTCTGCCTGGAATGCTTTTCTCCCAGATCTTTACATGATTCACTTTTTCATTCCATCTGTGTCTTGACTCATACTTCACATCCTCAGAGAAGTGATCCCTGACCACCCTACCTCCCCTGAGCTATCACGTGTTCACCTATCCTGAGTATGCATTCATTTCTTCATAACACTTGTCAACACCACAAATTATTTATAAATTTATCTGTTTATTTGTGTTGATCTGTATTATGAACTAGAATATACGCATCATGAGGTCAGCAGCAATGTTGTCTGTTTTACTGCTGAATCCCAACCATGTAAACCAATGTCTGACACATGGCACTTAATAAATGTCTGTTGGTTGGATAGATGTGTAGATGAATGCATGGAGGATAAACGTTTAGCTGAAAAAATAATTGTTTTACATCCATTTGTTTGTACTAATTAATCTCATCCTCCCCTAGATAGCACTAGGTTGTTCTAGTTAGAAAGTTTGTTCATAAGGCTAAACTCTTAAAATCATCTGTGGATTATAACATCAGTAATTCAGGTTGGAGTTGTCATCAATTAGTTTGAGTTGGTTTTGGCTACCAATGCAGAAGTCCCACAGTTTTAAGAGACTATGTGCACAGACTTCATTTTTGAAATAGAAGTTTAAACAATATATATACTCCTAAAAAGAGCTCTGTAACACATATACCCAATCTATGAGTAGACTGGACTGTGGGCATTAGTGCCGATGAGTTAAGATTTATAGACAGTGATTCTGGGGAGGGTGGAGAAAAATTATCCTTAGGTACTTTTCTTTTCTTTTGGGACGAAGTATTTTCCCTTTCTGATTTTCTGTATAATATTCTATATATTACTACCTCTCCACCGCCAGTGGGGTAGGACAGGCCTTTATAAACATTATCATCAATAATTTTCCCCACAACTCTACAGACCAGACGTGACCACTTTCATGTTTCAAATGTGAAAAATACACAGAGAGACAATATGTGCAAGATGACACGCTGGGCCATTGCAGAACCAAGGCTTTGCCTGTTACGTCTCTCTCCTCAAAGTTGGCACTTTTTCGGCTGGAACTCATATTGTCTCCATTTTTATGTTGACTATGGAAAATAATTCAACAAATAATATTTAGTAGTTGCTATAGGTTCAATGTTTATGCAACCCCTGCCCCTAATTCATTTGTGAAAACCTGTTTCCCCATGTGATGGTATTTAGAGGTGGGAACTTTGCAAGGTGATTAGATCACAAGAGTGGAGCCCTCATGAATAGAATTAGTGCCCTTATAAAAGGGACCTAGAGAGGTCCCTTGCCCCTTGCCTTGTGAGGACACGGTGAGAAGGCTGTCATCTATGAACCAGCCAGCAGGCCCTCTGCAGACACAGTCTCTCGATTGCTAGATCTTGGACTTCCCAGTCTTGAGAACTGTGAGAAAAAAAATTTCTGTTGTTTTTAAGCCACACAGTTTATGGTATTTTTGGTATAGCAGCCTGAACAGACTAAGATAGGAATTAAGGATAAAGACTTCTTGCAAATATATACTTGGGTCTCACGTAGTAACTTCTCCATAGATTTTTATTATGACCAGGCAGGATTGGATATTTCAGAATTTGCTGTAATTATATGTCCTTAAACCTACTTTTCTGTGTACCTCACTAAATTTCTGACAGCCTAGTGGAAGAAACAACATGTTTCCAATTATTTTCAGCACTCAAGTATAGTTGTGCAACAAATGTCCTTGTCTGATTGTTTTTACGTCATCATGTGATCCTACTTCAGACCAAAAAGTCCTTTGGGGTCTTGACAGATGTTAGTCACCTCTATTATCACTTAGTGTCTGCTTTTATTTAATTCAAGTATTGGTTCAAATGGTCCCTCTCCAGAGAAACCTTCTTGAATATCATCACTGCCTTCCCCTCTGTCTCCTCACCTTAATTTATTTTTCTTTACAGCTCTTAGCACTAACTGATCTTCTATTATACTTTTGTTTTTAACCATGTTTCTCTTCCATGAGAATAAAATAATCTCCAGGAGGGCAGGAGCTTGGTTTTATTCACCATTATCTACCCAGGACCCAGGACAGTACCTAGCACATAGGAAGGCCATGAGTGACTATTTATCAAACGAATGATGTTCCCCTAACCCCGCAAAAACACAGACTGTACTGACTCCTCTGTGGAAGTGGAAATTGGACATCCCTGACTTCAGGACATTGCACAATGATATGGAATCACTTCATGCAATAACTTTATTCTATGATCATTAATTAACATTAGCTGGTCAAGCTGAGGATGAGGTCTTCTAATCTGACTTGCGTTCTAAGCATAAATTCTCAGCAATGTCAGGATAGGTTAGGCCAGTAGTTCTCAACTTCGTTTTTACCAATTGCTATTGTTCAATAGAGGTAGACCTCAGAAATGCTGAAGGAATCACCACCTTTAAACTGTTATAATGGGGGTCTTCTCCAAATGGAGAGGATGAAATGATGTTGTGGATTGGACTTTTCTTAACTACTGAGCATTCTTCTTGCCCATAATTTCCTTCTGAAATGTGTGCTGCTGTCTACCTAGGTCACTAACAGATTTAGTAGTGGCAGATGAATTTTTTGGAAGAACTCTAGAATGACCAGGTGTATTCATTTGGACCACATGTTGCCTCTGAGGATGCTTGTGCAGGCTCCATCCGGGAAGGCAGCAGTAAGATGAAGTCACTGTCCTCATAGAGATGATTTCATTCTTATAGGACAGAAAGACAGTTTTTAAAAAGTACAATATTTAGGGCTGAGTTGTTAAATGGCATACCCACGACAGCCATAGTTTTAGCCAGAAAAATTGTTCCTTGGTTATCTGCTGGGAAAAAAATTGCTATCAGTGTTCCGTGGGGTTCTACAGAGAGAACATAACTTCCAGATGTTCCATCTCTGAATGTGTTTGGGAGCCCTCAGGTTAGAAAATGGTCCTCTCAGCCCTGGGCTCTGATCTTTTTGGGATCTATGATGTTGACCCCACTATGGGTATTTCAGCTACAAATTCCACCAATCCCCTGTTGCATATATTTGTTTTCTCAGCCTGTAATAAATAGCTTCATATACAGAGATTCCATCTGAACACAAACAGTCCCAGCCTTTAGAAGACTCTCCAGCAAAACTCTCAGAGCACGTGTGTGTTTCAGGGGTAATCATCTCCAGGCAACACTGGTCGGTCCTAGAAGTTGTCATTGCTGTCATCTTCCTGTGAAATTCTTCATCCCTTTGAATGCTCATAAATGGGCATTTTCCAGAGAGTACATCATTTTGAATTGAATTTCAATAACTCCTCCAGTGGCCGCCTGCCAGCCTGAAAATGTCCATGCTTGTGAAACGGTGAGTCTGTTTGAAAGCAGGCTGGCTTTGGTTTTAGCAACAGACTAGGCTAAGTCCAGAAAATATTTTGTGTTATTTATTTTTATAGCATGAATGAGCAAAATATTCAAGAAAGTGCTGATGGGGCTCTAGTTCTCAAACTCCTGCTTAGAAAATAGAAATTTAGATTCTCTGTTCGATCCCTCCAAGCCCCATCCTGTTCTCTCTTTTTTCCAATGGGGGCTGATCTGTGCCAGCTTTGGCAGAAGCAGGGATGTGTTGAAATGCTGTAAATTACAGTTAATGTGATATGATTCTGTTTATCCTTGTCCAACACTGTTGAACCTACCAATTTCTCCTTCTTGGCTTCCCATGAATTAAAGCAACCAGAGAATAGCCAGTTGGAAGACTGAATCATTTTCTTTTTCAGTCAGAGTAAAAAACAGGCACAAATGATGAATGCTGGCCCTCAAGAAAAGGGTTTTTTCCTTGACAAGAAATTCAGAAAAAGCCCAAGACAGTGCCCTATTTACTTTTGAAGAAAAAGCACTGTGTCCTGGGATGTAAGGAAATGAAAGCATGATTCAGTTTCCTACACAAGATTCTCACCAATAAAATTTAAATGGAAAATGTCGATGATTTCATAACTATGAGCTGAATACTAAATAGACAGCTGCCGTCCTTAAATTTCTAATTCAAAACTAGAATGATCAGCCCAAGAAGATAGTCACTGATAGGTCTCACTGTTTTATACCAGGCACATTAAATAACACTGTGTCTTCAGAGGCAAACCTCTTAGATGCAAGTGACCAGACATTGTGACTGTCACAATGCTAAATGACCAGTGTGACTAAATTGTTCAAATGTCAATCACCAGGCCTGTTGGGAAGATGTGGCATTTGTCAGATTTTTATTTGAAGTCAGAGAATTGACAGACCTTTGTTTTCATGTATATTGAGGTTTTGAGAAGGGCATGTATTAGGTTTGTGGAGTTATTAGGGATGAGGTAAAAAACCATATATATATCGTCAGAACAAATAAGCATCAATAACTGGGAAAAAATTCCAAATTGAGCATTTTCAGATCTGGTTTGCTTTGAATATTGCACAATCCAATGAAGGTTTGATTAAATGAACAAGAGGGAATAGCAATGTCTTTAAAGAGCAGTGGAGAGCAATGTAAGGGAAAATATATTCTATCCCATAGCTAATACAAAATATGTAAAGTGTGGTTAGAGAAATGTGATATGAACTTAAGAGAGGTATATGATGAGCACTTCAGGGTTTTCTAAATAGAGACAGATGATGTCTTGTGTGTGTGAAGAGAGAAATGACCCCTCCACAAACTCCCCTCTACCCTGCACGTGATTCTTCTGTAGTAGGCCTGATAACCCAAATCCCTTACATTTGCCCAATGCATTGCATATTTATTTAAAAGAGAATGTACAATTGCAAATATCAATCCAAGTTAATACTTCCCTCCCAACTAGCCCATGAGTTAGGTGCTTATATTTTCCCCTTCTCACAGATGGGGTAACAGAAGCATGTAGAGGTTAAATAACTTCATTCGTTCATTAGTTACTTACTGATTTCACCACACACTTATTGAACCCTTACTAAGCATAGACACTGTACCAGGTGGTGGAGAAATGAGAAGAGTGTGACTTAGTCCCCACCTTCAATGCATCTTTGGAATGGTAGAGAAGACAGACTGCTAAAGGAGAACTCACAATAGAAAATGGTAATTAGAGTGATGAAACTATGTAGAAAAATCCCTGCCTCTGGCATTGCTTTTCCATGTGTTGTTCTGTTTCAGGCCAGGCCGTGTGTTACCTCATTCATCCCAACACCAACCCTATGGGGTATTCATTCTTTCAGCTAATGCCCACTGAGTGTCAGTCCTGGGAAAATAGCACCCACTGTTGAGAGATTAGATTCCAGTTAAGGAGACAGATATTTATCAAGTATATCACAAAAATACCAAAGAGAGGTACAACTATAGCGAGTGCAACCAAAAAAATGTGACAAAAGCTAGAGGAGTGCACGGTGGGGGGATTTGACTTCATCAGGGAAGCCAGTGGAAGCCTCTCTGCGTATGGAATCATAGGAAGGTCTAGGTGAGATAGGGAAACTATTCCAGCAAGAGAGGGCAGGATGGTGCATGGAGAATTGGAAAGCAAGTCGGGGGAGTACAGTGTGACGTGTGCAAGGAGAGGTCAGTTCCAGAAGGTCCTTTCTTACAAGCCATGTGGGGAGGGATGGAGGGTATCCTCACCACGGTGCTGAGGAGCCACTGAGTGTGTAGCAGCTGACGGGTCATGGCACTGATTGGTATTTATTCTTCTTTTTTCTTTTTTTTTTCTTTTTTTGAGACGGAGTCTCGCTCTGTCACCAGGCTGGAGTGCAGTGGCGTGATCTCGGCTCACTGCAACCTCCACCTCCTGGGTTCAAGTGATTTCTCGTTCTTCAGCCTCCCGAGTAGCTGGGATTACAGGTGCACACCACCACGCCTAGCTAATTTTTGTATTTTTAGTAGAGATGGGATTTCACCATGTTGGCCAGGATGGTCTCGATCTCCTGACCTCATGATCCACCTGCTTCGGCCTCCCAAAGTGCTGGGATTACAGACGTGAGCCACTGCACCCAGCCTTCTTTATTTTTTTTTAAATAAATTTTTTTGTGTATATTTGAGGTTCACAATATAATATGGGATATGTATTGATAGTAAAATGGTTACTACAGTGAAATAAACAAACATATATCATCTCACATGGCTGCTTTTTTTGTGAAAAGAGCAGCTAAAATCTACTTAACAAAAATCCATAATCACTATAATTTTATTAACTATAGTCTTCATGTTGTACATTCAATATCTAGACTCACTGATCCTCTATATCTGCTTCTTTGTATTCTGTGATCTACCTCTCCTCATTTCCTCTCTCCTGCCCCCAACCTCAGTAACCACTGTCTTATTCTCTATACATTTGACTTTTTTCTCTTTTTTTCTTATGATTCCACATATATGTGAGATCATGATGCAATATTTTTCTTTCAGTGCCAGCATCTTTCACTTGCCATAATCTCCTCCAGGTACATCTATGTGTTGCAAACAGCAGAATTTCCTCTTTTTTTTTTTTTTTTTTTTTTTTTTGATACAGAGTCTCGCTGTCGTCTCCCAAGCTGGAGCGCAGTGGCGCAATCTTGGCTCACTGCAACCTCTGCCTCCAAGGTTCAAGCGATTCTCCTGCCTCAGCCTCTCAAGTAGCTGGGATTACAGGTGCCCACCACTATGCCCAGCTAATTTTTTGTATTCTTTTTTAGTAGTTATGGAGTTTCACTTTGTTGGCCAGGGTGGTCTCAAACTCCTGACCTTGTGATCTGCCTGCCTCGGCCTCTCAAAGTGCTGGGATTACAGGCATGAGCCACCATGCCTGGCCTCTCTTGTGTTTTTAATAATAGCCATACTAACGTGTGAGGTGATATCTCATGGTGGTCTTCATTTGCATTTTTCCAATGATTAATGATGTTGAGAGTGTCTTTTCATATACCTGTTGATTGCTTTTATGTCTTCTTCGGAAAGGTATCCATCAGGACCTTTTCCTATTTTTTAATCAGGTTTATTTTTTCTGCTATTGAGTTGTAAGAGTTCTGTACAAATTTTGGATATTATTAAATATCCAAATGTATTAAATGAATCAATTTGGGATCCATTTGCACCAATCATTAATAACTCCTTATCAGATATGAATTGTGAAAATATTTTTTCCCTAGATGTAGGTTGCCTTTTTACTTTGTTGATTGTTTTCTTTGCTGTGCAGAGCTTTTTAGTTTGATATAGTCCCGTTTATTTATTTTTGCTTTGGTAGCCTGGGCTTTTGGTGCAATATCAAAAAAAGTATTGCCAGGGCCAAGGAGCTTTTCCCCTATATTCTCTTCTAAGAGTTTTATGGTTTCAAGTCTTACATTTAGGTCTTTAATCCATTTTGAGTTGGTTTATGTATATGGTGTAATATAAGGGTTTAATTCCATTCCTTTGCAATGGAAATCCAGTTTTTCCAGCAGCATTTATTGAAGAGACTATCATTTCCCCATTGTGTCCTCTTAGTGTCCTGGTCAAAAATTAGTTGGCCATATATGTTTGGATTTATTTCTGTGCTCTCTATTCTGATCCACTGGTCTATATATCTGTTTTTATGATATTATCATGCTGTTTTGCTTTCTATAGCTTTGTGATATAAATCAGGAAATGTGATCCTTCCAATTTTGTTCTTCTTCAGTACTTCTTTAGCTATTTGTTTTTTTATGATTCTATATGGATTTTAAGATTTTTTTCTATTTCTATGAAGAATGCCATTGGAATTTTGATAGGGATTGTGTTGAATCTGTATATTGTTTTGGGTACTATGGATATTTAAACAATATTAATTTTTCCAATCCATAAATACAGAATATCTTTCTATTTATTTGTGTTGTCCTCAACTTTTTAAATCAAGGTTTTATAGTTTTCAGTGCCAAATCTTTCACCTTCTTGGTTAAATCTATTTCCACTTTTTTATGCTATCTTAAATAAGATTTAAAAAAATTTATTCTTAGCATTGCTGTTATTTGTGTATAAAATGCTACTAATTTTTGTATGCCAATTTTGTATCCTGTAACTTTACTGAATTTAGTTATCAGTTCTCACAGTTTTTTTGTAAACTCTTTGGGTTTTCTACATATAGGATTATGCCATCTGCAAATAGAGACCATTTTTCTTCTTCCTTTCTAATTTAGATGCTTTTATTTCTTCCTCCTGTCTGGTTACTCTTGCTAATACTTCTAGTAATATGTTGAATAGAAGTGGCAAGAGTGAGCATCCCTTCCTTGTGCTGGATCTTTGTGGAAAAGATTTCAGTTTTTCCCTGTTGATTATGATGTTAGCTATGGGTTTTTCATAAATGTCTTTTGTTATATTGAGGAACTTTCCTTCTATACCTAACCCATTAAGAGTTTTCAATCAAGAAATGATGGGCATTTCTTAAGATGACTTTGGCTGTGTTGTAGAGAATCCATTAGAATGAGCCCAAAGGTGGAATTTGGGAGACCAGACAGATTTTCAAAAGAGAGGTACTGGAGTGGTGGCTGTGGAGCTGTCCAGAAGGGCAAAGATCCAAGAGATATTTTGTAGGTTACATTGACAGGTTTACATGTGTTGGATATGGGACCAGTTCAAGAGTGACCCATTTTACAGATGGAAAATCAATGGACAGAGAGAGAGGCTGATTAACTCCCAAGGACACAAAACTGGTAAGAGAATCAATCTTTATTAGAGCAGTTGAAGAACTGTTGAGCAAGCACTTTTACTCTCTCTTTTGTGAGCATGAAGAAGAGGAAACAAAGAACCTTTGCTGAGGAAAATGGAACAAAATCTAAGAAGGAATAAATGTTCAATCATGGCTTTGCCAAGTGTGTAGAGGAAAGGGAAAGGGTCATTTTGGACAGAGGTAATTGCATATGAGCAAGCAAGAAAAGGAGGCTTTGAGAGGTGACAGAAACTCTATATCTTGATTGTGGTAGTAGTTACAGAAGTTCATGCATTCATTCAAATTCACTAAACTGCACTTAAAGTGGGTCCTTGTTAAAGTGCATATCTTGTGCCCAAATTTTGGTCTCTAATACCTTTGTCCACTTGAAAGAACCACAGTTTTTCAGAGAAATGGCTGATTCCAGGGCTGGAGCAGGAAGTAAAGAAGTGAGTTTTAAAAGGAAAGAAAAAGAAAGAGAAAGAAAGAAAAAGTGGGTATGTCACAAGGAAATAATAGCCAACTTGGAGGGGATCCCACTGGCCAAACTGGGAAAATTTGAGCACTAATATAATTAAAGATAGTAATAAATTATAGGCCATTGAGAAGAACAGGAAATCGTGAGTCCATACTAATAAAAACAATAAACATTTGGGAGAAAGGGGAGAGTCTTATCCACAAGAAGGCTGAATGTAGCTGGTAAATGTGGAAGAAGTGCTAGAAATGAAAATCTTCATTTTACATCTACCATAATAAAGTTTTGTTCAGGCAAGAATCATCAAAGGCTGCTAAATCCAGGGGGATATTTTAATGAGGTGCAGGATATTTGAATGGTCTCAAAGAATCTTCCCATAAATTGCTTATTAACTGCAAGAGAAATAGTAGTAAATACACAGGAAGAAATGGGATAGCACTTTGGGTAATCAACAGCAGCATCACCAATGGCCATTGTGTGCCCCCCAGATATCATTCTATCATTCTAGTTGTTCAATCCAATTGAAATCCAATTAAAATAGGATAAAAGCTAAAAATATCAAGAGAGAAGTCTCAAAAGAAAGAGGAAAATAAATGGCCAAGGGATTCGTTAAAAAGATGCTCACCCTGATAAGTGATCAGGAAAATGCAATCAAAGCAATGCAGTACTGATTTTTCTCAAACTGATATTTTTTCAATGATCAATGACACTTCATTTGGCAAGAACATGGAGAGAAGTAGGAACTTTCATACTGTTTGCATGATTGTCACTTGATAATATTTTTGGAGGACAATTTAGTGTTATTTTTCCACATTAAATATCCTTACCCTTAGACTGAACAATCTCAGGTCTGGGAATTGATCCCAAAATACATCTCTGATTGTAGGCACAAGGGCAGTTATTCCAGCTGATTGTAATAGAAAGCAATTAACAGCAGTATCAGTTATCTATTGCTGCATATCAAACCACTGCAAATGTAGCAGCTTAAAACAACACACACTTAGTATCTTTTTCTGTGGATTGAGCATCTGGGCAGAGCTTAGCTGGGTCCTCTGCTTAATGGTCTCTCACAGCACATGAAGATGTTGGCCAGGGCTGGGGACTCATCTGAGACTCGAATGGGGAAGGATCCACTTCCAAACTCATGGTTATTGGCAGAATTCAGTTACTTGTGGGCTTTTGGCCAGAGACTGCCCTTAGTTCCTTGCCACATGGGCCCTTCTGTAAACCAGCAAGAGAAGAGTCTGTTAGCAAGAGGCAAGTTACAATGTCTTGTACTCTAGTCACAGTAGTGACATCTTATCACTTTTGCTCCATTCTATTGATTAGAAGAAAGTCATGAGGCCAGCCCACTCTCAAGGGCAAGGGATTTCACAGGGGCATGAATACCAGGAGGTAGAGATCATGGGGAGGGGGTCATCTTAGAGCTTGCCCCCATGACAACCCAAATGTCCATTCAGAAGGACAAGGTTAAATAAATTATTATGGTAGCACCACACCATGGGAAACACTTCGGTCATTCATGAAGAATAACGTCAATTTAAGTGTGCACAGACTTGGCAAAATTTTCCAAACCTATTTCTCCCCAAGTCCCACTCCCCAAACCTATTGTTAAGTGAATAAAATAAGCAAAGCTAGTTTGCAGACAATGCACATATTGTGACACCATTTGTGTGGAAACACAATATTTTCCAAATGAAACATGTTTATGTGTACATATATATGCATTTATTACAAAGGAAAAAGCTTGGGAGGAGGTATATCTACTCTATTGATCATGGTTACCACTGGAAGCTGTGGGTTCAGGGTGGACGGAGGCATAATGGTCAACATTCTCATTTTATTCCTCATACTTATTGATTGTTTGGCTTTTGTTTTTTATTTTTTTACAGTGGGAGTATATTTATGTATTGTAGATTTTTTTTCTAAAATGAACTAAAACTGGGAAGCTGGGGCTTTCATCCAACAGTGTTAATTTTTGGAAGTGTAACATGTTATCCCTAAGTGTGTCCTGATTGTGCCTTTTTATTGTGCAGATTTTAACAGTTTGCTCGGTTTTCCATCCCAGCTTTATCTCAGATGTTTCCAACTACACTTGCAACAATGAGACCAATAAGGGCTTTGTTGTCCTAGACCCAAGAGCTGTTCTGGGAGTACCGGAGGAGGGCTGGGCTGTAGTGAGCTGGCAGCTGGATCCTATCGAGCACCCTTTTTTCCCAGACACAAAAGAAGAACCACAGTAGCCACCCAGAGTGGAGTCTGGTGCTGCGGGGCACTTCTGGGAGGTCACAGAAAGGGATGTGGGACAAAGAGTCCCTTTTTGTGGTGTGTCTTCTTGTTAGTTCCATGACCGACTTTGTCATCAGAAGATGAGCCCAGGCTCCCATGCTCCCATGATGGAGGTGCAGTTCAGGAGCAACCGCTCACTGGTGACCTTGGGTGGGCTGCCTCATCCCTCTGTGCCCCAGTGGCCTCCTCTGTAAAATGGTGATGTCCGTCCTATCACTCTTATGGGTTTGCTGTGAGGATTAAATGTGCTGATACAACTGAAGCACTTGGCTTAGTGCCCAGAACATATTAAGCACTCTCAGGAAGGTGAAGATCTGCTGCCATGCAGATGTTGTCTATTGTTACTAACAAAATTAGCATTTACTAAATCCTTACCGGTTCCTCTCCCCAGCTCTGTGATAACTGCTTTACATGCGTGGTCTCATTGAATCCACCCTAACTTCCGGTGTTAATTTTCCCATTTTACAGACAGGAACTCTGAGGCTCAGAGAAAGTCAGTTAGCCTCCCAAGTTCATAAGCTGGGAAGTGATGGTGCCAAGGTTTGAACTTGGGTCTGTCTGCAAAGCTTCTGCTCTTCACAATCATGCTTTATTGCTTTGTGGGCCTTAACACTCACATTATTTTGCTCTCATGATAATGAGAAAGCTTCAGGCACCAGAGGACTTGGGAACAGAATAGTGTACTTAGGAGAGGACTAGCTGGGATTTGCTGTGTAAAGATATGACAGAAACATGAGGATAAATGGTTGAGTGAAGAGTCAGTGTGGGAAACGGTCCAGAACTTTCTCAAAAACCAGTCCATCAAGGAGATCAAAATTAAACAAAGATAAATTGGATTTGACTTCCACAGTAATTCGCCTGATATGTGTATGTTTGTATACAATCTTTGTACTTAACAGAGACCACTCATTCTTGTCACACACATGGAATTTACAAAAATTGACCAAAACTTCCCTTTTCTATGGTGGCGTACTTAAAGGCACTGCCACAGAACTACAAGACTTCAGGGAGAATCATTCAGAAAGAGCTTTCTAGAATGCCTGTTATGGCCCATATGAGCTTCTAGATATGTTATATGGTTTGGCAGTGTCCCCACCCAAATTTCATCTTGAATTGTAGTTCCTATCATTGCCATGTGTTGTGGGAGGGACCCGGTGGGAGGTAATTGAATCATGGGTGTGGTTTCCCCATGCTGTTCACATGATAGTGTGTGAGTCTCATGAGATCTGGTGGTTTCTTAAGTGCCTAGCATTTTTCCCCTGCTGGCACTCATTCTCTCTCCTACAGCCCTGTGAAGAGGTGGCTTCCATCATGACTGCAAGTTTCCTGAGGCCTCCCCAGCCATGCAGAAATTTGAGTTAATTAAACCTCTTTTCTTTATAAATTACTGAGTCTCAGGCATGTCTTTATTAGTAGTGTGAGAATGGACTAATACAATATATTGACACACACACATCCTATTTTGTGGTAATGAAAAGCGGAAATATCTTCTTCATCTTATCTATGAGGCAACTAAGGGTTAGACACTAATCTACCAAAGGCATATCGTTTGCAAATGGTGGCACTGAGAAGGAGACCTCAGGGGCTTCCCGGTTCCGAGGTACAGCAGCATCCTTCTTCCAATGTGCTGTGCCTGCTCAGGGGGTCAGAGGCTCAATAACTCCCTGTGCAGGCACAGCACATTAGGCCTAGCACATTGGGCACATTTTAGGAGAAAACATTTCTTGAAGCAAGTCTAACAAATCCATTCTTCTCCTCAAATTTGTTTTCTGAAATAAAGCTTCAGACCAAGAATGTAAGTCTGATAAGAATGCAAGGCAGACAAAGGAAAGTGTCAGCGAGAATGTGCGGGAACTGATACCCTCTTACCTTGCTGATGGAAATATAGAATGTTGCAGCCATTTTGGAAACAGTTTGGCAGCTCCTCAAAATGTTAAACATAGAATTACTGTATGACTCAGCAATTCCACTCCTAAGTGTCTACCTAAGAGAATTGAAAACATATGCATGAGTATTCACAACAGCATTACTCATAAAAGCCAAAAAGTGGAGACAACCAAAATGTCCATTAACTGATAAATAAGTAAGCAAAAGATGGTATATCCATACAGTGGATAAAAAAGAATGAAGTCTTTATTCATGCCACAAAACAGATGCCTTGTGAGAACATTACGCTAAATGAAGAAAGCCAGTCAACAAAGAAAAGTCAACATACTGTGTAATTTTATGTATATGAAATGTCTAGAATAGACAAATCTATGGATACTGAAAGTAGATTCATGGTAGCCTAGAGTTGAGGGGTGGGGGGGATGGGAGTGACTGCTAATGTGTACTCTTCATAGGGTTTCTCTGTGGGGTAATGAAAATGCTCTAAAATTAGATTATGGTGATGGTTGGACAACTATGAATACACTCAAAACTACTGAATTGTTCACTTTTGTGCAACTTTTACTGCATGTGAATTATATCTTAATAAAAGCTATTTTAAAAAAGAGAATGCAAGCCTGACTTGCCAAGGTACCCTTCTTTTGAAAACTAAATGAACAAACATCTGAAATTTGCTATTTTCTGTATGAAAGTATGCAGAACTGGGGGAGATGACTTCCAGTAAACAAATCAGTAAAGACGAGAGAAAGCAGCAGTTGAGCATGAAAGGTTGAGAGCCTTTAAATGTGCCTTAAAGAATGAAATAGATTTGGGCATAATAGAAAGGATATTCTAAATGCAAGGAATGGTGTGAGCCAAGCTCTAGAGGGGAAAAGACATGAACAGAAAACATGGGAAAACATTGTTTTCTTCCAACGTTGTTTAAATTGAACAAAGAAGACATACTACATTTTAAAACCATGCTAACAAATACTCACAGGTATGAATACCTTTTGGATGATTTTATATTAAGAGTCGAAAAGAAAAATACAAAAAACTTGACAGAAGCTCACTTCATAAGAAATGCTGGTAGGTGACCTGTATTCTGTTAAACAAAATATATTAATAATAGCTTCCAAAAAGAAATTACTAAATTTGGAGCTACTAGTAATATTTTTATCATTTTATTTTATTATTTTTGAGACAGGGTCTTGCTCTGTTGCCCAGGCTGGAGTGCAGTGGTGCAATCATGGCTCACTGCAGCCTCAACCTCCCAGACCCAAGCAATCCCCCCACCTTAGCCTCCTGAGCAGCTGGGACTACAGGTGTGAGCCATCATGCCCAGCCTACTTGAAAAATATCAACCATGAAAACCAATTTAATGCTAGCACATCTACTCTCAGTAATCATCTGATCAAAGAGAAAATATCTTTCTTTGGTTGGGTGTCTCATGCAGGGTTGTCACAAGCCAGTTGCGCTCAGCTTGATAAAATGGCACGTGGCATTTCTTATAGCAACATTTGCCCTCTGAGAAAAGAACCTTCATATGGCAGGTAGCCAGAGTGATGACTGTCTTGAAGCCCTGAGAAGATTCATTCCAAGTCCAGGGCAAACCAGAAGTCCTTTTATTTATAGAAAGATGTATTAAACATCTTTATCAATCTCCCCTCTACAGATATCTCAGCAAGCTTCATAGCCTATTTGTTATCTACTTTTGGTTCTCTGCTCAGAAATTTTATGATTCTCCATGTTAATCAAGTAAAGGCAGCAGTGAGGAACAGAATATCTCAGTCAAATTAAATTCCTACCTCTCTCTAGGACTGGAATAAAGCTCATTAAGTAAAGATGAGTCCTGCTTTTTCAGAAAATGAATCAAGACAGAATACAGATACAGTCAGTAGTTAAGAAATCAGTAAGTAACAAATAATAAATGATGAAAAACCTCTAACATGTAGTCCATGAGGCCTTGTGTAAGCAGAAAAGCACGTGGATGCCACATAGCCCAGGCAAAGGTAGCTCCAAAGGAGTGAGACCACTCAGTAGACCTAGGCTAAGAGCAATGCATATCACTGCTCCCCATCAGTGTTTGTGAGTCGGAGGTTTTGGTTCCTCTCACCAGCAAGAAGAAGAATAATACCAGCTGGTCTGAGGGCAGGTGGCAAAAAGGTGTGCCAGGAAGATGGTTGTGAAATGCGAGAGTTCCCTGACACCCCTCGCAGGATGTGCGACAGGGGTGTGGCTTGTCTGTTCAGACACTGCACCTGCTCAAACCCCTTATGGGAGGGGGAGCATGCAGATGGGCAGGTGAAGGAGCTGGGGCAAGTGCTTTGGGGCTCTGGCCCCATGGTAGCATCTAGGAGTGGGCGCCTGTAACTCCCAAAGCCTGTGTAGGCTTGTGCTACGGTGAGCTCTTTTAGCCTTGCCATCCACAGACAGCTTAAGTGTTAACCAGCTCAGTGTCCTCTTGGTACTGAGGTACCAAGCATATAGGAAGAATCAGGTTGCACACGAACTTGAAGGACGAATGCAGGGGTTTTATTGAGTGATGGAGGTAGGGCTCAGCGGGTTGGGTGGGGAGCTGAAAAGTGAATGGAGTGGGGAGATGATCTTCTCCCGGAGTTTGGCTGTCCAGCAGCCAATCTCTCTGACCATTCCCAGCCAAACTCCTCTCAGCATTCAGATGCTCATTCTCTTCTCTCTGCCATGCCGTTCTGCTGTGCTTCTGCTCTTCTGTTCATCTTCGTCTGCTTCTGGAGCCTGGGGTCTGGGGTTTATACGGGTACACGGTAAGGGAGCCTGGCAGGCCAAATGCAACTTTTGGGTGTGTAAACATGAATGCCTGTTCCCATTAGGGCCGTGAGTTTCCAGGCTTGAGGATGGGGCCTTTGCTGGGGACCCACCCACTTCTACCCAGTACTTCCTCGTCTCTTGTCTGTATCAGCTGGGTCAATAATTTGGGAAGAGGGAGTAAGATGTAATATCTTGGAGGGCTAGATGACTGATGAGACAGCCTAAGCTCTGCTTAGGGCACTCATAAATGAGAGATCAATCCTCTTGTTCCCTTTCCTCTCAACAAATGAAGTGCATGAGAGAAGCATGGGCTCAGGTTCCTAAAAGTTATAATCGGGCCTGACACTCTGCTGCTAGTGTTGCATCTATGACTAATATCACAACTGGTACCAGCACTACCAATAGGGATAAATTCCATTATTGGGGCTCTTTACACATCATTTCTGAACATCCTCACAGGCACCAGATGACTTTGCCTAAAATAAGCCCAATTCACAGCTAAGGAACATGAGGTCCGTGGTCCCCCACCATGGTGGGGCTGGAATTCAAACCCAGCCACAAAAACCCTGGTCCATCTAGGGCACCAGGATTCAAAGACAAAAACACTTTACTGAGTTCATTTATGGGGGAGAAGTGAAGAGGACCGTCAGCTGAGTAAGTCTTGAAGTGGGGGCCGTTGGCTGAGAAATCAGCGAACAAGCAGTTTTGTTTTATTAATTCCATGCTGGAGTTCCATAGCTGGGCCAGTCGGTTTGTAAGTTACCTCTGGAACAGTAGCTGAACTACCCAGAGTGCATGATTGGAAAAGAGGAAATGGGGGAGGCTAGTCCTCCTCAACCTCTCACAGGAGAGAAATATGGTTTTCTCCAGCTCCTACAGACAGGTTCCTGGGGCTATCTGGGGCTGGAGCCTCTAGGCAAGCTGATTTGAAACGCATCCAAGCGGATATCTTGCTTCAAAGAGTCAGGCCCCCCCGGGGCAGAGCCTGAACCTGAGTACTGGAAGAGGACCAGGGGGCTGGAATTCAGGCACTGCCCTCCCATCCCCCAGGCCCGGGAGGGTTTGTTTAACCCCTCAGGGGTGCTGTGTGCCTTCCTTGTCGAGGTGGTTTGCGGCTTCGTGAAGCGATATTTATAGAGTGCTCTGTGATTCTTGGGTGAACATTCGTTTTATAAATGAATGATCAAATTTATTAGCAAAGAGTAACTAACCCGTCTACATTTATTTTGTTGATAATACAAATTTACAAGGTTTTAATTGCCAGTTTTAAAACCCCCAAAACCCATAAATAAATACACGGGTAATAAAATATCTTCTCACTGTGCCCTTGACTTCTGTAGTTACATGAGGGCTTATGGGAATGTCTGAAGGAGCTTTCAGATGGAATCACAAAACTTGTTTGAAAGGACTCAGGGCGGGAAACAGTCTAATTCAAACCTGGCTGGTGGTAATTTCATGTATGTTAACCAAAATGCTACTACTGATCATGATTATTAATAATTTGTTTTATAATGCTTGTTCATGTTAATAATCTCCTTTTATTCTATTATCTCATTTACTGCTCTATGACTTTGCTACTTGGAGTGCAGTCTCCAGATCAGCCACATCGGTATGGCCTGGTAGCTTATTAGAATTCTGAGCTCTCAGGCCCCACCTCAGACCTACTGAGCCTGAACCTGCAGCATCATAAGATCCCCAGGTGATTTGTGTGCACATTGTAGTTTGTGATTTGCTGCATTATGAGGTGTTTTATTCTCTCCCATTTCACAGCCAAAACAACTGAGCTCCAGAGAGGTTCGATACATCACCCATAGTCCCACGCCAAGCTGAATTTGAATCTGGTCTCTTGTAGTCAGAGCTCTCAACAGTAAGCCAGATGCTGCAGGTGTCCACCACTAGTCCAGAAGCATGGACTTGTGAGGACAGTGATGACAGTCTTGGGCCTCTAAGGTAGTGACTTCACTGGGCTGGGGTCCATTGGTTGTATACTCAGCTGTTTGTACCTACATCCTTCAGATCCAGCGGGGGGAGGCTCAACCTCTGCACGATGCACCTCAGAGAAGCCAAGGGACAGCTTGAGGTTGAGATCCAGTGTGGTCTCACATAGCATTTTCTTTCAAGGGTAGAAATGATGGCCTATTTATTGCTTAAGAAAAACATAAGCTGTTTTGAAACAGTAATCTGCATCCCAGAAAGTCAGAGAATGTCTGAGGTCAAAGTAAAGTGGTAAATTGAGTATATTCATTAAGAGCAATGAGAGTTTACTATGTGTCAGTCACTGCTCAGAATGCCAAGAATAGAGTAGGGGTACAAAACTAAGTCCTTGACCATAAAGAAGAAGAAAGTTAACAAGTAAGATGATTTGAGCCATCCCTGTGTCTGTCCACCAGAATCTAAAGGAAGTCAAGTCAGATCTTTTTCTTCAATATTGATATGATTGATGCAAATGTGAACTGGAACAGGACCCATGCAAATCACCCAAACTCCCTGAGTTCCCTATTTCTCTCTGTTATGGCAGCCTTAACTTAATCTGTTCTCACCCTGAATGCACCTATTTTATCCAAGACAGGAGGTCTTCATCTGTCTGACTGAGCACATTTTATATCAGTCACGGTGAGTTTCTAAGCATGAAGAGAAAGAAAGGCTATTGGGATACATGGAGCGCAGCTATTGGGCATCTCTCCTACGAGACACTCTTCTAGTGTTGTACTCAGCAACTCCGAACTCAGTTTGCCTACCTGTCAAGTGGGTGGGTAAATAATATCCTCTTTATTGCTGTAAAGCTGTGTGTGACTTTGGTGACTAGAAAATATGCAGATGTTTTAAGAACTAAAGTGGTCTGTATTTGTACACAGACCTCTCCTTTTTCTGAACCCAATGGTGCAACTGTTTTAAAACCACCTTCTCCTTCTGTACTTTGTTGAAATCATTCAGAGTGCCTTCTGAGACCAGGGCCTTCTAAATTTATGACTTGTCATCTAGAACTTTCCCCTAAGGACAAAGTTCCTCTGCAAAGGATGCTCTCCATTGAGCACCATTTTCCAAGAGTTGCATGGGGGCTGGGAGAAGAGAGACTGACTCTTCCAATGGAACCACAAACAATGGGATTTGCATGAGCCAAACCTCATCCAGGGCTCTGAAAACTACCCCTGGAGGCTCTCTGAAGTGGGGGACTAGACAGACAAAGATCCTATACAATTGCCCTTTGTTTCTAATTTTATTATAAATTATTTTAGGATTATTGGATGAATAGGAATTTAAGGATATGGTTTCATCTTTCTGGGTGTTCCCTTATTAGATTCCTGCAGCTTAAACCAACCCAGGCCACCCAATAAACAAGACTTGGATGCCTGGGTAAACTAATTGGCTCTGTCCTTTCATGGATTCAAAGTGTAATTATGTAGCAGTCACTGATCTCAGTTGCTGGATTAAAAAATGGGTAAATCCCATGGGATCCCTGCCCACAAGGTGTCTTAGACACCTTAGACAGTGGCAAATATAAAACTCAGACATTAAAAATGGGTAGTGTCTCATGGCCTAAACATGGATATTTGGTCTACTACCCTTGTGTATAAGGGGTTCATTATGAATATTTGTGGATTTCCTGGAAAGGGAGTTTTTGGGGCAGATGCCACAAAAGGTGTCTATGAATATCATTTAGAATTCCTCACCAGACAGAATAAAGGGATATTTGTTTTCTATCATCTTTTTTCCCTTCTAGTACTGAATGACAAGACAAACATTGTCTCTAACCCAAATAGAGCTTATAATACCTTAGTTAAGAGAAGTTATATAGAAACAAAACATAATATAATATTGTGAAATGTGGTAACTACTTAGAAATGACCAAGGTACTGTTTTCACGGATGTTTCCTTTTCTACTAAAAGTAGCAACTTCTACATGTATAAAACTTTCGATTAAGTCCAAGTCTTCAGGGAAAGAATAAGGTCAGAGAATAAGGGCATTGGGTTGATAGAGAAGAAAGTGGTTGAGGGAGTGTATTAATCCATTCTCATGCTGCCGATAAAGACATACCTGAGACTGGGTAATTTATAAAGGAAGGAGGTTTAATGGACTCATAGTTGCACATGGTTGGGGAGGCCTCACAAGCATGGCAGAAGGCAAAGGAAGAACAAAGGCACATTTTACATGTCAGCAGACGAGTGAGCATGTGCAGGGGAACTCTCCTTTATAAAACCATCAGATCTTGTGACACTTACTGACTGTCATGAGAACAGCATGGGAAAACCTGCTCCCATGATTCAGTTACCTCCCACCAGGTCCCTCCCATGACACATGGGGATTATGGGAGCCACAATTCAAGATGAGATTTGGGTAGGGACACAGCCAAACCATATCAGAGAGTGATCTAGGAAGCCCTCTCAGAGGATGTGGTACTTTGTTTGTAACTTGAAGAATGAGAACTTAGCCAATGGGGTGGGGGTTGTCATAGGCAGCAGACTTACCAGCAGACAACAACACATGTGTGACCCCCTAAGTGGGTCAAAAGCTGGGTGCTTTCCAAGAACAGCAAGAAGGTCAATGCAGCTGCAACTGCACTGCAGTAATGGACAGGAGAGTGAGCTGAGATGATGTTGGAAAGGACAGGAAGCACTAGATCAGGCAGGTTATGCAGTTCAGCAGTGAGCCATTGACATGCTCTGCCTTAGTATTGCCCTCTGGCAGCTGTATGGGAAACAGACTGAGGGGGGTTGCCATGGAAGCCAGAAAGCACTTGCACTTAAAAAGCTATGGAAATACTTGCAACCAAAGATGGCCTAGGTTACAATGATAGAGATGAAGAGAAGCAATTCAAATTTTATTTGGGGTATTAGAGTTCATAGGATTTGTTGATTGATTAGATGTTGGAGGATTAGTTAAGGATGCTTTCAGATTTTTAGTTTGAAGTCTTGGGTGGATATGTGGATCAGTTAACAAAGATTAGCTAAGATGGTAGGAGGAACTGGTTTGCGGGAGACGCCAAGTGCTAGCAGAGAGACCCCCATCCTGAAGGCATGACTGTGCAGAGATGCAGGAAAGCTGCCCCAGCCAAGATGTAACTGTTACTCTGTTTTGGCTCATCAGAAAAGAAAAAAGTGTCTTGAGTGATTATTGCTGCTTGCCCTGAGCACAAATTTAATGATGAATTTGTTGGGTACTTGCCATCCATGCCCTATCAGATATAGGACAATGACCAGATATAGGACTTGGAACATTAGTAAATCTTGTTTAAAGCCCTTCTCTTGCCAGGCACTATTCTAGACACTGTCAGGGAATGTGTAATGACTAGCTGACAAGAGCCCATTGCAATGTTTTCCTTCAGGTTTTAATGCAAGCATCATCAAGGAAGCTAAAAAGCATTTTGTTTCTTTTAGAGTGGTAAGTATGCACTATAAGTAGATGGTACAGATGGTACAGATGTCTACGGGGAGGGAAGACTCAGACCGACCCTGGAGTCTGGAGTTTTATACACATAACAACTCTCAGTAGAATGGGATGGCCATAAAAATTTGCAACTGCAGGATAAATATTCTATCCACAAATCTTTTTCATTATTTTAATACTTGACTAAAAGGAGATTTGAATTTTGCACTTTGAAGCTTTCAGCTGTGGACTGCTAAGGGTGATACTCTTGATGGGAATAGTACTTCGATTCCAGAGCTCATTTCAAATAGCACTGGGTCCAAGCCCAAGTGCCTTGTGTCATTGGCCGGTCAGACCATACTGAGTATGCCCATTACAAACATATCTTTATTGCATTTTATCTCTTTAAAACAGCAACATTTTTTGGCAGCTGGAGCTGCTTCTCTGGAACCAGTTAGTAGCTATAAAGGAGGCTCAGGTTTCTGGCAGTCAATCAGAACACAGGTGGAGCCGACCCATGCACCCCAACAGCCTCTTGGCCTAGGCTAAATGGGGATTTAGTAGACCTCCTTGGGATTGGGGTCGGGGGACTCATGTTTCCAGTGGAAAGAAAGTAAATCCAGAATCCAGGAAGGGACAGGCAGCTTACAATAATAGTCTCTTACCTCTGTACTGTGCTATACATTTCATACTATATATATTGTTATATCACACAATATATTTCACAGGATATATATGTTGTTATTCTTTTTCCTCACCACCTTACCCCTCAAAAAAGTCCTATGAGGTATATATTGTTATCTTCATTTTATAGATTTGGAAACCAAGGTTTACAAAGAGAAGGTGCTTTGACCGAAGCCACAGACTAATAAATGGGACTTAAGTGAAGATCTGACTTCAAGTCTAACCTTCAAAGGCAAGCTTCAAAGGAAGTAAAAAGGAACTAAAATGTATTGTATTTTACTTTGTGCCAGGCACAGTACAGTGCTGAGGCAGAAAGAAGAATCAAATACTGTTTGCAACTTCATTTGTCATATCTGTCACTACTCAAGAGAAGCCATGAGGTCTAAAACAAATAGCATAAACTAATGTAACAGGGATTGAATTGATACTAGAATTTACATGTGCCCTTGGTCATATTTAGTGAAAATGTGAGAATGATTTAGAGCAGGGGTCAGCACACTATGGCCCATGGGCCAAATCTGGCCTGCTGCCCTTTTTTTGTAAGTCACAGCCTATTGGAGCACAGCCATGCCCATTCATTTACACACTGCCTGTGGCTGCTTTTGTGCCAGGATGACAGGGTTGGCTCGTTGAGACAGAGACTGTAAGGCTTGTGAAGCCTAAAATATTTACTTATCTGGACCTTTACAGAAAAATGTGCTTACCCTTGATTTAGAAATGTTTTCTCATCTTGAATTGAATCATGGACTCATCCTTCCTTTTTAAATAGGAATTATAGTGAAGGGTAGATTGCAAACTAACTAAGAATATAAATTTAGTACTTAAAGTGCTTGGATGAGATCTCTGTAATGCCCTCTGAATGTGAAGTTAGGATTGTCTGGGACATGGCAGAAATGTTTGAGGACAACTGAAGGGAAAAGTTATCCATGAAGTATCTGTTAGTGCTGCCTGCCTTGGATGGAAAAATAGAGCAAAGGGTGTACAGTTCAGGGCTGGTTAACTGTATAGAAACAATCCCTGTATCTTGGTGTCTTACCTTTCTTGCTTGTGTCACAGTCCAATGTAGAGTGAGCTCCATGCAGTCATTCAGGGACCCAGGCACCTTCATGGTGTGGCTCTACCATCTCCCAGGGCCTCAGAGACCTCCACTGGATCCTTTGCATCTAGCAGATGAGAGGGGAGCATGCATGAGGAACAGATCAGGAGATTTTAGGGGCCATTCCTGGAAGTAACACACATCCCTTCTGCCAACATTCTGTGAGGAGTAACTAGTCACATGTCCTCACTTACATGTGAGGGGGCTGGGGAAATGCAGTTTAGAGGTATGCCAATGATGAAAGAAACATGAATACTGGTGAAGAATAAGCTAGCTTCAGCCTCAATGGTCTGTGGATCTAACCAGATAAAGTGTCTTAGGTTCACATGCTGCTTGGCTAGGGAGTCTCCCCACTCCCTCTTGCCCTCCTCTCTATCTCCTTTGCAATCTTGCTTCCTCTCTTATTTCTCCCTCACTCCCTCTTTTCCTCCCTCCCTTTCTTATCAATTTATAATCAATCTGTATAGCCTGGTCCTTGGTCATAACAACTACAAAAACTGTTAAAAACTAGTCCCTGTTCTGTGTTATCTATGTTTCCAATCCCGCCTAAATTGATAGAGGAAAAAATTAGAAAAAAAATAAATGCAAGAATCCTACCTCTAACACAGCAAAATGATGGAAGGGGTAGCATGGGCACCATGCTCTGGAGCAGGATGGATGGGGAACATTTGGCTTATGTATGTATGAGTTTAAAGTGGTATTTAATTAAAAAGTTGCAAGCTCATGAAACAAATGATTTTGTTTGGCTCTCCCTTGTACAATCCCAGTTTCTAAGAAACAATAACTTGTAATTTATGGGTTCGCTTTTCACAGAAGTATGGAAGTTATATGTAGCTCATGTTTGAATGAGAAAAAAAAATCCCTGATGGTAACTCATTATCTGTCTGGCTAACAAAGGACAAAGTACAAATCCTGGAACATCTTTCTTTGCCATTTCATATTTATGACACATCCTGTTGGTAAAACGTTATTCTCAAGGCAAGCTCTGGAGTTTATTATTTTTTGTCTTCTCATTCTTCATCATTGCATCATTAAAACAAAAATCCTGGGCCAGATGGAAGCTTTCCTCCTTTGGGGTCACGGGTGGAAAAAAGACTGTGTGAAACCATGGATGGCCTGCAACCACTTTGAAGAGGAAGATGATCATGTCTCTTCACAATTCTCAGGCTTGGCATGGCCTTATTGAAGTTTATTCTGAGGTATGTTCTGGTTGGGGGTATAGATTGTTATACAGGCATTCTGAGCTCCTCTGAGAGTGACTTCTTACTCTTTTCATGGGCACTTGACCCTCTGGAATTATTTTTAGCTGCTACATTGGTTGGCATGTATGGTTCATCATCTCCCTCAACAGGCCTGCAAACTCAGTGGGTGGAGGAGACTCTTTTTTTGGCTTATTCCTTGCTATCTCCCAAGTGCCTAAAGCAGGGCTTGGCACATAATAGGCACTCTGAATATTTTGGGAAAGGGAGAATGCATGAGTGAGTGAATGAGTGCATAGTGGTAGCAAATAGATGGCAGGCACCTCTTATCTCCCCAGCCCAATGTCCAGAGGAGATGAGAAATGGACCCTGAGACTTTATGCCTCCCCTTACCTGAAAGCAGCCACTTCCCATTGATTGGGGTCCATGGATTTGTCATCATCAGTCACTCTGGAAAATTTTCACGAGAATATAAGTGATAAAATGGTGTTCCATTGAGTGAAACGGTATGAGAAGCATCATTATATGTCTTGTCTGTCCATGAAGGAGAAGGTACAGTGATTATCTGTTTGGAGGCCTTAATTCATATAATCCAACTGTAGTCTAAGGACACTGGACTAGAGAAGTGCTATGGAGAAGGACATACTTTCAGAAAAATATTTCTTCTTCTAGATTTCAATTATGAAATTTTCTTCTTAATAGGAACCAAATCAATGAGATGCCAAAGAATGAACATTTCACTTCCAACCTGCCTGCCTCTAAGGATGTTAATTCACTCTAGCCCTGATGGGGTCCCTGGGAAGAACTCAGACATGGAATCAAAATCTGTTTTTGTTCCCGTGAATGGGTGAGGCTCTGCTTGGCCTCCAGGTGTCCAGTCCTAGAGACAATGGGACATAAGTTACCAGCCGCTGTCGCTGTCAGGAGGCCTCCTGATTAGTATCTCAGCCTTGACACCTACCCACTGTAGGACCTTGGGGAGGATACTTAACCTCTGAGGCTGATTTACTCATCTAGAAAATGAGGTTACTGATAGCATGCACCTTTTAGTATTGCTAGGAGGATTAGAAAAAACAGTGCTCTGTAAAGGGTTTAAACACAATGTGAGGCACATAGGAGGAGCTTGGCTCATGTTGTATACTATTGCCAAATGTATTATTCTTCCAGCTCCCTGCGGGAATCCTGAGGATGGTTGAATATTTTATGGAATGATAAAGAAGATTAGGGTATCACATCACAGGTTGAGCTAGATAAACTAGAGTATCTTCAATTCATGAAGTCCATGTCTTCTACTTCTCTTTAATTTTTTGTCTCACTTTTGAAAGGGCTTACTAAAAACTAAGCAATTAAAAAAATTCCTTTTCCAAGTCTCCACAGTCATGCCTGTGGTATAATAAAAAATAAATAAATATTTGGTTTTTGTCCCAGGTTTTTGGCACACAGTGCCTAAAACCCTTGGAATCTCCAGAGTGATGAGTGTCTTTTGTATGCTAATAAGACGACTGGTGTCTGGAGTCCCCAAGATAGCTCCAGGATGGAAACTAGTTGCCAGGAAGACCACACCACATGATTGTGATTAGAGGACTGGAAGTTTCAGCCCCACCCTTCTACCTCCTGAGAGGGGAGATGGGCAGGAGATTCAGTCCATCACCAATGGCCAGTGATTTAGTCCACCAGCTCCACGTAATGAAATCTCCATAAAAACCCTTAAATGGTGGGGTTCAGATTGCTTCTGAGTTGGCACACACATCTGTTGTAGGACTTTCTCCTTAGGGTCCTTGTCACACGACCAGGAAAGATTAGGCTCGCAGATGCTTTGAAGGGTGAGAAAAATGGAACGTATTGGGCGAAAAGGGAAAAAAAGGTGGGGAGGAACAGAAACTCTCAGCAGAGAGAGTCCTGCTGGCCAGTTTCCTGCCTCACAGATTAAATTCCAGGTTCACCCAGGAACAAAAGAGGCCAGGCTCCTCCCCCTGCAAACAGCATGAACTTCCAGAGGCTCCACCCCAGTGCACACTCCTCCCAGTGTGCAGGCCAGTTGGAGGTTTTCCGGTGATCCCTTTATACTTGGCTGTCTCACACTGGGGGTCTGGCAGGAGGTGTGCCCTGAGAGAGCATGAACACTCTGCATAGCCCCACACCCTGCCCTGTGTATCTCTTGCATTTGGCTGTTCCTGAGTTGCATCCTTTACAATAAACAAGTGAATGTCAGTAAATGAGTTCTGTACGCCATTCCAGTAAATTATCAAGCCTGTGGAGGGGGGTCATGGGAACCCTTGACTTATAGCTGGCTGGTCAGAAGCGTGGGTGTCCTGAGACTTGCAACGTATATTTGAAGTGGAAGGTAGCCTTCTGGGACTGAGCCCTTAACCTGTGGGGTCCATGCTAATTTCACATAGTGTCAAAATTGAATTGAATTGTTAAATACCCAGTTCGTGTCTGCAAAGAATTGAGGAATTGGTGTCAGGGGAAGAAAGCACCTCTCATTTGGTGTCAGTGGTGTGAGTAAAAACATCTCAACACTGAATACACCCAATGGCATTGCCATAAATCTCAGTGATTAGAGAGTCATCATGCTCTAAAGGGGACTACAGATCTAATGCATGTCACCTGAAGCTCCCACTGCCAAAGCACAGAGCAGACATCACTAATCAATCAGGGTGCTCTTTCTGCCAAGCGCAGGCTCAGTCATGCATTTGCGTGCATTGCTCAGAACTGTCTCTCAGTTGATGAGATCATGACACCTATTTCCTTCCTAATTTAAAGAGGCCATGAGAAACACAGCCTCTGGTTCTGGTTGAATCACTAACCAGCTGTATGGCATTTAACTTCGCTGTTTTATATTATAAAGCTTATATTTTATTAAAGCTCCAATAAACATTTCTCCATCCTCCTCACGAGCCTATTGAGAGATTGGCAGGAGAGGCAAGTTGAAGTTTGATAACAACTTAACTCTCATGGAAGTGCCCTTTAATTTCCAGAGAGAATTGGCTCAAAATTCCACTTTGGGACTGGTGGTACATCTGTTCTTCAGAGCCCCCAAAATTTCCATGCCTTCCTGAGGGGTCTGTTGTTCTCTTACTCACATTCGTCTTAAAACTTCTGCTTTGGTTAATGTTGTCTCACAGACACTGTCCTCTGTTGGATATACTAACCTGGCTAAGGGGCCTTCCTAGCCCTCTTTCTAGATTTCTACCCTCCCTCTTCAGCACACACCTCCTCCACAGGGCCTTCGTGAATTAGTTAAGTTTGGGCAGATGGAAGGAGGTTTGCATAGTGGCCATCTCTGTTCTACAAATCTATTTCGTTATTTTACCATTTAGCACTCCTCCTCTCCTTCTCTCCTCTCTTCTTTTTATCCTTCCTTCTTTACTTCCTCCTCTTTCTTTTAAAAACTCACTGTGCCATCTCTTAAAGTTCTCTGGCTCCTTTCCATATTTTTAGTGCCCTTCTCCCCACCTCTTTCTTGGGCACAACAAAACTCAGATTCTTCCTATCTGAAATTCAATCCTACTTTGGATTTGCTTTCTTTTTCCAGATGCTGACCTGGGCCCTGTCTTTTCATACACAAGTGGGACATTGTGGTGACTAAATAGTGATAGCTCCTTCTCTAAAAAGAACTTTGGTAACAGTCCTTAAAATTATGCATAACATGTGCTTGCATGTGTCCACATGTTGTCTCCTGATATCCGTTCTTTCATTCTGCCTCATTAATAAGAATGCTGATTTTTATCTGGCACATCACCACCTGGTTAATAAAATTGCTTCTGCTAACCTACCTTGTAACTTGATGCAGCCAAGTGACTAAATTGAGATTTAGACAGAATTGTGTGGGATTTATGGGAAGTTGCCTGAAAAGGGAGAGAAGATCCCCTTCTATTCCTTCATTCTGCTGTCTGGAATGCCAGTGAGATAGCTGGAACCCCAGCAGCCATCTTCTACCATGAAGACAAGTGCCTACCCTAGTGAACAGAGTGTGTGATGATTATGTCAAGCAGTCTAGACTCTCACTTCCCATTTCTTATCTTTTTGAAATAAAATTTTTTTCTTGTTTAAGCTTCGTTTTGTTCCTCAGGCTTAACTATTAGAGCAGAGCACAATTCATTATTTTTGAAGCTTGCGTTCTCATGCCTTTCTCTAATTTTACTTTAAGAAACCTATGACATGTACCCCCTTTTTGTTTCTAATGTTGAATGGGGGAAGATGGGTTGAATATGAGCTCTTTGCTCTCAAATGATAGAAAAGAGGTTCTCCAATGTAATGCAGAAACATGAGTGCTGAAGAGAATCTTCATAAAGCCATAAATGTTCTGATGGCTTTCAGAAGACAGTAGCAGGCAGGACATTCTAATGTTAATGTCAACCTTATAAAAAACACAAATGAATATGGTGTTGAGGAAGGCAATGAACCCCATTATTTCTGTGATGGGCTTCCGGGGAAGCCAAGACAGTTTTGTGGTTCAAATGACAGATGTCATCCAAAAATTGAGGACTTCACATCAATTGAAGTGCACATTTAAGAATAATCAAAACATGGCCAGGCACGGTGGCTCACGTCTGCAATCCCACACTTTGGGAGGTGGAGGCGAGTGGATCACCTGAAGTCAGGGGTTTCAGACCAGCCGGACCAGCATGGTGAAACCCTGTCTCTACTAAAAATACAAAATTAGCCGAGTGCGGTGGTGCAAGCCTGTAATCCCAGCTACTCGGGAGTCTGAGGCAGGACAATCGCTTGAACTCGGGAGGCCGAGGTTGCAGTGAGCTGAGATGCACCATCGCATTCCAGCCTGGGCAACAAGAGCAAAACTCCGTCTCAAAAAAAAAAAAAAAAAAAAAAAAGAAAAACCGAAACATAAAACAGATGTCAACATCAAAATACTGAGTGTCTATTCTCAAAGTTAAAGTCAAACATTAAAATAAGTTGAACTAAAGCATGCACTCTTTTCTTTTTCAAATATTTTATGGCTTTGTCAAATGGGAAGACATTAGGAACTCTACGAAGTTACCAGTGTTGTGGTAAAGTTGCCACCACCTAGAACTACACAGGAGTTTCCTGTTGGCTCTTTCATCCCAGCTGGGGAAACACTGAAGTGAATGATTCACAAAAGCTGTAGTTAATTAGTTAATTGATTTTTGTATTTATCTTTGGAAGATGAGGACTCAGATGACTTCTGGAATTGCTACATCTAGAAATGAAATTTTGTCTGAGATTCATTGTGTGTTTATATGGAAAATCATGTTGCTCTTATTTTAAACACAATTACTAATGATAATATATTTATCATAATGGGAAATGCCCACTTCAATCTGATAAATGCAAATTCTACCCTCATTTTCTAGCACCACTCAAATGCCAAGTCCACCTGTGCCCTTCACCACACACGATTTCTACACCTCCCAGAAAATAACTTTTTTTCTAATTAAAATAACCATGCGTGTGCGTTTAAAAACTTTAAAACAGTAAAAAGAAGGGTGAAGAAGAAAGTAGAAATTACCCCAAATCCTATTAAATGCAGATAACATTGTTTACCCCTGGCCACCATTTTCCCCAGACACATGTCACGAGGTAGTGTGGGCTCATGCTTTTGTTCTATCCTCGGTGAGAGCAGGAACTTCCTCTGTCTTGTTCATTGCTGCCTCTCACAATGCCTCAGTGGGTGTCTGGCACTCAGTAAGTACTCAAATATTTGTTTTTGAATTTACCATTTCACATTTCACATACTTCATTTTATGGTTAACATATTGTAGGTATCTTTTCAAGTCAGTAAATGTAAATCTGCTCATCATTTTAAAGTGGTACGAATTTTATTGAACTTTGAATATTGAGTTTTGCTGTTTGTACTGCACATGTACGTGTGTGTTTTTCTTTTTAGAACATATCCTTGTGAGTAGAGTTATTCGGTCAAAGCCCACGCACATTCAAAAATTTGACAAATATTGCCAAACTGCCCTCCAGAAAGTATCTAGGGATTTTCACTCTGATCAAGAGTTCAAAAGAGGGCTCATTGCCCCACACCCTTCTCTGACTTAGATACTGCCATATCTTTGCCAATCTCCTGGCTAAAAATATTATCTCAGTGTTGGTTTTGCTTGTATTAGTATAATTATTGGTAGTCTTGAACGTTTTTTCATATACTTATTGGTTTTTGTTAGTCTAAATTTGTGTTCAGTTCCTGTTTCACATTCTTAATTTTGAGCATGGAGCTGCGTCTCCTTTGGTCATTGATTAGAACAGCTACTGGTTTATCTGTTTTATTGAGCTTACAAATTATCAGTTCTTGGAGCTGGCATGTCTCTATCTTTTTTTCTGTTTTCTCCTATATCAATTTCTATTTTACCTTTATTAATTCCTCCTTTCCACTCTTAGTTTTGTAATGTTTTTTCTATTTTTTTTTTTTTTTTTTAAGACAGAGTCTCACTCTGTCGCCCAGGCTGGAGTGTGCAGTGGCACAATCTCGACTCACTGCAGTCACCACCTCCTGGGTTCGAGCGATTCCCCTGCCTCGGCCTTCCAAGTAGCTGGGACTACAGGTGCACACCACCATGCATGGGTAATTTTTTGTATTGTTTAGTAGAGACGGAGTTTCCCTATGTTGGCCAGGATGGTCTCGATCTCCTGACCTCGTGATCCGCCTGCCTCCGCCTCCCAAAGTGCTGGGATTACAGGCTTTTTTTCTTTGTTTCTGAGGGGCTGCTCATCTTACTATTTCTACACTTTCATTTTATTAACAAATATGTGTGAGGACGAATTTTTACCTTATTAGTTTTGCTATAGTCTATTAAATCTGGGGTAAAGTGTTCTTATTTTGTTTTCTATATGTTTTGAATTTGTAGTTTTGATGTTCTCTTTAACATCAGAGATGTTGTAAAGGCTTGTAAAAATATTTTCATTTCTTGGTCAGGAGGTTTGTTGTTTGTAGTGTTTGTTCTTTTTTATATTTTGTCTTTTGTTGCATATGATTAAAAATGTGGCCTGTACTATTTTTGCTTTTTGGTATTTTTTAAAAGTAATTTTGAACTTGTTAAAAATGTTTTTTGAGTTCACAAACATGTGTTCTTGGTTGTAGAACATAAAGAAGATATATACCTAGTAGGGCAATTTTACTGATTATACTATTTCCACTCTGCTTTATTGACTTGTTTGCTGCTTGACCTGACAAAGGCTTGAGAGGTGTATTAAAATCACGCCTTCTATTACGTTTCTCGATGATTCTCCTTATATTTCCAGCAAGTTTTCCTTTGTATATTTTGGTGTCTTGGTAATTTTTTGGCTCTCTTTTGATAGATGGTCTTTCGTGTTACTGTTTCTGGATTCTCTGGAGTTAGAAAAGTGTGCAGTGGTTATTTTTAGGAAAGGGTCATCCTTGCTTATACATGAGGATACTGCAAAGCAGAAAGTTCAGGTAACTGATACTAGAGCAAGGTCACATAGCAAGTGAGTGGCCAAGCCAGGAGTGCACATCCCTATAGCCCATGCCTTTAGCCTGCAGCTGTCATTATCTTCTGGTATCTAATTCCATGAGAAATGTACCTGGTCTCTCTTCTGAAGTGACTTGTCTACTATATATATGCACTTATAGAATTCTTCATTATTAAAGTACAGTAATTTTATTAAATTTTTTTTCTCAGCATTGGTTGATGTGTATTCACTTTTCCAGGACCTATGAGACTTTTCAGTTTGTAGACTCAGGTCAATATATTAAATTATTACAATATATAGTAAACATACAGAATATGCATGTGTGTGTGTGTGTGTGTGTGTGTGTGTGTGTGTGTGTGTGTATATATATATATAGTATTTCCTTTCATATCTACCATTCTTATTTACAATTTGTAAATTTATTTCTATTCATATGCTATTGATATGGTTTGGTCGTGTCCCCACCCAAATCTCAAACTGTAGCTTCCATAATTCCTACATGTTGTGGGAGAGACCTGGTGAGAGGTAATTGAATCATGGGGGTGGGTCTTTCCCGTGCTGTTCTTGTGATAGGGAATAAGTTTCAGGAGATCTGATGGTTTTATAAAAGGTAGTCCCCCCCTGTACATGCTCTCTTGCCTGCTGCCATGTAAGATGTGATGCCATGTAAGAATCTTTGCCTTCTGCCATGATTTTCAGGCCTCCCCAGCCACGTGGAAGTGTGAGCCCATTAAACCTTTTTCTTTATAAATTATCCAGTCTTGGGTATGTCTTTATCAGCAGCATGAAATCGGACTAATACAGCTATGTTTCCTGTATTTTTCAAATGTGCTTTTTTTGTGGCAATAGTTGTGCTTCTTGCTTTGATGCAGTTTTATGTCCTACAAAAGCATTTCTTTTCTCCTCAGTTTTTTCTAAGTCCTGCTAAATCCTTATTCATCATATCATATTTTCTTACCACATTTTGGTCATTTATTTCATCCATGTGATTTATAATTTATTTGTGAATTTAGTTGTCATTTTAAAAATTAAATTAAAAGAAATGATCTCCCCCTCTTTCTTTCCCTCTTCTGCCCAGCCCACCCTCTCTCACTGTTTATGCTGTATTCTTTTCTTTTAGTGGGGCTTGGAGGGTTGACTAGGAGACAAAATGTTCGTATCGGAAACATGCCAATTTGTCTTCTTTTGCTTTCCTCCTTTACCTTTTATTTTTTTCTTGTTCATCTTTAAAAAGGCAGGTAACTGGTCTTCCTATTTGCCAGAAAAAGGATGTTCACCTCAAATGTGTGAATTCTTCTCTTATAACATGAGATCCAGGAATGTTGATAGTCTCTCAGCTTCCCAGGGAAAGGTGGTCCCTGTCATTGGTAACTTGGACTCTTTGATTCATCTCTGGTTTTACTGACACTCGTGCATCAGAATCCACCTCACTCAAGACAGAGTGGATTCCGTCTCAAAGGGTAGGTGTCCCCAGATTTAAATTTTTCCCATCTGTAGTGTAAGCAGGCTCTTTAATGGAATTTGAGCTTTAGAGAAACCCTGTATGTAGTAAGCATTTGATTTGGTGTGGTTACAGGCATTTTTCTCTTTTTAACCTCCTCGTTTGCTGCCAGGCTTCAACTGAAACACTTGCTGCAAGGATATTATTACTTACTTGGCTTCGACCACCTGCTAAACTATTACAAAGTTTATCTCCTCCTATAGTTCCACCTCTGTAGCCTCAGAATATTGTTTACAGGATGCAGAAAGGTGGCTCCAGAAGGCACATTGAGGAACTTACTCTGGGACCTTCCCATAACTCCAGTCCCAATCCCTGCCTAGTGTGAGACATCAGTGGGTGTTTTTGAGAATTTCCTTATTTTCAATGATAAGCTTATTGCTTATCATTTCTTGCAGAAGGAAACCCTGTTCTGATTTTTAGAATCTTCACTACATTTGGTCCCAATAGTTTCAGACCCAAATGATACATCTGGATATGTATTCCATACCATTGAGACCACTTCTGCTATTAGTGTGAATAATTTCTTTGTTGTTTTTACTTCTTTTGGTTTAATTTTACTCAGCTACGGAAGGGGGAGCTTTGCAACTTCCTAAGCATCCTGTACCTTTGCACCCACCTTTCTTAGAATCTTCCTTCCCCTCTATAACATTGAACTAGTTTAGCTTTTTAAGACGTTTATCCTTACCTTCCTTTCATTTTAGTCATATGTGTTTTAGATGAGTGCTGTTCCAATTGTCTATGGTTAAGGACAAGTTGGTTGTTAAAATTTCCAATCTGTTGTAGACCCTTGCCTTTATGAAGTGTACTAAGCATTGAATTTGCAGAAAGTAAAGTGAAAATAAGACATACAATGCAAATCTGAATTTTTGTTATTAGATTCAACAGATAAAACATTACCTACTATTCGCGTTCCTAAATGCTTACTCTCAATTTCTCTTCTTATTCATTAAGGATGGATCTCAAACAACACGCAACCAGGCATGGTCCATGAGGCCCCCTTTAAGTAGCATCGCCATATGCCCCTCAAGGGCAAGGGCAAGGTCTTGTTAACCCTGTGTGTCCCCCCATGCCTGCCTAACACTATGTCCTACAAATAGCACCTATTGAAAAATAACTGTTGACTATAGGGGTAAGACAATAATACCCTAAGTAGCAAGTGCCTCTTAAGGTGAAAACTCTTAAGTTTATTCTTGACCTTCACAACTTCCTTTTGCCTTGGGAAGATGCAGGTGCCAGAATCTGGATTTGCAGCCAAGGCCCAGAGAAGAGTGGGTCTACACACATGAAGCCTTTTATCCATGCTGTTTTATTTGACCCAAGGCATTTTCCCTCATCTGCTGTTTCATGTCTCTATTGGGAGTAAAAAGCATAGTGTGAAAGACAAGGCAGGATATTAACCGGACCAGGGCCTGGGCCAGGTGTGAGCATTCTGTCTTCTGTCTGTCACTTTATTTATCATCCTTCTCTGAGGACCTCTTGAGGACCCTCTGACTCGCAGTCACACAAACATGGACTCTGCTTGAGAAGCATGTTACGATGAAACACTTGTGGGGTGTAATACGGTCCTGGAACTAGGAATCAAACCTATATATTCTAGTTTATTCTCCTCCAGGGCCAATTTGAAGAGAGTGGCTGAGGAAGTAGCCCCACTTAGGATAGTAGCTGGGCTGAGACTCCACCATCAGCAGTGGGGAAGTCACAATAATGAATAGGACAAAAGGAAGGGACTTCACTTACTGGTCAAATGGAGTGCAGCTCTCGTACCAAGAGTCAGTGGTGTGCAGAGGACTGAACACCCACTGGGGATCTGCAGGGATGGATAAACCAGGAGCCCGCTCTTGAATGATGGGGAGGAAAAGCCAGGGAAAACTCATGATGAGGTAAGGCACATGTGTAAAGGCCATAAAAGACTTATACCTAAAGTGCTAGGGTGACAAGGATGGAGGAAAGGGTAACTTTTAAGGGCAAAAGGTCACTTCCCAGATTATTAAAATATATTTTTAAAATTTTTTATTTCCATAGGTTTTTGGAGAACAGGTGATATTTGGTTACATGAGTAAGTTCTTTAGTGGTGATTTGTGAGATTTTGGTGCACCCATCACCCAAGCAGTATACACGGCACCCAATTTGTAGTCTTTTATCCCTCTCCACCTCCCACCCTTCCCCTGAGTTCCCAAAGTCCTACTGTAACCCTAAATTGTAGGCATATATGGAAAATAATTTATTTGTTGACCTCCTTATTTAATATCCTTCCTCTGCCAACTCAGGTGGTGATCTCAGTTTGCGTGTATTTTTTTTTCTCCTATTTCTCAGGATTGCATTTATAGTTTCTTTGTCTATGAGCTTATCTAATACTAACTTTTGATCAGAGGTGTTGTTTGTGTGTGTGAAATGCTTGGAAGAGTGTCTGGCAGATGGTAGGCATTCACTCAGTGGTTTTCCCTTTGTTTTTGGCTTTCTGGACCTAGCTATCTGGGGAAAGGCTATTAATTATGATAACTGCAAAGCATCAAGTTGATGAGAGAGTGAACCCCTGAACAGGAAGGGGGAGGATTTGAGTCCAAGGATAATAGGTGACCAAATTGTACGGAAACAGTGCAGAAGAGCTAATTTCTTGGCAGTTAAAAAAAATATTGCTGTGGTTTTTCTTTCCTTTTAGATGGGAAAGGGGGTTTATCTCCTTAGAAGTTTCAGGGAGATCTTTTCAAAACCCCACAACTTGACGTATTGTTTAATAAATATTTGTTGATTTAGTAGATGAGCCTGCAAAAGCTATTCTCATATATGCCAACATTGCCCCTAGGGAGACATTGAGTCTGTTGGATCCAATGACCTTGGATAGCTTAGAATGATTTGGTGATCTGGCGTTAGACTTAGGAATAAATGTAACCAGTTTGAAGTCTTATAAAAGCACAACTAGACTGGGAATTAGGGTAGCTCAAACTATTTGGTGTGAAGTTTGAGCTCTGTATTTCATTTCATAGCTGGACATAAGCATTGCTATTTTCTCGACTAGTGGTTCTCAACTGGTGGCAATTTTGCTCCCCATGGAATATTTGGGGATGTCTGGAAACATTTTTGGTTATTACTACTGAAGAGTGGGGATGCTACTGGCACCTAAAGTGTGAAGGCCAGGGAAGCTGCTAAATATCCTGTAATGCACAGGACAATGCCCCCCTCCTCCCACAGCAAAGCGTTATCTGGCCCTAAACATCAGTAATGCAAAGGTTGAGAAATCCTGTTCTAGACAGACTTTCTACATTAAAGAGCAACCCAAGGGAAATTATTCCTAAAGGTTTTCCTCTGAAAGGGAACTTGACAATTAACAGCTCAAAGTCCCTTTAGACTCTATTCTATGTGGTTGGATAACCCCTGGGCCTTCTAAATATATCCGTATCACTGTGCTTGCAGATTAGCAATCCCCCTCCCCCATCATAAGCTCCTCCCCCATATACAAAGGAGACTTGAGCCAAGTTCTTTATGGCCCCGCCCTAATACTGCTGTCTGTTCAAATATTGCCAAGACTTGGACATTGTCACAAGTAAAGTGCTTGAGAATGATGCAGTAATGAAGGCAGTGACCTGATTGGGTCCTACCTACCCTGTCAGTAAGGCAGAGAGAGATCTATAGGACTTGTATGAAAAGTGTTTCAGCTTCAAACAACCAATAAACAGTGCTCAGCCCCTCTGTCTGCCTTCCTTGCTGCAGTTTGACATGCAATTAACACACAGGGATTCAACTGGACTACAGCTCAAGGCCATCGAGGTTTTGTTCTTGCCAACTTGCAGAGAATTCCTGGACTAGCAGACCAGTTGGACAAGGGCCTTTGGAGCTAGAAGGTGACTTTCATTAAAATGACTCAGTACTCTCCACAACCATCCCTGAGATGTGTGCTTCAATTCTGTTCAGACTAAACCACTTCACAGTGCAGCTAGCAAAAAGAAGGCTTTTAACATTCACTTGTAGCTATTCTGAACAATGATAAAAGATGTTACCAAGACTTATTTCAAACAGTTTACTGTGTGTCAGTTGCATAGAACTTAGATGATGCAAGATCACTCCCAGGAGGTATATTCTCCTGTTTACTCCCTGAATCTGCGTGAGGTGCACAACCTTTGAGCAGGCACTGATGGGGCTTCCTCCATGTGGCAGGAATTCACAGATACAGATCAGAAGGAGAAGGAAGCATATAAAGTGCAGAATGCACAGAAGCTGAATTCAGCTCAGCCTAGGGCAGCAGGAGGAGACGGAAAAGAGGTGCCTGCAGAGCCTGAGAGGAGCCTGGAGGATGCTGAAGGCAGAGAAACCTCCATGGTGATAACAGCACAAGAACAATCGAGATGAGAGAGGATCTTGCCATTGACAGTCATCATTTGCTCTTTTGCTCTGTTTGTCCATGTAGGTTCTTGTGTATTTATGCCTCCTTCCTGCTTCCCTTCCTCCTTCCCTGTTGTGCTATTGTGTCTTTCTTCCTGTTGGCCACATCTCCTTACCGTGATCAGAGCTGTGTGCCCCATCAGTGCTCAGCTATGAAACTGCTGTGACCTTAAACCCTGGGGAGCCAACCTTACAGGCAGTATCTGTAAAACAACAACTTCAATCTAGTGAAATAATTTATTAACTCAGTGAGACAACTGTTCCATTCGGGAACTTTATAATCAGGTAGAGGAGAAAGACATGTACGTTAATATTGCTGTACCACTCTTTGAAGCTGGCCTGATTATGTCCATTTAAAAAATGAGTTAGCTGAGACTAAGAGATTAGGGGTAAAAAAGAACTAAATAGATATTGGCTCTGAACTATATGGAATAGAATATTTGATTACAAATAAAAATCTTTTTTAAGATAAAAGTTTTAATATATTTATTTGAAGCTTTGAGGGTGATTGGCATAAAGATAAATTTTTGATAATAATTAAGATGTAATTACAACCCCATTAACCACACTTTTTTGCATATAAAAGCTTGGCGTATCTCATTCCTCTCAAGGCTTTAAAAACTATATGGTAGTCCACCGGGGGGATAGGAGACAGGAGATAAGAGTCATAAAACAAAAGATCCAAAGATTTCAGTAGCTGTGGTGGATGATGTTCTTCCTGTGGAATTTTCCAATGTAACCAAATGATCTTGGGTCCCATAGCCGGTGTTTGCTCTTGAAATTGGACTTGGAGCAGTTGGAAACATGTTACATGATCTCCATCAGCCATCTCTAAGTTTATTAATTACCCCTATTATTACCAACTGTGAGATTTGTAGAATGTTACTTAACTTTCTGAGACTTGTTTCCTTATTTGAAAGAAATATGGATTAAAATAATAATCTTAATAAATTATAGATACTATTATTATTGAAGTTTGCCTATTTACAGCTTGCCCAAGCTAAGAGAAGTGCGTCTTCTCTCTCCCATATTTCCATGTAGTAGATTCTTCCATTTCTTTCAGAAGGTGAAAGTCTTAAAATTCCAAGTTACATTTAGCTATAGATTTGGAACTTCCCTCCTCTGCCTAAGCAGATTTAAAACAATTCCTATTGTTTTACAAAAGCAATCATTCTGGCAATTGATATGGATACCTGGCCTTTCACATCCCTCCTTTTTGCACTCACCTCTCCTGTCTCTTCTCTTCCCTCTTCCCTCCCCTCAACCCCACAAGTTTGCTGTGGTTTTCAAAATATTCAGATATAAAAATGTTTTATTGTTGTTTGTTTGTTTTGGTGGCATAGAATCCTTTTTTTTTCCAGAGAAAACATTATACAAAGGACCAATACATAAAACAGACCAACACTGACCTGCTGTCTTTGACATGGGGAATAGGCGTTTGCTCCCACTCCCTCCCCACTTTATTTTACACTGTTTTTCAAAGGAACATGAGGCATTTTCAAAGGAACCTTAGGATTTCAGCGACTGTATCTTACGAACCACTTGTCCACATGAATGAGATAACAATGTTAGTTCTCCCATTCCCAGAAGGTGTGTAGAAACTGTCCTAGCTTAGATGGGGGGAGGGGGATGTGGGGGGCGGGAAGACAGGGGAGGGAGCGTACTTCCATGTGATTCCCCCCAGGGCCCACAAGAAATGCATGAGATAAGCACCCTGGCCTGGATCTGGCTATATGGGGCTCTAAACATCTGTGACGAACCAGAGCATGCAATTCAGTCACACATATGTCTCAAAATACATTGATACTTTGGTCTTTCGACGTCACCTCAATGGTCCAGCCATACAACCTGCCTAACCGAAAGCTGAGCACATTTTCCATCACCAGGCCTTGGTACTCATGGCTTCCCGCTCCTGCACTAACACCCATCCTTCTCTCTCTGCCTGGCTATTTGACTCACTCAACCTCCAAGGCATTCTCCATGAGCTCCTTCCCAGTTTCTAGAGCCAGAATTCTTTGGTGTGTTTGTTCATTTGTGCCTCCCCAGCATTCTTCTGTCTCCCTCACAGACAGGAGAAATGCCCACTCATACTCACTAGATGGATGCCGTGGTGATCACATCCTGGGTAAACTACCGCCCTATTACTGTCAGTAATTACATCACAAAGTGCCCACCATGGGCCAGACCCAAAGGAGGAGTCTTATAGACATTATCTTTCATTGCTGACCACTCCATGTTGCTTCATTAGATAGCAGTGTTCCTTGCTAAGTCAGACCAGGGAAGGATCATTTCCAAAGAAAAAGCAAACCTTTTTATTCCTAATTTTTTTCTCTTTGGGTGTCAAATGTAAACTGGGCAAGATAGAATTACTCAGTTTACCTCTACAACAGTCCTATTTTTCATGCTGATTCTGAGCTTCAGTGAGAGTCTGTAACAAAAGTGTCTCTCAGTGAGACAATTTTTATCTTGGCTCTCAGTGATTATAATGAACTATTGAGCAAGTATTTTTTTCCTGGAAAGTCCAGTTATCAGTTTTGGGTGGCTTTTATCTACTCATAATCCAGCAGATTTGTAAAAACCCAACATTTCCGGTGCAAATACTTTACTTAGGCTAGTTCATCATCCCTTGCCTAAGTGATTACAGAACTATTTTTTAAATCAAGGACAGTACCCATCAGTTGGGTGTAGTGACTCATGCCTGTAATCCCAGCACTTTGGTAGGCTGAGGTGGGCGGATCACGAGGTCAAGAGATCGAGACCATCCTGGCCAATATGGTGAAACCCTGTCTCTACTAAAAATACAAAAATTAGCTGAGCATGGTGGCACACACCTGTAGCCTCAGTTTCTTGAGAGGCTGAGGAAAGAGAATCACTTGAACCCAGGAGGCAGAGGTTGCAGTGAGCCAAGATCATGCCACTGCACCCCAGCCTGGAGACAGAGTGAGACTCCGTCTCAAAAAAAAAAAAAAAAGAAAGTATTATAGTGGGACAAATTATATCTACAAATATTTGTTGAGTACTATACCACATCCAGTGCTGAGTATGAAGACAAACATAAAGATAAATACTATGTTCTAATGAAGGAGACAGAGTCCTTGTCCTCAAGTAGCTGATCAAGTACAAGGCAAGAAATGCTGGCACATGACTAACTGGAAACATTCATTCGTTGTTTATATTCAGTTTTGTGTTAGGAATTTATGGCATCTTACAAAGAAACATACAACACAGAAAAAGTTAAAGACTTAGAAGTGAGGAAGAAAGATTAGGCAAAGGGAAAACAAGGTCAACCAGAGCTAATATTGAGGCCAGTTCACAAAATACACCACCTGGAAACTGCTGGAAAGCAAGGGCCATCTCTGTTGTGTGCACAGCTATCCCCAGTGGATGGCACAGTGCCTGCCACACTCAATAAACAACAGATGAAATGGGCACTTCTTCCATTGTAGACCATGTAGCAACTCTATTCATGATAGCAAAACCACATTTGGTGAATCCAAAATTTAAGGCCACCTTCTCTAGACCCAGACTACATTGAAAAGTTGGAAGCTGGAGACCTTACTGCCATATCTTTCAATTTGGGATGGATGTATCTTGTTTGAAAAAAAAAAAAAAGGATGGCAGAATATGTGTTGCAGTCTTGGTTGCACTAGTCTAGTGGCTCTTATTTTTCAAACATATTTCTCTTTAATTTCATCATTATTACCTTTTATTTTGACAGGTAGGGTTTTTCTCCCCATGTTTATGTGTTTCATCTTTCCAACTGAAGGTACTTAGAAAGTAGGAACCAGATAATCTTCATCTTTGCAACTTATTCCTGCTTCTTGAGCATGTAGCACAATACCTTGAACATGGTGGGCACCAAATAATTCCTTTTTAACTGTTTACTCTTGTGGGCATCGACCAGTGCTAACTCAGTTTGAGTCAAGACTATATTGTGCAAATGATGATGGTGAGCTGCAAAGCCTCATTTATATATTGACAGCTAGTAGGGTTCAAAAAGCCAGTGTGATGAAAAGATGTATCAGTGTGCATGTGGGTGTCTGATCATTTTACCAGCCAGAGTGCATTCTTTGGCAACCTGATTCTAGACTTTAGTGACTCCAAATTTAAAGTAGGGATAGAGGAATGTAAGACAGGAGGGCTGAGAGGAAAGGGGCTGTGACACACAAGGCAAGGACTAAGTGGTGTGAGATGTTGGATGCAGTGTGTGATGAAGAGAGGGGAAAGTGAGTAAGAAGCTTTTAAGCAGTGATGATGGAAAAATACATAAATAAAGCAAAGGAATTTTAAAAAGTAATAGCATGGATTACAAACTGGATCTTTAAAACAATGTTCTCTAAGAGAGAAGACTAAAGGTAGATATATGTTTTAAAACTATTAATCTTGCCTCCTGTCCTGTTTGTTTAATGAGAAACCACACTAGTACTGGATTGTATGTGACTAGGGAATTATTCTGGTTACAACAAGTAACATATTTTTACTTCAAAACACACACTCTTGGTTACACCAGTCATAATTACTCACGTAGTGAGTTAGGAAATTCTACAACCAGGGAGAAGTAGAGCAGGGCAAAACTATTCAGGCATTACTTTAATTTAAAAAATAAAAAAGTAATTTCAAAGCCTAAAGAGCAATAAATGTCATGAGTCGGCTCAAAGAACAATGAGACACTGTTTTCACCTAACAAATTAGTAAATATTTTGGAAAGTATTGACATGTATTAAGTGAATTCTGTTATAAGTTTTTAATGCCTGATACGATTAGGCTCTGTACCCACCCATATCTCATCTTCACTTGTAGCTCCCATAATTCCCACATGTTGCAGGAGGGACCCAGTGGGAGATAATTGAATCATGGGGGTGGTTTCCGCCGTACTGTTCTTGTGGTAGCAAGTCTCATGAGATCTGATGGTTTTACAAGGGGAAACCCTTTTGCTTGGTCCTAATTTTCTCTCTTGCTTGCTGCCAGGTAAGACATGCCTTTTGCCTTCCACCGTGATTGTGAGACCTCCCCAGCCACATAGAACTGTGAGTCCATTCAACCTCTTTTTCTTTATAAATTACTCAGTCTCCGGTATGTCTTTGTCAGAAGCGTGAAAACAGACTAATACAATGCCCAGCCCAAAAAAGAAAATTAAAAGTCCATATATTACTGGCTGGATTACTAATTGAATCAGAATTTATGGAAAATCATCTGGTAATGTATGTTAAGCTACTTAAAACTGTTCGTACCCTTTGGTGGAATAAGTATCGTAAAGCAGTAATCAAAAATTGAAACAGAATATGAAATATTTTACAGCCATTAAGAATCAGGTTTTAATGAATATATAAAATAAATATTCATATATATGTGTGTATATGTGTATCTGCATATTATATGACTTCAATTCTGTAGAAATGTGCATGATCATACAACAACATGCCTGAAAGGAGATGCTCTAAATGTCAGGTTTTATTGGACTGTTAGAATTATGGGTGAATTTTTTTCCTGCTTTTAAAAACAAAATTTGTATGGGTGGGTATGGCTTTAATAATATAACAAAAATAAACATTTTTTGGGGAAAAAAAAAACTAGTTCATAACCTAAGCCAGTCTCATTTACTTTGCCTAACAAAAGATCCTGTTAAATTTTCTACCAGAAAAAAAAAAAACCTTGACATGCAGACCCATCAAAGAGATTTGTCACTGTCTCTTCAAAGGAGGAAATTATGTTTCAAATTCATCCTTATCCCAAAGCAGCTAATTTGATTTTATCAGTCATCAGCAAAGCCCTTAGATTACATAATTTATGAATTTCTAGGCTCCATCCCTACAGGGCAATATTCAATATTTAATGGAAACCATTACACTGTTAGATTTCTAGAGCTCCTCTAACGTGTTGGCTTGGAGAAGCCTCCAGCCTGAAGTACTGAGTGGTCATCTCGAGCATATCTGTTTGGTCTGACAGCACTAGACAGATGCAGAGGTGGAAACAAGATGAGGAAATTAGGATGCACACATGTTAGCCCTGGGATAGGAAGCCTGGAGAAATGACCCCAGGACACAGGTGGCAAAAGTAGTTGCAAAGATGATTCTACAATGAACTTCTAGGGATTGATGTTTTCATGAAAAATTATCTAATTGTCAGAAGCAAAGGGCCTCTCCTGGCTGCAAGACGTTCCCAGACCAGCCTCCTTTTCCTGGGCATCTGCTGTCTGAAAAAACTTTGTGTATCTGTTTTGCATTAACAGTGTAACTCATCTTCAGCCTTATCCAAAATTGGACCTGGACTTTCTCCTCTGCACCACTTCACTTTGCTTTCCTTCTGTTGCCGGTGTTAGAACAGAATTTAATTTGTTCATCCTTAAAGGCTTTTCCATCACTAGATTTCTCAGGAAGTTCTGACTCTTGGTATTTATTCCCCTGACAAGTAGGCTTTGAGGATGAATCTCATGTGGCTTGTCAGGTGCATTGAAAACAAATCTCCTGGCAGTAAGGGAGTTGCTATGAATGGTGTTCCGGCTCTGTTTCAGGAGATAGTGCGATTCTGGGACAAGTAGTGCAATCGTGGAGCCATTTTATTTTTAGAAATATCATTCTCAGTCTCACGTCTGTTGTCAAGAGTAATAACAGTGAACACACTGCAAGGATGCCTTTAGAAGTAGAGGGGCTGCAGGTATTCGGGTAATGGTCTGCAGTAAGAGAGATGCTGGGATAAAATGCCTTTCTCCAGAGATGATAGAAAGGAAAAGCATTCCATAGTGAGTCATCTCTTGGGTTCATCTGCAGTCTACTTTTTGCCCTTTCACCAGAAAGCGTAAAAGTAAAGAGAGTGAAATCCAATGTTCTATGCCTTTTGTCTAGCTGAGAGATGCAGAGAAGGCAGCCACAACCTCCTGAGCAGCCCACCTCTAACATTCTTCCCAGAAGTCATGCTGTATGCAGAAAAACCTGAATACAGATCCTGAGACTATAGATCTTTTGGTTACAGAAATCTCAAATTTCAGGCATCTTACAGGTGTTCCCCAAACTGACAGTCCATTCAGACTTCCCTTTGTCTTGGTCACTGGTGATGCATTGTGCTCCATCAGCCATGTTCCTGCTCTAGCTGTAGATGCTTGGCAGTGCTGATGTTGTGCTCACCTCCACTCACTATAGCTTCATCCAGGGAGACCAGGCCAGGGGCACATGCTGTCAGCTTATAGCATGTCCCATTCATTCCTTCATTCGTTTATGGTAGGAATGAAAGGATAGGTGATGTCAACTTATTCCTCTCTTCCTTCTCCTTCTCCTCCTCCTTCTCCTTCTTCCTCTCCTCCCTCCTTCTTCTCTCTCCTCATCCTCCTTGTTCTACTCCTCCTTCTTCTTCCTCTTTACTTTACCTGTGCCATGGATTTAGGTCAGGTAAATATGTGATTTTGGTCCCACAGTGAGCTAAGCTTCCTATCAGTGTTACTAAAACATACCTCGTTACTATGGCCATCACTCCTAGTAAGTAGCATTCCCCAGCTTACATACCAGTGCAGAATCTTTCTCTAGCTTTAGTGTGTATCCAGGTCAGTGCTTGTTAAAAAGGATCTGAATCAGGGTGCAGGGATCTCACTTTTAACAAAATTCCCAGGTGATTCTGCTGCAGGTCGTCTCTTTGATTCACTAGATGAAACATGGTGCTGTGCACGACCCATTTTATGGCTAGATGGGGTCAGAAAGCACCCAGTTCGTGATAGGCAGTTCAGGTCACATGGTGACTTGATGGCCCATAGTCAAATGTTCAGTTTCCACAAAAGCCCAGTAAGAGGTCAAGAACTGTCTCTCAAAGGGAGAGTAGTTATCTGCAGAGGATGGCAGGGCCTTGCTCCAAAATCCTAGTGGCCTCCACTGTGATTCGCCTATAGGAGCCTGCCAAAGGCTCCAAAAAGCATCTCTATCTGCCACTGACACCTCAAGCACCATTGGATCTGCTGGGTCACATGGCCCAAGTGTCAGAACAGCTTGCACAGCAGCCTGAACCTGTTGCAGAGCCTTCTCCTGTTCTGGACTACACTCAAAACTGGCAGCCTTTCAGGTCACTCAATAAATGGGCCAGAGTAACACACCCAAATGAGGAATGTGTTGCCTCCAAAATCCAAATAGGCCCACTAGGCATTGTGCCTCTTTCTTGGTTGTAGGAGGAGCCAAACGTGGCAACTTATTCTTTACCGTAAAGGGCCTATCTCAACAGGCCCACGCCACTAGACCCCTAGAAATTTTACTGACGTAGAAGCTCCCTGCATTTTAGTCGGATTTATTTCCCATCCTCTGGCATGCAAATGTCTCACCAATAAGTCCAGTGTGTTTGCTCTTCTTGCTCACTGGATCCAATCAGCATAATGTCATCAATGCAACAGACCAGTGTGATATCTTACGGAAGTGAAAAAGCAATCAAGGTCTCTCTGAATAAGATTATGACACAAAGTTGGAAAGTTGATATACCCCTGAGGTAGGACAGTAAAAGTATATTGCTGGCCTTGCCAGCTGAAGGCAAATTGCTTCTGGTGGGCCTTATGGACAGGAATGAAGAAAAAAGGCATTCGTCAAGTCAATGGCTGCATAGTAGGTACCAGGAGATGTGTTAATTTGCTCAAGCAATGAAACCACATCTGGTATAGCAGCTGCAATTGCAGTCACCACTTGGTTAAGCTTATGATAATCCATTGTCGTTCTCCAAGATTCATCTGTCTTTGCACAAGCCAAATGGGAGAGCTGAATGGGGATGTGGTGGGAATCACCACCCCTGCATCTTTCAAGTCCTTGATGGGGGCACTAGTCTCTGCAATCCCTCCAGGGATGTGATATTGTTTTCGACTTACGATTTTTCTAGGTAGAGTTAGCTCTAATGGCTTCCATTTGGCCTTTCCTACCGTAATAGCCATCACCCTGCCAATCAGGGAGCCAATGTGGGGTTCTGCCAGCTGCTAAGTATGTTTATGCCAATTATGCATTCTGGCACTGAGGAAATGACCACAGGATGAGTCCAGGGACCCACTGTAAGTCAGACCTGAGCTAAAACTTCATTAATTACCTGACCCCCATAAACCCCTACTTTAACTGGAGGACCACAATGACATTTTGGGTCCCCTGGAATCAATGTCAGCTCAGAGCCAGTGTCCAGTAGTCCCCCACATTTCTGATCATTTCCCTTTCCTCAATGCAGTTACCCTGGTAAAAGGCTGGAGGTCTCCTTGGGGAAGGATGGGAGAAAGATTCACTGCATAAATTGTCAGTAATGTAGTGGTGTCCTTTCTCGAGGGTATCCAGCCTCCTCTTCCTTCAAAGGGTTCTGGGTCTGTAAACTGGCTCAAGTCTGGAAATTGATTGAGGGGCTGTGATTCTCTGTTTTTATAATTCAAATTAGTCTTTTGTCCATTCGACCTAGAAGTTTTCTGTTTGTATAATTTAAGTAGGAATGCAGTAGGCTCCTATCAATTTCACTTCTAGGAACGCTGTGATTAATTAGCCAATGCCAGAGCTCTACACAAGTCAGACTATTCTGGTTGCCACTTTGCCTCTGCTGTCCATTATGGTAACTACGCCACCTTGCCTTTGACGGTTGAGTGATGCCACTTGGCCCCTGCCCCCTCAGGATCCAATTATTCCCATCGTATTTAAATTTTGTAGTTGAGTGACTGCTATTCCCACCATTGGATCTGACATACAGAGAAGAGCAATTACAGGGCTCTTCAAAGATGCAGGTGCTGCCCTCACAAATCTATTTAACAAGACATTAGTCAAGGGTATATCTTCTGGACCCTCCCAGCTGGGATGAGTAGGTCTAATGTGACTAATCCACTCCACCATCCCAATCTCCCTAAGCCTTTGGATCCCTTCCTCTACATTAAACCAAGGGAGATCAGGCATTTCCAGCTTGCTCACAGTGGGCCATCTTTTAATCCATATTTCAGCTAACCAAGCAAATAAACTGTAAGAACCTTCTTTAACTCCCTGAGCTGCAACATTAAATGCAGAGTCCCTACTTAGTAGGCACAAATCAGTAAATTCAGCCTGATCCAACTCAGTGTTCCTTCCACCATTGTCCCATACCCTTAATATCCATTCCCATGGCTGTTCTCCAGATTGCTATTTATATAAATTAGAGAACTCAAACAGTTATTTTCAAGTGTAGTGTACTGCTTCATGAGTCACACTCTCAACCTCACCTCCAGGGGCCCACTGGGACTTTAGTCTAGTTATAGGTCTAGAAGCAAACAGGGGTGTTGGAAGCGGCTCCTGAGGAGAATCAACATTATCTTGCCTGGCAAGTGCCTCAGGGGAGGCCATCACTGTTGCCTCAGGCAGCACAGGATTTATCTCCTCAGACAAAGGTGGAAAGGCTGATGGCACCATGGGTCAGGGAAGGGATGTTGCCACTACTGGGGATGGGGAAGCTGTTCCTTCTGGCAAAAAAGGTTCATCAGAGTTTACAAACTCAGTGTTCCCAGTTCCATCAGGGTCCTCCCACATGTCCCCAGTCCAAGTTGCAGGGTCCCGTTCTTTTCCAATCAATGCCCTCACTTTAACAGTAGACACCTGGCAAGGCTGTGCATACATCTTTCATTGCAGATCAGCTACTCACATGATAAGAGCTTGTGTCTGTTTTTCCACAATTTCAGCTCTTTCTCTACAGGAGATAAGACTCTCACTCAGGGCAATCTTAGCAGATTTGAGGCTCAGTATCTGCTTCTAAAGCTGAGAGACAGAATCCCTGAGTTTATCATTTTCTTTCATCACTTTATCCACTGAACTTAGGAGCAACCAACCAGCTTCATTATGTTCCTTGGTTCTCCACATATGGTCAAAGGTAGCATAGAGTCACTAAACTCCTTGCCGTTCACAAGCGGTGAATCAGGAGTGTCAAATGCATTTATTTTGCATAATTCTCTAAACAGCTCATGCCAAGGACTATCAGTGTTTTCTATACTATTAGAAGTAGAGTCCTTAGCATTTTTGGGTCTAATCATATTAAGCAGCCAACTCCAGAAACCCGAAAATAATTAAAGAACTCTATCCTTAATATTCTGTTCCTCTAGAACCACTCCTGGTACCAAAATCTACATTAGTCAGAGTTCTCTTAGAGGTACAGAACTGATTAGATAGATAGATAGATAGATAGATAGATAGATAGATAGATAGATAGAATGTATTATATATATGAAGAGTTTATTAAGTATTAACTTACACAATCACAAGGTCCCACAATAAGTTGTCTGCAAGCTGAGGAGCAAGGAGAGCCAGTCCAAGTCCCCAAATTGAAGAACTTGGAGTCCGGTGTGTGAGGGCAGGAAGCATCCAGCATGGGAGAAAGATATAGGCTGGTAGGCTAGACCCATCTCTCTTTTCGCATTTTTCTGCCTGTTTTGTGTTTGCCAGAAGCCGATTAGATTGTGCCCACCAGATGAAGGGTGGATCTGCCTTCCCCAGCCCACCGGCTCAAATGTTTATCTCTTTTGGCAACACTCACACAGACACACCCAGGATTAATATTGCATCCTTCAATCCAATCAAGTTGACACTCAGTATTAACCATCACAGACACAAAACTACAAAAAGTAGTTTTTAAATCAAAGAACAAGGGATCTGTTTTCCACTATTCTGACTATTTTATTCCAAGAGCATTTCTCCCATTCATGTCTTGGGCGCCTTTGTTCTACTCATCTCTCAGGGATATTGCCATGCACCTCAGCCTCCAGGAATAACTCATTACCTAAATGATCTGAATCAGGGTGCAGGGATCTCACTTTTAACAAAGGTCCTAGGTGATTCTGCCACAGGCCATCTCTTTGATTCACTATATGAAACATTGGCACAATAGTTAGAAAAGTAATTTTTAAATCAAAGAACAAGGGATCCATTTTCCACTATTCTATTTTATTCCGAGAGCATTTCTCCTGCTCATGTCTTGGGTACCTTTGTTCTTCTCATCTCACAGGGACACTTTTCTGCAATTGCCGGCACCTCAGCCCCCAGGAATAACTCATTACGTTTCTTCCCATTTGCACATGGGTATTTCTTAACATAGACAGTGCCCTGCATTTTCTTTCTATTATACCATAGAACTTGAGATTTCTTGCATTAAATGTGAGAAAACTAGGATCAGAGAGTTCTGACTTCAAAACTTAGCTCTTCTACTTTCTATCCATGTGACTTAGGCAAGTTAACCTCTTTCAGTCTTGTCTGTAAAATGGGGATTAATAACATTATTTACCTTCTAGGGTTGGAAGGAAATATAAAAGCTAGTGTATGCTAATATAGGTTAAGTGAATGAAAACTTAGCTCAGTGAAGAAGCCAATATAATTTTTTATTACAGACAATTTTTCTCTGTCACCCAGGCTGGAGTGCAGTGGCACGATAATAGCTCATTGCAGCCTTAAACTCCTGGTCTCAAGTGATCCTTCCACCTCAGCCTCCCTAGTAGCTAGGACTGTAGGTGTGTGCCACCATGCCTGGGTAATTTTTTTTTTTTTTTTTTTTTTTGTAGAGTTGGCATCTTGCTATGTTGACCAGGCCGGTCTTGAACTCCTGCGCTTAAGTGAGCTTCTGCCTTGGCCTCCCAAAATGCTGGAATTACAGGTGTGAGCCACTGTGCCAGGCCAATATGTTAATAAATTATCTTCAGTATTCTTGCTTAATTCTACTAGTGTTTTTTTCAACTATTATTATTCTTATGATTGTTTTTGAATCACCCATTAGGGGAATTTTTTCATTTTCTTCCCAGACTTGTCTTTAGCCTGCATTAACATTTCCTCTTTGCCTTAATGCCTCCCTTTGGATCATTGTAAGCTGTTTTCATCTTCTCTTACAGCTTTTCCTTTAAACTGTTTTGCTAACATTTTGCTGTTTCTCTTCCAATCCAGAACATCCCACTTCTTGCTACAGGTGCTGGAAAGAGAACAGGAACCTTTAATAAGCAAGTGATTGGTGTGTACAGTGTACATGCTACCCTTTCAATGAAAAGGCACTCAGCTAGGACCTCCTAACAGGAAGGGAAATCAGCACATTTCTAGGAGAAAAAGGAATAGTTCCTCCTAAATTCTAGTTGCATTTTCTCTCTCCCAGGTTCATATATGTTGACTGCCACTTTCTTTTTTGTTATCCTGTGCTTAGGTAATTTTTTTCCCCTTTTATCACTGTTACCTTCTCTATTGATTTAAATTAAGCTTGGTTTGTATTTCTTTGAAAAGAAAATACAACCTTGCTGGGTTGGGAGGTTTGTCTAAGGCCTCTGTGCTCCAGTAAAAACCTATGTATGTAGGTCCTGCAAACCAACATTATTTTTGCTGTAAAAACATCACGTGCATGTTCTGAGACATGGGCCCTCTGTGTAAGATCCCTTCACACATGCAAACACAGCTGACATTTCAACACTTCCATAGAGTGAGAGCAAAAGGATCCTGGTTCAGAAAGGTCAAGGCTGTCCTACAGGGCAGGGGGCAGGGCTTCCTTTGACCTTCATCTCCAGCATGAGCAATACACTGGCAAGTGTTCCAATTTTATACCTTCTCATACAAAGCTTGTTTCCAAAGATGTGCCTCGAATTTAAATTCCCTCAATGGGATAATGTTTAGTTTTCTATTTTTATGTAGTGATATTACTACAAACTTGGTGACTTAAAACAACAAAACAACATACACTTATCATCTCACAGTTTCGGTGGGTCAGGAGTTCAATCATGGCTTAACCGGGTCCTCTGCTTAGAGTCTCACATGATGTCAATCAAGGCTTTGGCTGGGGTTGTGGTCTTACTTGAGGCTTGAATGGATAAGGATTTATTTCTAAGCTCACTTAGGTTGTTGGCAGAATTCAGTTTCTTGCAACTAGGATGAGGGCTTCTTTCTGGCTGTCATCAGATCCTACAGTCTGCCTCATAGTTCTGTGCTGTGTGGGGTTCCCCAGCATGGTTTCTTGACTCCTCAAAGTTAGCAAAGGTGGGAGAGAGGAAGGGGGAGGGAGAGAAAAAGAGAGAACACATGTGCAATACAGGTGCTGCAATCTAATATAACATAATCACATAATCACGTACACATAATGACTTACATCTTGCCATCTTTACCACATTCTATAGGTTCGAAGCAAGTCATGAATCCTTCCTTCCCACATTCAAGGATAAGGAATCATACGGGGCATGGACACCAGGAGGCAGAGATTGTGGGGCTGCTACCGTAAGAATCTATCTGCCACAAAAATGTACATGTGCCTTTTTCCTTAATTTCTTTCTTTTTTTGTTTTGTTTTGTTTTTGGAACAGAGTCTTGGTCTGTTACATAAGCTGGAGTGCAGTGGCACGATTGTAGCTCACTGCAGCCTGGAACGCCTGGGCTTAAATGATCCTCCCACCTCAGCCTCCCTAGTAGCTAGGACTACAGGTGTGCACCACCATTCCCTGCTATGTTTAAATTTTTTTTTTTTTTTGAGACAGAGTCTCACAATGTTGCACAGGCTGGTCTCAAACTTCTGGCCTCAAGCGCTCCTCCTACCTCAGCCTCTCAAAGTCCTGGGATCACTGGCATGAGTCTTACTATTTTTTCTTTTAAAAGATGGAGAAAAAGTTCACCATGAACTTGACCTTTCCTAGATGTGGCCCAATGATTTTGATGAAATATTAGGTCTTATTAACTTCTTTTCCCTGTTAACATGCAGCACAAAAACCTTCTTCTCAGATTCTTACTTAACTAATTCTCAATGAATTGATTAGAATAACATCTCAAGATGTTATTTCTATTCCATATATCCAAGGTCATTTTAGAATGATTGCGTTTCAGACCTAGAGTTATTTCCTAAGGAAAGCAGTTGTAAGTGACCCTAAGGAAGGGTTTCTAGTTGAGTTCCCAAAAGTGTATACCAATGAGATCATTAGTTCACCCATTGCCATAGGATTTCTGCTTTCTCTGGATTTTGTACATTATGAGTGACTTAATACTTAATTTTTTCCATAGAATCAATCAGTAAGCAATATTCAGCATATATTAGGAGTATAGCATTCTGTTGAGTGTGTTGCAGCTGTACCAAACAGTAGAATGCATGTTTATTGCCTTTACAGAGCTTACATGAGTTTCATGAGATGCGACATCAATGGCAGATGGGGACCACAAAGCAGAATAGCTCTGGAGTCAGACCACCTATGTTAAAAATGTTTTTTACTGCTTGCCTGCTGCATAATCTGTTATATAACCTTGGGAAAGTTACCTAAGCTCACCTAGTCTCAGTTTCTCTTTAAAGTGGGTACAGTTATAATATCTACACCCTGGGTTGCTATAAGGATTCCATGAGATGATCCATGTCAACTGTTTAGCAGAATGTTCAGCAATACTGCCACATGACAAAGCTGCAGGGACCCTCACTCACATCAGTACAAGGCAAGTGGTATCCCCAGGGGTTGTCAGTTGGGCAGCCCTGAGTAGGTACTTAATAAACATTCTTGCCTGCCTCTGATGTTAAAATTATTACATGTGAAATTGCAAACACAAATATTTAACAGGTCATGGTATGATCAATTTCTATCTGATTTATGTACAATTATTGTCACTACTTTTTTTTCTGGTCACTTGAACCCATGAGCTCCTCTCTGCCTGCTAGTCTTCATGCTCCCTACTTCTGTATTCCACCACCTATGCCCACATCTGTCCTCATGCCTGGCTCTTTCTCATCCTTCGGTCTCTTGTCAAATGACCCTTCCTTAGAAAGCCTGCTCTAACCATGTTATCTAAAGTCATTTTCCCCCCAAATCATCAGTTTCTAACACATCACTCTAGCTTATATTCTTCATTGCACTAATTTTCATTTTGTTTGTATTTCTAACTTTTGTTTTCTGCTTCCCTAAAGAGAATACATGCCACACAAAGGAAAGCAGGGATTTTGTCTGCCTTGAACATGCAGTTATTTTCATCTCTTAGCATGGGGTCTGAAACATAATAAGCACTCCAAAAAGACATGAGTGAGGGAGGGAGTGAGTGGAGATCCGTTTGAGTTGTGTCTTCAGGGACAGCCCTGTGGAGAAGGTAGGTTTTTACTCAAAAAAAGGGAGAGAGACATAAGCTGTATGGTAACAGAAGAGGGGAGGTGTTTAGAAAGAAAGGTTTGGCCATTTTCTTGAATATCAGGCTCTACAGCAGAAGGAAGTTTCAGAATTTAACCATACTGTCTAAGGTGTATATCTGCATTACAGATTAAAAGATAATAATGCCTGACTTACAGGGATTCTTTGACAAATAATAAGGTAGTTGAAAGTCTTTTGTCAACTACGTAAATCACCTTAGGATATGAGTAGTTATTTCCATGCTTAGAGGCTAGAGGGAATAAAGTTTATTCATTTAAAAGAGAGATCTATATAAAGAAATAAATATTTTAAATTACATAACATAGCAATTCAATTCATTCTCTTTGTAAAGCGTTCAAATATTCTAGATAAAGTCAAAGCTCTCTTGATGACCATCTCTAGTCCTAGGCCTTCTGCAGAGGTAAACATTGCGGTCAATGAGCTGTAAGTTTTTTACCTTTAAAAATCTGCACATTTATTTCCAGATTACCATAAAAGTACTTTAACAATATTTCTAAAACCTGCACTAAAAAGTAAGCCCTATTAGTCCCTGGATATGTTTTTCTATGCTTTCCATTATTGAAATCTGAGTTAATTTAATTAATTAGCTCTTTGGATATTTCTTTCTTCTTTCTGCTAAGATAGCATATTTTGTCCTTTAATAAAATACTAATTTAAGAATGCTTATAAACTTCTGGGGATATATCATAAGGAAATAATTACAAAAATAGCAACAATTTATGTATAAAGATATGTATCACAACATTGTTTATGATGTTGAATGATTGAAGCAATGCACCTGTCCAACAAAGAAATTAATCATTAAATAATCACACAACCACAAAACTGGAATATTATAAAGCCATCAAAACTGGTATCTACAAAACGTGTTTTAATGTATAGGAATGTGTTAATGTGTTAATAATGACAAATAGTAAAAGGAGCCTACAAAACTTAAATGCTGTGAGCTCATCAAAGTGTGTTTAGCTAGAAAGAAAATAAGACTAGAAGATCATATGCATGAGTACTAAGAGTGGCTATGTCTTGGTGGTAGATAATGAATGATTTTTATTTTCATCTTTATACTTTATTTTCCAAATGTTTCTAATAAACATGGAATAGATTTTCATTTTAGTTTAATTTTTTTTAAATCAAAGTAATAGACATACATAGTTTAAAAAGGCAAATAGCAGCAAGGCTTTCAGATAAGGGTTTCAGATAAAAGCAGCAGTTCTCTGCAGCTCCCCGCCTCACCCCTGCATCCCCCTCCCACAAAGATGATTTCTTCTGGTGTTCTACATAATATACATATACTGCTATTGCTTGATTTTTTTAGTTTTAGATGTTATTGATTGACTTTCTATAATAGAAAAAGAATTAGTTCACTTTCCACCTTCACCCCATTCTATACGTGAATATTTTCCTCTCTCCAGTGTACCAATATAGTAAAGTAATAATGTATGGTTAAATATTTTTAAAATTATAATTGTAAGTGCTGTTCATTCATGACATTTATAGAACTATGAATATATAACGTTTTCTTTTTCTTTCTTTTTTTTTTTGTTTGAGACAGAGTCTCACTCTGTCACCCAGACTGGAGTGTGGAGTGCAGCAGCATGTTCTTGGCTCACTGTAAATTCCACCTCCCAGGTTCAACTGATTCTCCTGCCTCAGCCTCCTGAGTAGCTGGGATTACAGGTGTGCACCATCATGCCTGGCTAATTTTTGTATTTTTAGTAGAGAGGGGGTTTCGCCATGTTGGCCAGGCTGGTCTTGAACTCCTGACGTCAGATGATGGCCTGCCTGGGCTTCCCAAAGTGCTGGGATTATAGGTGTGAGCCACCATGCCTGGTCAATTATATGACTTTTTCTATACAACTTTTTGGTTTTCTTGGAATTGATAATTGCCTCACATTTTCCTATCTTTAGACTTCCATCTACCAAGCAATAATTTGTTCCCAAACTTTCCAAGAGAACTGTTTACCTTATCTCAACGTGGTCACACTTGTCAGCAATGCTAAATTGTTGTGTAATCTCCCAGTGCTGCTTTTGGAAGACCAATGCCATTTTGAACCCTGATCCTTTATAAAAGACTCATTTGTCTCTCCACGGGCTTTTGGGAAGGGGTGTGTGTGTGTGTGTGTTTCTGTGTGTGTGTGTTGTTTTGTTTAATGTAGTGGTATTCTGAAACTTTTTATGATAATACACCTAGTTTTGGGTAATTTTGTATTCATTTTGCTGGAAGCTTGACGCCTCCTTCAATCTGAAAACTCATGACCTACTGAACTAAGAGATTTTTCTTGTTATTTCCTTGAAAATTTTGTCTTCTCATTTTTCTTATCAATAGACCTTTAAGGATTTTTGTTTGGTTGGTTGACTTAGCTTAGTTGGTTGATTTGTTTTTCACTCTTGCAGAAATGCTACCACAAAAATCCTTGAGTATACTGTCTTATGCTCATTTGTAAGTCTTTCTGCACCATAAATACTTTGCAGTAAATACTGAGATGTAAAATAGAATTGCTGCATCATAGTATATGTGTATTTTCAAATTTTATATATGAACTACATGCTTCCAATATGGACAAAAGCCCCACCATCATTGGCTAATTGTTTTCAGTGCTTAATCACAATTTATCCACATTCCTGTTTCACATTTGCTCTTCATAATGATCACAACTTTATTTTTAACACCTCACCACCATCCAGCCAATCTCTGACTCACTCTTCCAGGAAGGAGCCAGTTCATAATCCTAGCTCTACCACTCACTCCCTAGCAGCAAGAACCTCTCCAAACTTCAATTTTTTCCTATGTAAAATGGAAATAACATCTACTTCCCAGTGCTATTGATGGATTAAATGAGATATATCTAGCCTGGTGTCTAGCAAACAAGAGATACTTAAAATATACTAACTCCTTTTCCTTAACTGTCAAAGCTCTACATTTGGAGATAATATAATTAACACGTATGGTTCAGAGATACAACTTAATTTCACACAATAACTCTAATTGGGATCTACAATGATCCTTACTAGAACCAAATATACATGTGAAAATCCAGATATTCCCCATAGGTCAACTAAGACCCACACCCAACCCTCTCCCAAAGAATAGGGCCTGGACAAGTCCCTTTAGAATGAACATTCCACTTTGCATGTTCTGGCACCCTCCTTCTTCCCCAGAGGGGTTTAGGATTGTTCCTCTTTTACCCTGACAAAGTTTCATATATTTTAGATGCAGAATAGGGGCCCATGGTAAGGGAGAATAGCTTCTGTTCCATAATTCCTTTATCTGTCTCATTATCCAATCCAGTTTTATGAAATCTCATGGCATAAAATGACAATTAGCTCAATAATTATTGCTTATTTGAATGTATCACTACTCAGATAACAATTACCTATTAAGCACCTGCTATTTTGAAAGTACTATGACAGACTCTCAAGGGGACACATCTCTCAGTAAGGAATGGTCCTCGCCTTCAAAGAGTTTATGGCATAAAAAGTGTTAAAAACTTGGTTGATAACAATCAGCCAAAAGTATAAGGTCATGTGACTACGTGTGCCTTATAAGTATGAGACAGTGAGAGGTAGGGTCATAGATGAGTGGGGAGAAAAGTGTGGGAGAAAGATTGACTGCCCAGATGAGGGTGTCTGTATGACTCAAATTTCTGTGACAGCAGCACAGAGCAATGAGAGAGCCCTGGCTTTGGGAACAGGTAGACATGAATTGAACCCAGTGCTTGTCTGACTTGGGCTGCGTGTGCAGTCTCCATTTATTCATGCGTTTGGAGTAGGACAATAATACCTTCCTGACAATTGAGTGTGTAGGACATACAACAGGTGCATAAAAATGTTTCAGTGATAGCCTGGCTTTGTAAAGGTAAGTTTGCTTCCTCCCTCTTCCCTTCCCTTCTTTATGGTATTGGATGGTGTGCAAATTTATCTTCATGGTCTTCTAAAGAGTAGCCCTTGCTTTACCTCTGGTTCCTGTCCCATGCCACTGGCAGGGGATGGCGTGGAGAACATGGTGGCATCTTGCCTCTGTTTATTGCTTATATCTCTATATTTTTCCCTTGACCTTATCACCCCAGAATGTTCACATGGGGTCTGGCAAGGAAGCCAGCTACCCTAGCTGCATGTGATACTTTCATTTATGACTATTACAGATCCTTCTGTGCTAATGGGGTGCCCTCTGACATAAACAGGCCAAACCAGAGCAGTATCTGTAGGGGTTCTAGGCAAGGGTACAGGTCAGGATACAAATTAAGAGGGGTGTGTAGTGACAATCTAGAATCGATCTGATTATATCTTGTATTCTAGAATGTCTATTTATATATCTTGGCCTAACAGACCTAGAGAGATAATCAAACTATTTCTACTGGGTATTTCAGAAAATGGTTGGAAAATGGCTTGGTAAGTGAAGCTGAGTCCCAGCTCACTATGTTAAAGAGCTGTTCTGCATGATTTATGACCTGGGAAAAATTTATTGAGTATCTACTATATGTCAGGCATTGTGTGCAGGGTAGGAGACCCTTGTCTTCTTCCTAACTCCCTTCTCAAGTCCCACAGTCATGCCTATTTCTGTTGCAGTGGTAAAGATTTAAATTCTATTAACTTCTATTATAAAATAATAAAAGTTATTGAGCATTTCTGACATTCTGGATACTATGCCAAATGCTTTGCCTACTTAACATACATTATCTAATTTAAGCCTTATTTAAACCTCTTGAGGTAGGTACTTACATGATCTCCATTTTAACAGATGCAGAAACTGGAGTAGAGAGGTTAGGTGACTTGCCCACAGCCACACGGGTAGGAAGCAGAGATGTCAGGATGGGGACCAGGAAATCTGCCTCTAGTCTGTGCCTATAACAACCACCTGCCTCTCTCCTGCCTCATAAACCCGGCATCAGGCATCCTTTTTCCCTTCCACACTGAAATTATGAGGATCTTATTTAACCTTATGGATTCTCACCTTTTTCCAGGTTCCTCTTGAGAGACACATTTCTCCCAGAATCTCTACTTTCCTTTTTCATGTGGCAGCCAACTTTGCCCAGATTACTTTTCTTGTCCCACCTACTATTCCCCCAAATATGAAGCCAGGCCCATCTCTCATTCCCTGACACACAGCTAAGTCCAGACCACGTGATTTAACAAGAGATTACTAAAGCCTTTGGAAAACAGAAGGGGATTAAAGTGCACACGGCAGAACCCATCCACAGACTTCCCACGGTCCCCCATCACTGACTTCCTGCAAGTCACCATGTTGAAGGAGCCAGTGCATCTCAGCTATTGGGAGGCACCTCTACCCTGAACCCCTACTCTGCTAAAACCCATGTCAAACAAAATCACGCCAAAATCATCTTCTAAAAGAAAGCATAATCTGTTCCTATAACTCCATCTCCGAAGAAAGTTTGATATTGTTATGCAGAGCCTTTGGCCCCATGCGGTCTCTAAACATCCCACATCCGATGCAGGGCTCGGTTGCTTTTTGCGGAACCAAAATGCCCTTTAGAAGGCTTATACACTATTGGCGAGAGTCTAAATTAGTTCAACCTTTGTGGAAGACAGTGTGGTGACTCCTCAAAGACCTAAAGACAGAAATACCATTTGACCCAGCAATCTCATTACTGTGTATATACCCAAAGGAATATACATCATTCTATCATAAAGAGACATGCATGTGTATGTTCATTGCAGCACTATTCATGACAGCAAGGACATAGAATCAACCTAAATGCCCATCAATGATAGACTGGATAAAGAAAATGTGGTAGATACACACCATGAAATACTATGCAGCCATACAAAGAAATGAGATCATGTCCTTTGCAGGGACATGGATGGAGCTGGAGGCCATTATCCTTAGCAAACTAATGCAGGAACAGAAAAACAAATACCATGTGTTCTCACTTATAAGTGAGAACTAAATGATGAGAACACACTGACACATAGGGGAGAAAAACACACATTGGGGCCTGTTGGAGAGCAGAGGGTGGGAGGAGGGAAAGGATCAAGAAAAATAACTAATGGGTACCAGGCTCAATATGTGGGTGATGAAATAAACTGTACAACAAACCCCTATGACACATGTTTACCTATGTAACAAACCTGCACGTGTACCCCTGAACATAAAACTTTTAAAAAATGCCCTTTAAACAATTGTTCATTGTAGGGAGACCCCTTGAAACTATTGCTACGGAATAAAAGATGAAATGCTCCTGATTATTGTAAATACAAAATTGCATGCAGGATTGTGTAAAGACAATGCCAGGTTGGACTGCCAGAATGAGCCAACACCATGTGATGTGCTTCCCCCTGCAGAGAGCCTATGAATGGACATGCAGTCAGGAAGGTTTCACATTACCAAGATTCCTATCCCAGAAAAGCAGATGTTCATAGCTCTGGGAATGGAATGCGACCCTTGTGGAGAGCCTATAAACAGATGCGTGAGGGGCACCTGTCCATATGGATAAGATAGGGGTATAAACTCCCTCATCTTGCCGCGGCTCTTCTAGGCCTTTTTAGGATTAAGGCATACTCCCTTCTGAGAATTTCTGGTCTAACCGGTTGTCTAGCTTCACGTCCTGTATCTGTGGATTGTTTGTAACCAGCTTTTGCTGCAACTGTTACTGCTGATTAATATCTGGCTAATCATAGGTTATGGAAAGACTGTGTTTCTGTTGTAAGGCTCTGTTAGAAATTACTGATGCACACACTATATTGTAAATTCTTATCTCTGTATACTGTACTTCTGCATATAGTTGTTATGTTAAAGAATTACTTCATCCACATACGACCATCTCACCTCATAATCAAATGACCCTAAATCCCTCACTAACCTACCCCTGCCCTCACTAAGCTTAACAATAAATGCTGGTATATTCAGTGCGTTAGTGGCACCATGGGACCGGAAGGCAGTGATCCCCCAGACCTAGCTTTCACTATCTTTTGTGTGTCTATTATTTCTCGACCTGCCGATCCGCCTGGGAACAAAGAAAGAGCCCCATTGCATTGCGGGCTGCTGGCCAGATCCTGCAATATCTGGCACTCAACTGGGAACAAAGAGAGAGCCCTGTTGCATTGCAGGCTGCTGGCCAGATCCCGCAATAGTTCATGCTACCTCCTATACCAAGACAAAGATGAATTTAAGCCTACTGTCTCTGAACTTGGGGATAGTAACAGGGATCCAGCTTGAAGCTTTAAAAAGGCCATTTTCCCCCATTTCTACCCATCAAGCTTTGAAAAATATCAGGGCTGAGTCTTATTTAGGATGCCTAGTTTGCAGTCATAAAGCATCTCAGTGTTTTTTTTTTTTTTTTTTTTTTTTGAGATGGAGTCTTGCTCTGTTGCCCAGGCTGGAGTGCAATGATGTGATCTTGGCTCACTGCAACCTCTGCCTCCCAGGTTCAAGTGATTCTCCTGCCTCAGCCTCCCGAGTACCTGGGATTACAGGCGCATGCCACCACGCCTGGCTAATTTTTGTATTTTTAGTAGAGGCAGGGTTTCACCATGTTGACCAGGCTGGTCTTGAACTCCTGACCTCAGGTCATGTGCCCGCCTTGGCCTCCCAAAGTGCTGGGATTACAGGTGTGAGCCACTGTGCCTGGCTACATCTCAGTTTTTAAAACCATCTCCCACCTTCATTATCTCCTTGTACCTGAGACATCAGCTCTCATTCCTGGGGAGAACATTTAGAGCCTTCTCATGCCCTAACCCTACACTGATACTAAGCTCAGAGTACAGGCCTGGGCCTGACCTTGCTTCCCTGTGTTCCTGGGTATTTTCCTGGACTCTTCCCATCTTGAGTTCTTTCTCCTCCAAACCTCCTTGCTGCAGGTGGATGTCGGACTGGTTTTGGTAACTAAAGGGGAATCATATTCTTAACAAAAACCATGACACTTCTTGATATAGGATTTCCAGGTACTGACCAACGTTCTTTGCTAATAAACTTTTCAACCACAACTGGTTCTGTGCAGGTGTGCATTTTTAAACAATGAACCAGTAGTTCAAAACAAGTTTAAACCAAATCCCACATAAACAAGCACAGTTTTACACACCAAGATCATTCTGTTGTTTGCCCTCGTTGCTTTGTGTAGAGCAAAAAGGCATTGAGAACCTCAAGCTTGGAGTGTTTCAATAAATCACCCTCACACAAAAGGATCACAGTTAAAAATCACTCCTGTTCTTCTTGATCCTCTCCATCCTTTCAAGGTAAAGAGAAGGAGAAAGGAGGAGGAAACAAATCATCGTTGATTCATTGACCTGTTTCAAGACATGCAAGCAGAAAGGCCAGGCTCGTCTCATTGCTACGTGTGGGACATAATAAATCTGAAGCATTAAAATGCTGATAAATCTGCATTAAATCTGATAAAGTGTCACATGTGAGCCTCTCAGCCATTCATGAAGAAGAACATGGCCCATCTAGATATGCCTCAGAAGGTGCATAAATTCTCTCAGGCCAAAAGTAACAAAGTATTTTATAAAGATCTATTTTTTTCTTCTTAAACATGAATATAACCTAAACAAAAAAAAAGGAAAAGAAACAGAAACCATACAGACAACAATAACAACAAAGCTAGCGATTGTTTACTCTATGGTCCCAGCTTCATTAATCTGTGGGACAGTTTGAAGATGAGAGCAAGTTTTGCCTCATCATTCATTTACAAGCTACTGTGTTTATTATGTTCATTATTAATCCAGTTTTAATGTATTTGTCCATGGTCACAGAACCTGTCACTGTCTCTAATAACCCTTGTTGATCTGAGATCAGGCATCTCATTTCAAACCTTAGCATTATCCTCCACATACTATATAGGAAGAATAGATGTAGTCTTTGGGAGTTATCAACCTAATAAAGTTTCCAAAGAGGATGTGAGTGAACACACACACACACACACACACACACACACACGTATGAATAAAATGATTCTCTCCGTCCAATAGCATAACATCTTAGTTTAATGTTACTCATGTAGAGAAACAGGAAAGAAATTAATGGATGAATTTATTATCACAGTTATTATCAAATAACCGCAAGCCAGGTCTCATTTCATGACCAACACTAAATCTACACTTGGCAGGATTTCATCACCAATGGGAAATCTGACAAGCAGGCAGAGAAACCAATAGGATTTTAAAATGTTTTTAGAATTACCCTTTCAATAATCAAAAACCAGTTTATCTAAAACATAGCAAATCTTATCTTCTGTGCAAACTTGTACTCACAACTTATTTCCCATACACGTGGTAAATTACCAAAGCAGCTCTAAATTTGCTGACCTTTAATAAAGATAAATTCTCCAGGGAGATGGGAACCAGCTTTCCTTTTTAAATCCATTCCTGGATTTCTTCTGGTCTGGAATCCAAACTGGGTGCCTCTCACGTTTACATGTAATCGTTTGTGAGGATCTCTAATCAAGAAAATAAATCAAAGAAGGAAGTCTTAAATCTGTATAAAGAGAGCCTCGAATTTGCATAATACAGTACTGGTTAGAAAAGAAAAACACATTTTTCCTAACTTTCTTCAGATATATATATACATATTTTTTTTCTTCCCCAGCGAAGTCTGGCTAAAAGATCTTCTTACACATTAAGTGAATCCAGCGGGGAATTAGTCTGGCTGGAATGCTTGCTGGAGTTTTGATAATGAAACCACTGCTGTGGCTGCGTTTTGTGAGTTTCATGTTGAGTCTTCAAACTTACAACAAGCGAATTCACCTAAAGAAAGAACCATAGTGCTATTACAGCTCAATAAGTGAAGGGCTCCCAAAAGGACTCAGAGTTTGAAATGGGCAGGATATATTTGCATTTGTTTATTTGAGTTTCACGTCAATTCTGTGATGTAGATGCCACAGGAATCGATCTCTATGTTTTACAAGGGGGAAAAAAAAAACTGCCGGAAAGAGGGAGGGTGACTTGCTCCGGATTAACTATACCAGTGGTGACAGGTCACTCTTAGGACCTCGATCTCACCTCACCGATGCTTCAGACACATGCAAGAGGTCTTTGGAATCCAGCAAGAAGAAACAGTCATTCGTCTAATTCATCTCGGCATCCCTAGCTTTTAGTGTGGAATGGGAGCTAAGAAAATAGCTAGGAAATAAATTAAAGCACCAACAAGTTGCAAAGAGGAGAATAAACCAGTTATGGCCACGGTGTGTCACATTCTGAGGCCTCTCCCCAACCTATGAGGCCTCACCCATTGTCACCCATATGGCCAGTTTTGGGAAAGCCTGGCATGTGATGGTCTTTGTCATAAGACACAGACCTGCTGTTTGGAAACTTTCTTCTGTGGAGTCCAATTCTAAGGCTTCAGGCATCTGCTTATTCATGTGTACTATATGTGAACCGACAGTGACATGGTCCAAGCTGGAAGCTGTAATACTCATTAGCAGTTACTTCCACAGCATTTGCATTCAGCCAAACAGAAGTGCTAAAACACATTTGCACCTCAGTGACTATAGGTCCATCAGTTAAACATCAACAGGAAGTATCAGACAGGGATTAACGTATTATAGACTCTAAGCAAAAAAATCATTCAGATTTCGTGAGGCTTCAAGGTGGGAGAGACAAGAGCTATACGCTGTTCGTATTTATTGCTCAACAATATACACTTTGTGGTCCCATTTCTCGAAAGGGCCACAGTTAAACACTCTAGAAACTGAACTGTGTGCTGTAGATACTGTGTTGGGCTGGTATTTGCATTGTTCATATATTTCACATGGCAGGATGGAAGTCTGAAGGTCTTTACCTGACGCTGGTTCCATTTTCATTTAGTGTAGTGCTAACCCCATTACCCAAAGGTAATACTATTAGGTACTGAACTGTATGTTTAAGGTGGATTGTACAAATAAAGAAAGCCATCTAAGATGAACTAGTCCCCTACTGAAATACAAAATGAAACAATCCATTTCTTTTGTTTAACCTCTAGACCATAGTCAAAAATGTTTTTGAGTGGCTTGTAACAAGGATTATTTTAAATAGACATGTCCTTGCTCGATAGTCTGAAGCTTTGGCTATGCCACCCATGCATGCCCATGCCCCAAATTCCAAGCATGAGCTAAGCATCTTATAACACACACAAACCTCTGCCTTGCCCACCATTAGAATTTTAAGTCCCAGGTTAAAACTAGGTCTCTAGTTGCTTACAAATTTCAGTGGGATTTGGAAAAATCCTTTAAATAGATTTTTATTGGTTTTTAAGAACAGGGTTATTTTGTGTTAATAATGGGCATACATTAGGCTTTAGATAATTGCTTTATGTAACTTAGAGTTTTGGCTTTCAGCTAAATAAACACTCTGTGTGTTCACAGGTGTATTGTCCTCAAGGGCACTCTGCTTTTAAGGGTGGCAGCTGTTGCCAAGGTGTTGCTGATACAGTTCTGCGTATAATTTATTGGAAACAGGTGCTGGCTCATGATGAAGATAGACAGGAAACTAAAGCAGACAACATGTTTAACCACCATTTAAGAAGTTCAGGTTCAGAGAGACAATGTGTCTGAGATGTTTGGGGGATGTTGCCAGCATCCCAGTGCAAGTTTAAAAACTCCTGCAGATCACCATAAGGAAGAAATTGTACATGAATTTCAAGCAGCCCAGCCTAATGAGTGCCTGATGCTATGCTGCCAGATTTAATTGATTATATGAGAAATTTCTAGTTTGTGTAAGGCTAGCAAAAAATTATAAAATACTTTCCTAAGCTAATTGTTAAAAATTACTTTCAAATGAGGTAATAACTGCTAGTTTTCAATGATCTGAACGGTGGATTCAGCTCTAATGTGTTTTCTTTATGCTCAACGTATTTGCTACAGATTCTGTCTGTGGGTCCTTCAGTGTAGGGAACAGCCGAGGATTAGTGTTCACAGGGCATCGGTACAAGTTACGGTACTGAGACAGAGACTAGAGACCTGGATGCTCACCCTTTCCCTTTCAATGTTGTCCCGCTAGGGAGCTGGCCAGCAGGCTCAGGGATGGCTGTCACAGTCAGGGTTTTCTGGCGCTAAGGAGGAGTGGAAATGGGCTGGCACCTCTGCACTCACTGATCCCTCAGCCCTTAGTCCCTAGTAAAAACAAGGAGACATATCAGCTCAGACTCCTCGAAGAAGTCCTCCCTGTGAACAGGCGTTTGTATATTTTCCCAACTAATCTTGAGTCTAATCGGCATGCCGCATACTATATGTGTGCAGTAAATATGCATACTAAATACAGACGAAAAAGAAGTTGTTAAAAGTGCATGCACAGTTTTTCAACCTCAAAGACCTAGATATCTTGGCCATTTACATGTTTAAAAAAAATACCCAAAGGCACTAGACCACATTATGGACTAATGGCCTGCCAAATTTCATTTTTGGGAAAAGAATCCACGTTTGAGTTATAACACACAAGTGTAAAAAAAGCATCTGAAACAACAAAATTTGGTTAAAAACACTTTTTGACCCGCAGGCTCAGACCCCATGTGCCAAAAATGTTGACAAAACTTTATATCAACACCAGCGGGCATGCACAGTTTAATATCTGCTTTATGTGAAAAATCATTCACAATTTAATGCTTGCATTAATTTGAAAGAATTGTATGCAGTAGGTAGAAACCTTTACATTACCATTCCTAATCTCTACCAGCCGTCTTGTTCCCTTCTCAAAGAGAAAGTGACTGACAGGGCTGAAAAAAACCAAATCTGCTGAAGGGCCCATGCAGCTGCTTTTATCACCCTTCCAATAGCCCCATCCTGGCCTGAAAGGCAGGAATTTGGTTTGCATGCGGCTCAGAGCCTTCAACGGAGGTTTAGCATAGGAAAGCAAATAGCTGATGTAAAAATAAACCTTTTATTTGAAAAAAAAACTTTATAAGGCCCCTTTATTTAGAGGGAGACTCACTCAAATAAATACACCGTTAACAAATTTATATAATGAATAATAATATATACTGTAGCAAGTGATGAAATGGAATCCCACAAAACAAGTGCTGAAATCTGATGACTGATTATCAAACCTATAGGATAAATAAACCTTCTCCAATTAATAGCTAGTCTTGGGGATGGGTTTCTATAGAAATACCCCATGAGGAAAAATACCAATTGCAGAGGTTCAGGGGGATTCAAATTGTGAATTTAGCAGGACTGGGCTTAAACACAACACTCTTTCCAGTGTAGTTATGAGTTAGTTACAAGTTTGGAGGTCATGGCAAGATGAGTCTAACTTATTGATGGAGAAATATGCTTTCTCCATCTGAGCTAATGGATTATCCGGGCCATTTGGGACCCTCGTGTCTAAGTATCAGAAGAAGCTATTTTTAATTTATTAAAAAGGGAATTGAGAACCAACCTGGTTTCCTTAAATGTGTTTCTTGCCAACAGACGAATGAAAGCACCCATTCAGAGATTTTTATTTTCTAGCTTTGGTTAGCATCCTTATTCTTTTCTCTGAGTCAATGTGGATACCCTGGTCAAAAGTTTCTTATTGATTTTGGAAAAGAACTGACTTCACATGTATAACCAGCAGTGCTCTGATGTCTGGGAAGTAGAGTTATGGGGAATAACGACTAATGGGCAATCCCAGAGGGCCAGCTGCATGCTGACAACTCTCCCTGCACATCATTTAGCAGGGTCTTCATTTTGGAGCAATGGATGAAGGCCTGTCCAGCATTGCATGAAGGCTGCTTTGTGACTGTGTTTTATCCCTCATCTTGAAATAGGAGGTGTTCTCTGAAACAATCGTATATGTTAAACTTGTATGATCAACGTCAGGGAGGATAAACCTTATATATTTGTTGGTGCATTGATCCATCCATCCATCCATCCATCCATCTATCCATCCATCCTTATTGTGTACTCTGCTTGTTTCTTCTTATAAGGACACCCATAATTCTACTCTCTTCAAGGATGGTGCATTAAGCATGTATTTTATTTTGATATTTGACATCTTGGGGCCTTGTGGAAACTGGAAAAAACTGCCCCCTCAGGGTTAGTTAATTTCGACAGACAGCAAATATCACCCCCAGGAGAATATCTTCCATATGCGAACCAACCTAACACAACCACTTCTTTTTCAGACTCTCACTGGGTTCTCAAACTTGGGCCATTATCCTCTTACCCTAATCTCTCTAGGTCCAGGTACCAGGGTACCAAGAGATAGTCCCCAGAGCCTACCAAAATTATTTAAGCCAGCCAGTGCTAAACCTGCTTAACCTGCCTCCCACATTGCTTCCTGCAAAAGCCACAATAAAGATTCTTGCCCATATTTTCCCCTTGCTCCTCTTGCCTCTTGATGGACCCTGGTGCTTCCTGTGTGGCCCTCTGTGGTGCAGCATGCCCCTCCTCTTAAGAACTGTGAGTAACAAACTATCTTTTCAATGGCTGTTCGCTTTTGTTCTGTTGGCCTCACCATACCAATAATAATAAAAGCTATATTTTAAACAGGTGGAATCAATATACCTTCCTTCAGAGCCTCAACACAGATCTGAATGGATCTGTGGCCCTGAGATTGGAGGTCAGGAAACCCAGCCCTGACTGTACCAGATGCATAACAAGTGTTTTGTCCAAACCATTTGATGTTGCTAGGGTTACATTTCCACTACCATCAACATGTACAATTTTAATTTTGAGGCATTGCAATAAAGGTCACATGGGTTTGCATACATGAAATACATAGCATGTGTTAGGAAGGAAATTAAATCTGATGTTACTTCCCTCAAGCATCTCGTTCTTCCTTACTCGAGTTTTATAAATCCCACTCTAGGAGATTTTCTCTATGTGTAATCCCCATTGAGCTGCTGGGGACCACAGGGAGGTCCATTTTCAACCTCAGCGTGAAGAATAAAGTGGCGGTAGGCATCAAAGGCACAAAAGTGGAGTCGGATTTCTTTTTTTTTTTTTTTGAGACGGAGTCTCGCTCTGTCGCCCAGGCTGGAGTGCAGTGGCGGGATCTCGGCTCACTGCAAGCTCCGCCTCCCGGGTTCACGCCATTCTCCTGCCTCAGCCTCCCAAGTAGCTGGGACTACAGGCGCCCGCCACTACGCCCGGCTAATTTTTTGTATTTTTAGTAGAGACGGGGTTTCACCGTTTTCGCCAGGATGGTCTCGATCTCCTGACCTCGTGATCCGCCCGCCTCGGCCTCCCAAAGTGCTGGGATTACAGGCGTGAGCCACCGCGCCCGGCCGAGTCGGATTTCTTGTAGTGACTGTGCCACTCACTGGCTGGGTGGTCATAGGAAAATTACTATTCTTCTCTGTGCCTTGTTTTCCTGATCTGTAAAATGGGGATAATTCCCTTCTTCACAGGATTGTTCTGAAGATGAAGTAGGACACTTAGAAAGTCGTGCATGTTCTGTGGATGTCAATGAGTAGGGGTAGAAAGAGCACTACAAGGAGACTTCCTGTATCACTACAGACTCACTCCTGCACCTCTCATAATTGTAAATCCCAAGCAACCATCATAATATACCTCTGCTGTTTTGGTTTCTTTTTTAAACTTTTATTTTAAGTTCAAAGGTCCATGTACAGGATGTTCAGGTTTGTTACATAGGTAAACATGTGTCATGGGGGTTTGTTGTGCAGATTATTTCATCACCCAGGTATTAACCCTAGTATCCATTAGTTATTTTTCCTGATCCTCTCCCTCCTCCCACTCTCCACCCTCCAATAGGCCCCAGTGTGTGTTGTTCCCCTCTATGTGTCCATGTGTTCTCATCATTTAGCTCCCACTTATAAGTGAGAACATGTGGTATTTGGTTTTCTGTTCCTGTGTTAGTTTGCTAGGGATAATGGCCTCCAGCTCCATCCATGTCCCTGAAAAGGAAATGATCCCGTTCTTTATTATGGCTGCATAGTATCCCATGGTGTATATGTACCACATTTTCTTTATTCAGTCTATCACTGATGAGCATTTGAGTTGATTCCTTGTCATTACTGTTGTGAATAGTGCTGCAATGAACATACACATGCATGTGTCTTTATGATAGAATGATTTATATTCCTTTGGGTATATACCCAGCAGTGGGATTGCTGTGTTGAATGGTATTTCTGTTTTTAGGTCTTTGAGGAATTGACACACTGTGTTCCACGAAGGCTGAACTAATTTATACTCCCACCAAGAGTGTATAGCATTCCTTTTTCTCCACAACCTCACCAACATTTGTTATTTTTTTGACTTTTTAATAATAACCATTCTGAATTGTGTTAGATAGTATCTCATTGTGGTTTTGATTTGCATTTCTCTAATGATCAGTGATGTTGAGCTTTCTTTCATATGCTGGTTGGACACATGTATGTCTTCTTTTGAGAAGTATCTGTTCATGTCCTTTGCCCACTTTTTAATGGGGTTGTGTGGGTTTGGTTTTGTTTTGTTTTGTAAATTTCTTTAGGTTCCTTATAGATGCTGGATATTAGACCTTTGTCAGATGCATAATTTGCAAAAATTTTGTCCCATTCCATAGGTTGCTCATTTACTCTGTTGATAGTTTCTTTCACTGTGCAGAAGCTCTTTAGTTTAGATTCCACTTGTCAACTTTTGCTTTTGTTCCAACTGTTTTTGGTGTCTGCATCATGAAATCTTTGCTCACGCCTGTGTCCAGAATGGTATTGCCTAGGTTGCCTTCCAGGATTTTTATAGTTTTAGAATATCCCCCTACTGTCGACAAGATGCCATTTCTCTGATCAACTACTTTCTAGAGAATGGAGCAGCTGGTTTAACCAAGCTACTTTTGACCTGAACATGACATACCTTATCTAAATCTCAAACAAGAACTCAAATATTATATGTTGATAGATCTTCAAGCCAAAACAGTTTTACTGTTACAAATGAGATTTTTACAATCATACCCAATCCTGCAGGTTTATGAAATGACTATACTGGAATATCTGAACTGATTTTAAACAACCTGATTTCAACTGATGCCACTTAAGTGTCCTACTAGCCAATCAGAGATGAGCTGCTTCTTTATTGCCTGCTGCTTGATTCCTTTTCCCCTCAAGAAGCCTTCTCCTGATGATTGTTTTCAAAGTATGATGGACAATTGGGCCATGTGTGGTGGCTCACACCTGTAATCCCAGCACTTTGGGAGGCTGAGACCAGAAGTTCAAGACCAACCTAGCCAACATAGTGAGACTCCCCCAACTCTACAAAACAAGAAAAGAAAGGCTGGGCTCAGTGACTCACGCCTGTAATCCCAGCACTTTGGGAGGCTGAGGCGAGTGGATCACAATGTCAGGAGATTGAGACCATCCTGGCCAACATGGTGAAACCCTGTCTCTACTAAAATACAAAAAAATTAGCCAGGCATAGTGGCATGCACCTGTAGTCCCAGCTACTTGGGAGGCTGAGGCAGGGGAATCACTTGAACCCAGAAAGTGGATGTTGCAGCGAGCCGAGATCACACCACTGCACTCCAGCCTGGCAATAGAGCAAGACTCCGTCTCAAAAAAAAAAAAAAAAAAGTATGATGGACAGTAATGATAAATAGATCTCATTAGTACTGAAATAATAACTAATTGATAAATGATTAAAACATGTAAGCACAGATTTAGTGTAAGTACATGGACATCAGAGTCAGTCCAACCCTCATTGGAATTCAAACTCTAGTACTCGTACGAGACATTTACCTTCTCAGAACCTTGTTTATTCAGCTGTAGAATGCAAGTGGTAAATTGACCTTGCAGGGTTATAAATGCTGGTAACGCAGTAATAGCAACCATGACAGTTAGTATCTATGGAGCACTTACCACTTGCTAGGCATTATATTAATTCATTTTTAACCCAAGCAATAGCCCTACAAGGTGATTATTATGATCAGTTTACAGTTGAAGATGACGAGGCACAGATAAGTAAAGTGATACTTGGATAGTTGGAGCCAGCATTGGCACCCAGGATGCCTGATCTGGAGCCTGTGCCCTTAACTGCTACACTATGTGGTCTCCCAGTAATATTTCAGCAGTTATCAACACACATTTTTCTTGATTTCAGGTTGTTTTGAGGCCTCTGGGACAAGGAATGTCAAGACCCCTCTCACAGCTCAACTGCCCACCCACTCTCACTGCCAAGCCCCTTCTGTCACCAGCTCATATCTCTCAAAACGCAACACTCCCTCCACTGCCAATTCAGGCTTCGGGAGCTGGTAGGAATAGGGGAGTCCAAAAGGCCAGGGTGGGGGCCAGGCTGCCTCAAGAAGGGGCCCAAGGAAACTTGGAAGCAGGGCCGGAATGAGTCAATCAGTCAGCAAGTATTTATTTAGTGCTAGGCAGCTTGGGGGATACAGAGAATTATAAGATGCCATCCGGTCCCTGGCTGGATTTCTGGCGAGATTCCCCCATGTAAGAACCAAGCCTGGAGCTGACGCCCACCCAGCCCATGGAAGGCTGCCATGGCTGTGAAAGTGGCTGCCTGGCCTCTGCGGAGGAGCAGGGAGAGGCAGGGAGGCAAAGAAGCTTGGAATGGGCAGGCCAAGCTCGTGTCCCAGCAATGCCACATGCCACAAGCGAGTCACATCACCATTCTGAGCCTCAGTTTCCACGGATGTACAATGGGAATAATAGCAGTACCTGCCCAGGTATTGACCAGCTGGTGTGTGGAAAGTGTTTAGTCCGGGGCTTGGTGTGATCCAAAAATGCAGGTGCTTTTTAAAAGGCAATGATTTTGTTAGACAGTAAAAAAAGGTGTGTTCTGGAAGCCCTTTGTGTCCAGGCCCAGATCCTTTTGACCACATGACAATCCAGTCACCACTGTGGCAGCCATGCAACACAGGTGTAACTGAGAGCACTCTCACATGCTGCCTGCTGGGAGCTCCTGCACACACCCTTCATGGATGCTCCCTTCACTGAGAGGAAGTTAACACCTATGGGTAACCTACGGGTATCGCTTAACCAGCAGAAGACAGAGCTGGAAGATAAATACTCCCCTCCTTTGTCCTTCAGGCACACAATTCTGAGATGCTCTCTACACACTCCTCAGAAGCCCCTGCTAACATGTGGGCAAGCCCTACTGTGGAGGCCTGCTTGAACCCACCCTCTCCCTGTGGCACTCTCCCCACTCCTCCTACCTGTTTCCTGGGACCACTCCCCACAGTAACCGCACTCGTGGTATGTGTGTGGAAGGAAGTTCCCCAGGGAAAACGTGGTACAACAAAATGCCCGAGAGCTCACTCAGACTTGGGTTCGAACCCAAGCTCTCCCAAGCACTGGCTGTGAGATGGAAGCGTTACCAAATGTCTCTGAACCTGTGTTTCACCATCAGTAAAGTGGGAATACTTTGTGGTATAGGCTGTATGCGGTGGAGAAAATAATGTCTAGAAAGTGTTTCATCTCCTAGATTTGATAAACAAATTTGGTAAAGTCTCAGGTTACAAAATCAGTGTACACAACTCAGCAGCACTGCTATATACCAATAATGATTAAGCTGAGAATCAAATCAAGAGCTCAATTCCTTTTACAACAGCTACAAGAAAGAAAAAAAAACCTAGGAATAAACTTAACCAAGGAGATGAAAGATCTCTACAAGAACTATAAAACGCTGCTGAAAGAAATCATACAAGACACAAATGGAAACACATCCCATGCTCATGGATTGGAAGAATCGATATTGTGAAAATGACCATACTGCCCAAAGCAATCTACAGATTCAATGCAATTCCTATCAAAATACCAACATTATTTTTCACAGAATTAGAAAAAAAACAATCCTGAAATTCATATGAAAGCAAAAAAGAGCCTCAATAGCTAAATAAATCCTAAGCAAAAAGAACAAGTCTGAAGGCATTACATTATCAGACTTCAGGTTATACTACAAGGCTATAGTTACCAAAACAGCATGGTACTGGTATAAAAGTAGGCACACAGACCAATGGAACAGAATAGGGAACCCAAAAATAAAGCCAAATATTTACAACCAACTGATCTTTGACAAAGCATACAAAGGTATAAATTGGGGAAAGGAAAATCTATTTAATAAATGGTGCTGGGAAAACTGACTAGCCACATGAAGAAAGAAACTAGATATCTCTCACATTTTTGTTTATACAAAAATAAACTCAAGGTGGATCAAAGTCTTAAATCTGAGACCCAAAAACCATAAAAATTCTAGAATACAACCTTGGAAAAATGCTTCTGACATTGGCCCAAGCAAAGAATTCAAGAATTCATGACTAAGACCCCAAAAGCCAATGCAACAGAAACAAAAATAAATAAATGGGACCTGATTAAATTAAAAAGCTTTTGCACAGCAAAAGAAATAATCATGAGTAAACAGACAACCCACAGAATGGGAGAAAATATTTGCAAACTATGCATCTAACAAAAGACTAGTATCCAGCATCTACAAGGAATTGAAGCAAATCAGCAAGAAAGAAACAATCCCATCAAAAAGTGGGCAAATGACATAAATAGACATTTCTCAAAAGAAAATATACAAATAGCCAACAAGTATATGAAAAAATGCTCAACATCACTAATCATCAGGGAAACTCAAATTAAAACCACAATGAGACACCACGTCAGTCTTCCAAGAATGGCTATCACTAAAAAGTCAAAAAACAATAGATGTTAGCATGGATATGGTGAAAGCGAAACACTTAAGTACTGCTGGTGGCAATGTGAATTAGTACAACCCCTATGAAAAGTAGTAAGGCTATTCCTTAAAGAATTAAAAGTAGATCTACTATTCAATCCAGCAATCCCACTACTGGGTATCTACCCAAGGGGAAAGAAGTCATTATATGAAAAAGACACCGGCACAAGCATGTTTATAGCAGTACAATTCACAATTGCAAAGATATGGAATCAACCTAAGTGCCCATTGACCAATGAGTGGATAAAAACAATGTGGTATATATACCCCAGGGAATACTACTCAGCCATAAAAAGGAACAAGATAATGTCTTTTGTGGCAACTTGGATAGAGCTGGAGGCCGTTATTCTAAGTGAAGTATATTATTCAAGGATGGAAAACCAAACACAGTATGTTCTTACTTATAAGTGGGAACTAAGCTATGAATATGTAACAGCATACATAGTGATATAATGGACTTTGGAGACTCAGGAGGGGGATGGTGGGAGGAGGATGTGGGATTAAAAAAACTACATATTTGGTACAACATACACCACTTGGGTGACAAGTGCCCTAAAATCTCAGCATTCGCCACTATATAATTCTTCCATGTAATAAAAAACCACTTATACCCCAAAGCCATTGAAATTTAAAAAGTCTAAAAATAAAAAGACTTTTTTTTAAAAAAATAGAAAGTGCTTAGTCTGTGCCTGGTGCCCAGAGCTGAGTTCTCCAGAAGCAGAACCTGAGGCCAGGATTCGTGGGAAAGAGATTTATTGGGAGGTGATCCCAGGAAAAGCCAGAGAAAGGGAAGCCAGAAGGAAGGGAATCAAAGATATTAAGAAAGTTACACCAAAAATGACTTTGGCTGAATCCCCCAGGGAGCTCTGGAAACAATGCAGACCCAGCTCAGAGGGAGGTGGCTTGTTAAGGGCTGTCCCTGGAGGATATAAACTCCCAGACACCTTGGCTCTTAGTGCATTCAGGCAAGGTAGGCTCCAGCAGGCTCACCTATAAAGACATTCAGGTTCAGGTTGCTTGGAGTGAATGCACAGTGGGAACAGAGTGCAAGAAAATGATCAGCAGAGATAACAGGCCCTAAGAAATCCGGGTACGGCACTGACCTTCTCTGCCACAGCTTATTAGTGTTGTTGTTCATGGTTAGTATGCTATTTTTTTTAGAGGCTTCTGGAATAATAGAAAAGCAAGGCTCTAGAGCATTCAAAACACCAGTTTCCCCAGTTCTCTTGAGGCTTTCCTTCTTAGAGCTCATCTTCACTAAACATCATGTGATGATGACCTCTCCTCTGAAAACCAGCCTCCTGAGTGGGCCTGCTACCATTTGTCAACAGCCACTCAAGGCTTTTCCCAGTCCCCGGAGACACCCTGAGGGTAGCAGTAATAATGCACTCTCACTCTTTTTCTCCCTCTCTCTCCACCCTCATCCCCCTCTTTCTCTCTGAAGGTTCACATACCCAAGACCCCTCCAGATCTCTGGTGGTGACTAGCCTGGAGATGGGGGAGCCACAGGCACCACAGAGAGGCCAGGCTGGGAACAGAGGTGATTGGAATCTTCCAGGTGAGGGGAGGTGGTGTTCTCAACACAGGAAGAGGGGAGAGGCAGAGCGTCAAGTGGGTGGTTTGGAAGTTATTTGGGGACAGTTGGATACGGGGAGGTGAGACAGACAGGAGGCACTCAGGATCCCTGGCCAGGTTTCCCACTTGGGCAAATGGGTAGATGGTGGAGACATTCACTGGAATGGCAAAGCAGAGGAGAAGCAGGCTTAGTGTTGGAAGACAAGCCCAATGTAGGATCTTTTCTATTTGAAATCTACAAGACGGGCAAATAAAACTGTCATTAGGCAGAAGGCTCTTTGAGTCTGTAGCCCAGGAAAGCCAGCTTGGTGAAGCTCTAAATTGAAGATCTACCAAAATGAAGCAAGTGAGGACTTACCATTGAGGAAGAGCAGGACTGTGATGTCATGTGACCTACTAGCTGGGACTTGGAGATCAGCACATGGAAAAGGCATGTCTGGCTTCTGTCTCTGTAGAGGAGAGCACGGGCTTGCTCTCATGCCACTTCCCCTCATGTTCTTCCATCAACCTTGATGCTCCTGGGAATGCAGTGTTTAAAACATTTTGTTGAAAAGACATCTTTTTTGGAGAATGTGCTGAGCGGGGTTGGGGCTATTACTCTCCTGACTACACGGCTTCTCCCACTCCAGCCTCTGCTCTGATACTGCAGAGGGAATGGCCATTTTTGGGTCTCTCTGGCAAAGAGGGCTCAGGTACTGCTGCTTCCCTCAGCTCTGTCCTGACTCTTTTTTCTAACACTCCTGGCCCTGTCCCATCCCTGTCAGAGTAGGTGCATCGCTGTCTGTCAAGGAAATGCATTCTGGAAAGAAGCTCCAGGTTGCAGAAGCTCTGCCACCTGACGTAGAACTATTGCAGGGACCATAGAGGCACAACTGTGATGGGCCCCTGTGTTAGTCAGGGTTCTTTGGAGGGACAGAAATGATAGGATAGAAAGGGAGTTTATTAAGGAGAATTGACTCACACGATCACAAGATGAAGTCCCACAATAGGCCGTCTGCAAGCTGAGGAGCAAGGAAGCCAGTAGTGGCTCAATCCAAGTCCCAAAGCCTTAAAAGTAGGGAAGCCAATGGTGCAGCCTCCATTCTGTGACCAAAGGCCTGAGAGCCCCTGGCAGACCACTGGTGTAAGTCCAAGAGTCCAAAGGCCCAAGAATCTGGAGTCTGATATTCATGGGCAGGAAGCATCTAGCACCGAAGAAAGATAAAAGCCAGAAAACTCTGCAACCCAGCTTATTCCATTCTCTTCTGCCTGCTTTTTCTAGCCACACTGGCAGCCAAATGGATGGTGCCCACCCACACTGAGGGTGGGTCTTCCTCTCCCAGTCCACTGAGTCAAATGTCAATCTCCTCTGGCAACACTGTCACAGACACACCCAGAAACAATACTTTGCATCCTTCAATCCAATCAGGTTAACACCTAATATTAACCATCACAACACCTTCTTCCCTTTCCTGGAGAGGAATCTGTAGCTCCTCAATCAGCACCCCAGGCCTCCTCCCTGCTTTGAGAACGTCTCAGAGCTGACCCTACCCTCAGCTGGCTCTCTCACTCTCAAGTATGTGCCACAGACCTGTCTCTGGGTTGAGGACACTAGAGGTCTTGAGCATCAGGAAATGAGCTCCCTAGGGAGAATCTCATGGCCCCTTTTGTTCATCAGAGTCCACACTCAATAGACTTGTGAAAGGGACAAGGGACACCTTGCCCAGAACTTGGGATCAGTGAAATCCTCCTGAAGGAAGTGATGTCCCTTGTGAGTTTTGACCAGGTGAGTAGGATTACCCAGATTCAGAGAGGCCAGGGGGAAAAAAGACCATTCCAGGCAGAGGGAATTGCATAAACCCGGTCCAGAGGACAGAAGGAAGGAGCCCATCCAGGAATTCCCTTTGGTTGGAGCATGAATTCACAAAGAAGAAAATGAGATGTGTGTCCCAGGAAGTTAAGACAGGCCAGGTCATGCAGACTCCTCATACAAGGGAGGTGGGTTCCAGGGAGGGAAAGTGGGTTCTGGAAAGGCAGGGATGCAGACTTTGAAGGGGTTTGAGCAAGGAACAAATCTGATCATGTTTGAACTTTAAAAGGTAGTTTTGGCTACCAAGCGGAGAATGGATTGAGGCTCACTTTTGGAAACAGAGCAATGGGGATGGGAGAAGAGGAGTCAGCTGTTGAGGTCCAAGTGAGAGATGAGTGCAGTCTCACCAGGGTGGTGGACGGGGATGAAAAGAAGTGGATGGATTTCAAAAGTGTTCAAGAACTACAGTTGATTGAATCTGGCAACTGAATAGATGTGAGAGGCAAGTTACAGGGAGGAGTCAAGGACGTCACTGAGAGTTTTGATCTAGACAACTGTGAGAGGATGGGACTATTCACTGCAATAGAAAGTCAGGAAGCAGGTGAGAGTGGGGCGGGACATGATCTTGCGTTTCTGTCAACTGAATTAACCATCTGATCTTCATGAGTGACGATAGCCAGTTGGTGCTTGCAGCTTGCAGTTTGCAGCATGCTCTCACGCTGCTTCCTCCAATGTCCTTTTATCTGTGTGAGTGTTCCTGGCAATGCCATGTTTAAAACATTTGGTTGAAAGGGCTGGAGTGAATTTGTTCAGCTCAACCCATACTTTCCCATCCTCATCACTCAAGACACATAGACTCAACTCCCAATAGCCAACATCTGTATTGCTGTGCCTGATGCTTTCCTCTTGCTGGAATTAACATATTCCAGGAGCACATCCTAACCAGTGATGTTTAATGGTTGGTAGTTGTGTTTAAATACCCCGGCTCCCTCACCCCTCAGGCAGGATCACTCCGAAGGGTGTGTTCTCCACCCCCTCCCAGAGATCCTCAGCAGGATTAACTCTACTCACTCACTGGGGAAGCTGGCCTAGAATGCACTCATTATTGAGCTTCTTCCCTTCCCGGCTCTCTTCTCCACAGTCATGTTGTCTTCACTTCCTGATCAGGGCCTATTTGGGGAATAATTCAAACCAAGACATTAGCCCATGGATGTGAACAACTGTGGGACAGAGTGGGGTTGTCCCACTGTCTCCAGTGGACACAGTGGAGTACATAAAGACAAAGAGAATCTATTAAACAGGACACAGGAGAAGGTCAACAACTAAGGGTTGGGCTGAGACATTCCTTGAAAGGAATCCAAGAAGGCTCAGTCTAGGAAGTGGGAGAAGGGAGTCTCAGGAGTTGACAGTGAGCAGCATTGTCTGATTCCACCAAGCCATACAGTCATGTGAGATAAGAACCGAACTGCTCCTACCAAGGTAAGCATTGTGGAGGTCACTGATAAACTGGGTGGCAGCAGTGTCAGAAAAGCGATGTGGAAGAATTCAAGCTGTGGTAAGTTGAGGGATCCGAGCAAATATAGATGCTCACCTTGTTTTCTCCTCCTCTCACTACTCATCAACTCCTTCCCCTCTTTGACCCCAGAGAGAACTCCCTTTCCCTCCCAGTTCTTTGTGCCCTCCCACCAGAGGGCCTTTGCACATTTTTGTTCCTCTGCCTGGAATGGCTTCTCGATCCCACTCATCTTCTGAACTCCTTCAAATTCTTTAGAATTTTCCTGATGCCCAAGACATGATTAGCTTCCTTCACTAGTTCTCTAAAGCTATTGCTTTTCTTAAAAGCATTTATCTCAGATTGCACTTTCTTTCTTCTCACTCTTTATCCATCTTGTCCACTCAATTTTAAGCTCTGCTATGCTCACCGTTACATCCCCCAGTGCCTTGCCTGGTGCTCTCTGACATAATAGAAATTCAATAAATATTTATTGAATGAATGAGCCCTCCTCCTGGTTGACATCCCCACTCTTGATAACCCTGGACCTTGAACTTGAAAACAAGGATCTTCAACAACATGCACCATCCTACTTTTTTATTCTTCTAATTATTAGATTGGTGCAAACATAATTGCAGTTTTTGCCATTAAAAGTAATTGCAAAAACTGCAATCACATTTGCACTAACCCAGTAGAATCATATGCAAAGCCTGTAATGATTCTCTCCCCAGTTGCCCTGCTTTTATGTGCCATTTTATTCTGGTTTCCAGCATGTTCAGTTTCCTGTTGGACAAGGTCTACCTCTCCTCGGCTAGGATTATGAAGCCAGTGGGCTCTTTTAGTAGCTTTGGCTATGGATAGTCAAAACCAATCTACTGCTCAGCTGTCAGAGCCTGAGGAAGCTTTAATTACAGAGAACATGGATATCACGGGCGACATTTCTAAGCTTTTCAAACTGTAGGACCCATCTGGACAATTTCAGAAAGGTTAGCCATGTGGTGTGTTCCATGTTACATAACCCATGCTTAATACTGCTGCTTGTGTTCCCAGACATTACCAAAAAAATTTCAGGACACTTTTACCCCAAGGTATCTAGAAAACTTATAGAAAGCCTCCTCAAAATGTTCATGTTTATGCCCAGGTTCAACATGTGAATCCTTCCATCACTTTCCTCTTTGAACACTCATGAGGGAATAGGGTCTTGTGCTCTCTGAAGATTCCTTTAGTCTTTGGCCTGCCCCCATGTCAGGTGGTAATCACCACTTTAAAACACTGAGATTAGTGCAGTAAAAAAGATTTATGAATATTAATTCTTTTTATAGCAGGTCATAATGTGAGCTAGAGAACAAACAGAGTATGGTTTCATTCCAACGCCTTACTGCAAAGAAGAATGGGGGTTGCACATTGTGGAAAATATTAGTTGGAGATGCTAGTTTGAAAACTAATTTATTGAGAATGGCTTTGGCCATAACTCGCCAGACACCCTGAATTTGTGGAGAATCTGTTCTAGAGAGTAAGGATCATGAATTTTATAAGCGTTGTATTGTTCACAATCAATAGCATTATCCAAAAAATTTTTAAAATATACTATTACAATGCAAACCCCAAAACACTACAGTGGCTCATATTAAGAAGAAAGATGATTCCTTTTCAAACTTTCTAGAGTTAGAGTTTACAAGGTTGAGTTTTCCCACTGGCTGGTCATTTCCCTACAACCCCATTATAGCCTTCACCTTTGCCCCTCCCTGAAATGATGTTTTCAGAAATCACTGGAGTATTCAATTCAGTAGCCTCTCCTTGCTGTCTTTGCAGTATTCTGACATCATTGACCCTTTCTTCCCTGACATTCTCTCTTCCTTTGACATCAGCAAGAAAAATCCTAGAAGGCTGTGTAACTGTAGTTAAGGGCACAGACTGGATTCAGCCGGGTTATCGGGGTTCCAATCTCAGCCCTATACTTAACTAGCTGTGGGACTTTGGACAAGTTAATTAACCTCATTGTCCTCATCTGTAAAGTGGGAGTAAGGGTAGTACTCACCTCTTGGAGTGGCTGTGTGTCCCCTGCCTGTTAACTTGGTCACCTTTGAGAATCAATGTTTAATTTTGATGCCCGAGCTAAGTCATTGGTTTTTCTCTTTAGAGTTTATGTTTTGGAGTCTTGATTAAGAAATCCTTTCCTATTCCAAAGTCATAAAGATATTATTTACACTTTCTTCATTAATTCTATACTTTTAACTTTCACATTTGATTCTTATTGCATATAGAGTTTATTTTTTATTTGAAGGGAAGTAGCAATTAAATTTTAATTTGCCATAGAGTGAGGTTATTTACCAAATAATCAGTTCTTTCTCTCATTGATTCGTGATGCCATTTTTGTAATATGCCAAGTTCCTGGAGGCACCCGGGAGTCCACATGAGTATTCTGATCTGCTACCTTTGTCTTCAGTCCTGCCCCTATTTTATTGCCATACTATCCTAATTACTACTGCTTTTTAATATTTCTTAATACCTGGCAGGAAGAATCTTCGTGCTCTTCTCTTTCAAAATATTATTTAATATCTACAGACCTTTATTTATCCATACATATTTTAGAATCTATTTTTTAAAAAAAACCTTGAAATTTAATTGGAATTGCATTAATTTTCAACTTAGTTTGAGAAATATTGATAACATTCTAATGTTGAATTACCCCAACCCTGGGCATGATCCTTATGTAGGCCTCCTTTTATGTCCTAGAATAAAATTTAACATTTTTCATAAAGATCCTGTGTAGTCTTTATTAAGTTAGCTAAGAGATAATCCCAGTTTAATTGATAATTCAAGGTAGAATTTTTTTTTCTCTCTTTTTTTGAGACGGAGTCTCACTCTGTTGCCCAGGCTGCAGTGCAGTGGCATGATCTTAGCTAACTGCAACCCCCATCTCCTGGGTTCAAGCTATTGTCCTGCCTCAGCCTCCCAAGTAGTTGGGATTACAGGTGCCACTACTACACCTGGCTAAGTATTTTTGTATTTTTTTTTAGTAGAGGCGAAGTTTCACCATGTTGGTCAGACTGGGCTTGAACTCCTGACTCAGGTGATCTGCCAGCCTCAGCCTCCCAAAGTGCTGGGATTATAGGCGTGAGCCACCGGACCCAGCCACAAGGTAGAAAATTTGACAATTCAAATTATCTTATACTTTTGAATAGAAATTTGCTTTAGTAGGTGCACATTAGTAGTGTTATTGATTTTTATTCTCTTATTGTTTTCCAAATTTTTTTTTTGTTTTTGTTTTTGTTTTTGTTTTGAGACAGAGTCTCACTGACTTTGTCACCCAGGCTGAAGTGCATTGGCATGATCTCATCTCACTGCAACGTTAGCCTTCCTGGTTCAGGCAATTCTCCTGCTTCAGCCTCCCTAGTAGCTGGGATTACAGGTGTGTGCCACCACTAACAGCTAATTTTTATATTTTTAGTAGAGACGGGGTCTCACCACATTGGCTGGGCTGGTCCCAAACTTCTGACCTCAAGTGATTCACCCATGTTGACCTCCCAAACTGCTGGGATTACAGGCATGAGCCACCGTGCAGCCCCAGATGTTTTGAATAATGGTTGTTATGGTGATAATTCTTTTCTTTGTCCTGACCTGAAAAAAAATAGTTCTAAAATCTTGTAAAGCGTATTCATTAAAATGATGTTTTCAATGAATTTTGATAGATAAACTTTATCAGATTACGGAAATTCCTTTATAGTCTAGTTTTCTAAAGTTTTTTTTTCCAGAAATGGATGTTGAACTTATTTTTGGCTTTTTTAATTTTTTAATTTTTAATTTTAACTTGTATGGGTATATAGTAGGTGTATATTTTTATGGGGAACATGAGATGTTTTGATACAGGTATGCAATGTGAAATAATCACATCGTATAAAATGGTTCATCCATCCCCTCAAGTATTTATCCTTTGTGTTACAAACAATCCAATTATACTCTTTTGGCTATTTTTAAATGTATAATTAAATTATTATTGACCATAGTCACTCTGTTGTGCTGTCAAATACTAGACCTTATACATTCTTTCTAACTATTAATATTTTTTGTACCCATTAACCATCCTCATCTCTCCATGTTGAAATTTACTGCATGCTTTCTCTATTACTATTGCAACCTTAAACTTTATTAGTCTATTAAAAAGAAGTTATATTGCTGGGTTTTCTTATTTTAAGCCATCCTTGAGTCATGGTCATTTTAATATACTTTCAGAAATAAATAGGATGTATTTTATTGAAGATTTAAAAAATTAAGTTTAGAAGCTGACTTGTGCTATTATTTTTGTCATGTACTTGTTTCGTGTGACTTGGCTGTTAGAATTATACTAGCCTCAGCCAGGCGCGGTGGCTCACCCCTGTAATCCTAGCACCTTGGGAAGCCAAGGCAGGTGGATTATCTGAGCTCAAGAGTTTGAGACCAGTCTGGGCAACACGGCAAAACCCCATCTCTACTAAAATACAAAAAATTAGCCGGGCGTGACGGTGTGCATGTGTAATCTCAGCTACTCGGGAGGCTGAGGCAGGAGAATTGCTAGAAGCTGGGAGGCAGAGGTGTCAGTGAGCTGAGATTGTCCCACTGCACTCCAGCCTGGGCAACAGAGTGAGACTCCATCTCAAAAAAAAAAAAAAAAAAAGAATTATACTAGCCTCACAAAATAATCTGTCCAGACTTCGTCATTTTTGACTTTTTGGGACAACATGTATAACAACTGCATATTCCTTACCTCATCTCTAAAACCCTCTATGCGTGTCATTTTGGAGTAGGAGCGAATTGATTATCACTTTAATTTCTTTAAATAATACAAGTTTATGTACATTTTAACATTTTTTATAAACATTGTTTTTTCTAGGTTTGCAAATATATTAGAATATGACTGATATTATTTAACTTGTCCCTATATTTATTCCGTATTCTTTATTTCATCTCCCTTTTTCCCTGTTTTTTGAAAAAAACTGTTACCAGAGAGGGTTATTTAGTAGTCATCTAAAAAGTCTGACTTTTGTGTGTTAAGATCTGTATTTGTTTATTGTTATACTCATCTCCATTTTATCGATTTATGCCTCTTCATATTGCCATATTTCTTATTTGGGGAGGCTTGCTCTATTTTCCTTTTTCTACCATCTTTAAATAACCACTTAGCTTATTAATTTTCAATCTTTATTTTGAGAATATATTCAAAGCTATAAACTGTCCTCTGAGAACTGTGTTAGCTACATCCCACAAATGCTGACATAAATGGCTTTCATTGTCATTAAGCAAGAAGTCTGCTGCAATTCCTCCTTTTGTTTTCTATTTTACCCACGGTCTACCTGGTAGTAGATTTTGTTTTGTTTTGCTTTTTCTTAGATTTCAGACACACTAATCTTTTTTTCAGTCAACTCTATTAATTTTAAATTGTATTACATTGAAGTTAGAGAATATTGTCTAGAATTCAGACAATAGGAATATACTGAGACTTTGGTCTGTAGCATATGATCTGTTTCTGTGACTGATAAATTTATTCTAGAACAAAAATGTATATTCTGTGTTTGGGTGCAAAGTTCTATATAAATTTGTGTGTATAATTTGGTAATTATTTTATTGTCATCTTCTCCATTTCAGTTTATGTTGATTGGATATAGTATGTCAGTTTCTGAGAGCAATGATTTAAAATCTCCAATAACTTTTTACTTCTCTCTCTTGTTTCTGTCATCCATTGCTTTGTGCATTTTGCTCTCAAAATTGTGAATGCTTGTAGATTATTTTTTAAATTTAAATGCAGCGTCTCTCTTCATTCCCTGTGATTTTTAAAATCTTGCATATCTGAAATGCTCTTTTGATTCATATTTGTGTGGCATATCTTCTTCTATCCTTTATTTTTCTCAATTCTCTGTCCTTTTATTTGAAGTGTATCTTTTTCCAAATTATATAGCTGGGTGATGTTTTGATTTTTGTTTTAATTTAATTTGAGAATCCCTGTCTTCTGTTAAGTATGTTCATTTTATTCATATTATTTATAATATTGAATTAATTGAGGCACATTTCTGCCATTTAACATTATGATTCTTGAATGTATCATTTAAAATTTTTATTTTAAAGATCATTTCTTATTTTTCATGAGCAGTTTATTTTTAAAGTTACTAATTCTATTTCTGTTTTCCCACTAGTAAGCCTCAAACTTTTTAGGACTCACACTTTTATTTATTTTTTCTTACAATGCTTCAAGCTGATAAATATTTATATCTTCTCCTTTACAAATGACTAATATCCCCTTACCTACTTTAGTCTCCCTCAATTCCTATTTTTATATCACCCCTGTAGGAAATTTCAACTTTAGAATTTTGTTAATTTTGAATTTATAAGGCACAATATATCCCTTTAGACTCATTTAAGTATATAAGAGAAAAGATCTTCTCTTTAATGTTCCTTTACAGTTTATTCACTTATTATATCTGCTTAATAAAATTTGCTATGAGGATAAAGTGAGAAAATTCATATAAATTGTTTAGAACAACTCCTGAATTCCAGCAAGTTTTCTTATGATTGCTTTCTGGTCTCAAGAAATTTGTATAATATTTAAAAACATAAAACGATATAATTCAAAGGTCTCTTGGACAACAAATAATAGAGAAGTTTCTAACCTAATGATTCACTGTGAATCCTGCAGAATTTTATGTAACACTATGTGTACATGTTATATATTTGGACAGGCATGCAACATTTTTCTGAAGAACATGGCTTTAATCATACGCTCAATGGATTTAATAACCCAAAACAGATTCTAGTTTAATCCATCCACCTCATTTTAAAGATTTTAAACCGAAAGCAAAAATTAAAAAAAAAAAGAGAGAGATATTTATTTAGGATGTCACAGGAAGTTGTTGGCAGAGCTCAGAAGTACACGGTGCTAGACTTTTAGGTCCAGAAGAGCAGTGACTATCTGGCCATCTCAAAGTTGAATCTCAAGAACCTACCATACAGCTGAGCACAAAATAGACCATCAGTACATACTGGTTTGAGGAAGAAATATTCAAATGAAAGACTAGCACCAGAATCAGGATGTAGCTGAACTACTTAAATCCCAGGATGCAATTTATATCTCAGCACTAAAAACTGCCCTTTTAAATTTAGCCATCAGAACTCAGAAAAAAAGATTATAAAATAAAAAGTAAGTCCTTCATTGCATGTTAAAATTAGAGAAATTAGAGACATAGCATTTAAGTTTACAAAATCATCTTATAGCTAAGTTTTTATTCAACTTGGTTTTGTTTTCCAATTTAGTTTCACCATCTGCATTTAAGTGACCCTTCCATTTGGCAAAGCAGATATTTATTTTAGAACAAATCAGGAGACTTTCACTTCCAGGAAAAAAGAATAGATACTTTTCATTATTTCCCCAATTAAGTCAAATAAAAACTGAATGTAAAATAAGCATAAGGTGAAGATAAGAAGACAAACCAGCTGGAGACCTTGGGTCTCAAAAGGCAGTGAGTTCCCTGGGTTTTCTCTTTGTCTCATTTAGCCTGGACTTGTAGCTGAAGAAACCAGCAGCATGGAAACATCAATAATCAATAGACACAGCCCCCAAAAAATTAAAAAATTCTAAACAAAAGCCCCATTTTCTAACCAAGATATCACAAAAGGGACAGCCAGCCTACCAAGACAGAATACTTTAAGACAATAACTGTTCTACTCTAGCCAAACATCACAGTAAAAACAGAGACCCCAACTCCACTCTTGCTAGGAAAGACTGAGTGGGGACTCTAGATGTTTACCAGGAAGTAACAAGACACCTCAACACCCTTGCAGAAGTAAAGTCAGAGAAGACTGAGTAGGAAGCCAGAACTCCTGCCAGTGACACCTTCCTTCTTCCCTGCCATGATGTCAAAGAAAACCTTGTAATGAAGCACCTCTACTCCTTTCCACTAGAGTGGTATCAGAGAAGGCCTAGAGGAGAATCAGGACATTCACCATCACTCAGCAGCAAAGAGGTCACTCTCCCACAATGTCAGTGGAGGGCACATGGGGAGCAGTAGTGAAGCACTCCTGTTCCTCCTACCAGGGTGGTATCAGCAGAGGCCTGGTGAGGAGCCAGGAGCAGTCATAAGGGGACTTTACTTCCTCAGGTGACAACAGAGGCTAAGTGGGAAATCTTGATGCCTACCCAACCTTGCACTAAGAAGACAGTCCCTTTGTACCTCTGCTGAAGTGGCATCACACACACACACACACACACACACACACACACAGCTAAAACAGAAGGTTTAAATAAAGTTCAGAATCATAATACCAAAAATGACCTTGTTTCAATAAAATATTATTCAGCATACTAAGAACTGAGAAAATCTCAACTGTAATGAAGAAAGACAATCAATAGATAGAGATATGAATATGACAGAGGTATTAGAATTATCTCACAAGGATTTTAAAGCAGTCATAATAAAAATGCTTCAAAGAGCAATTACAAATGTTGATAAACAATTTTTTTAATGTAAAATGAAAAGTCACAGTGAAGAAATAGAAAAGTCTCAGAAAAGAAATACAAAGAAGAACCAAATGGAACTTCTGGAACTGGAAAATACAATAACTGAAATTTTCAAACAACAAAAATTTCAACAGATGGGCTTAATAGCAAACTAGCGGGCACAGAGGAAAGAATCAGCAAACTTAAGAGTAGAACAATGTAAGTTACTTAATCTGGACAATGGAGAAAAAATAAGCTTAAAACAAATGAACTTCAGGAACCTGTGAGACTATAACAAAAGATCTGTTTGTGTCATCAGAGTCCCAGAAGGACAAGACAATACAACAAGACTTAAAAATAGTCCCAAAAATTATGATTGATAACTTTCTAATTTGGCATAAGACATATGCCTACAGTTTCAAAAATTAAGAGAATCTCACAGAGAATAAACCCAAAGAAATCCAAGACACATAAAACTTCTGAAAACTAAGATAAAAAAATTGTAGAAGCTGCAAGAAAGAAACACCATCTTACCTACAGAGTAAAAACCATTTAAATGACTGTAAATTCTCATCAGAATCCATGGAGGATGTAAGGATGTGGCCCCAAATATTCCAAGTGCTGGAGGAAAAAAAAATACCAATATAGATTTATATATCCGCAAAAATACTCTTCCAGGAATGGATAGGACATCATGTCATTTTCATAGGAAGCCAGCATTAAGAGAATTTTGTCACCAAAAAGACCTACCCTGAAATAATAAGTAGAGGAAATTCTCTTAACAGAAAGGAAATGATAAGAGAGGTTTCCAAACATGAAGAAAAAAGAAAGAACAACTGCAAGAGTAAAAATATGGGTAAATGTTCCTTCTCCTCTTGGATTTGTGAATTATGCTTGACAGAAAAGCAAAAATTCTAATACTATTCAATGCAGTTCTAAATGTTTGTATGGGAAATATTTAAGACAATTATTTTACATTAAGACAATTTTATTATAAATGTGGAGGTAAAGGGGGTAGGGTTTCCATATTCCACTAGAACTGTTACAATGATTGTAATAAGTTATGTATATGTAATGTAAAACTTCAGGAAACCACTCAAAATCTATACAAAAATTTACTTTTAAAACAAAGATAAATCATCATGTTATTTTTAAAATGTCAACTAATCCACAGGAAGGCATTTTAAAAAAAGAGAAATGAAAAACAGAACAAACAAAACAAAAAATGGCAGACTTAAACTCTAACATATCAATAATTACATTAAACGTGAGTGGCCTGCAAAACAGGAACTGAAAGACAGAAATTGGCAGGGTGGATTAAAAATGATAACACATCTGAATGATTAAAGAACAAGACCCAAGTATATGCTGCCAAAAAGAGACTCACCTCACCTGAAGGACACACATAGACTGAAACTAAAGGGATGGAAAAAGATACCTCATGCAAACGGAAACCAAAAGAGAATAGCAGTAATTATATTTATATCAGATAAAATAGACTTTAAGTCAAAAACTGTAGAAAGAGACAAAGAAGGTATTTATATAATAATCATAAATGGGTCGATTCAGCAAAAGTATACAACAATTGTAAATATATATGCACCCAACACTGAAGCATCAAATATATAAAACAAATAGTAATAGATCTAAAGGGAGAGATAGATTGCAATACAATATTAGTAGGGGACTTTAGCACCCACACTTTCAGCAATCAACAGATCATCCAGACAGAAAACCAACAAAGAAGCATCAGAGTTAAATTGCATTCTAGACCAAATGGACCTAACCAACATTTACTGAACATTTAATCCAACAGCTGCAGAATACACATTCTACTAATTAGCACATGGAACATTCTCCAGAATAGAACATATGTTAGGCCACAGAGCAAGTCTCAACAAATTTTTAAAAATCAATTGTATCAAGTATCCTTTCTGACCAGGGTAGAATAAACTAAAAATATGTAACAAAAGGAATTTTGGAAACTATATGAACACATGGAAGTTTAACAGCATGTTCCTGAACAACCAATGGGCAATAAATTAGGAAGGAAAGTTAAATAATTTATTGAAACAAATAAAAATGAAAACATAGCATACCAAGACCTATGGGATATAGCAAAAGCAATCGTAAGAGGGAAGTCATAGCAATGAATGCCTACATCAAAAAAGCATTGAAAATAAGCAACCTAACAATGCAGCTCAAGAAATGAAAAAAGTAAGAACAAACCAAACTCAAAATAAATAGGAGAAAATATAATAAAGATTAAAGTAGAACTAAACAAAATAGAGGCTAAAAAAACCCCAAAGGATCAGTGAAATGAAAGTTGGTTTTCTTAAATGATAAGCAAGATTGACAAACCTTTAGGTAGGCTAAGATAAAAAAGTGGACCTAAATAAATAAGATCAGAGACTATAAAGGAGACTTTACAATCAATACCACAGAAATACAAATGATTGTTAGAGACTTATGAACAACTATATGCAAAAAATTGGAAAACATAGAAGAAAAGGACAAATTCCTGTATGCATACAATGTGAACAGACTAATAACAAGTTATGAGATTGAATCAGTAATAAAAAGACTCCCAACAAAGAAAAGTTCAGGACTGGATAGTTCACTGCTGAATTCCACCAAACTTTTAGAATTAATATTAATTCTTCTCAAACTTTTCCAAAAAATGAAGGGAAGGGAATTCTTCTAAGCACACTCTATGAGGCCAGCATTACCCTGATCTCAAAACCAGAAAAGGACAAACAAAGGTAGCTACAGGCCAATATCACTGATGAACATAGACACAAATGTTCTAAAAAAAATACTAGCAAATCAAATCCAACAGCACATCAAAAAGATTATACACCATGATCAAGTAGGATTTATTCCAGAGATGGAAGGATGGTTTAACATACATAAGTCAATAAATGTGATAGATCATATCAACAGAATGAAGGACAATAATCATATGATCTTCTCAATAGACACAGGAAAAACATTTAATAAAATTCAACATCTTGATAAAAACTGAACAAATTAAGCATAGAACAAATGTACCTCAAAACAATAAAAGTCACAAATGGCAAACTCACAGCTAACATCATACTGAAAGAGGAAATGTTGAAAGCCTTTCCTCTAAGATCTGGAAGAAGACCAGAATGCCCACTTTTGCCACTTCTGTTTAATATAGTACTGAAACTCCCACTCAGAGCAATTAGGCAAGAGAAATAAATTAAGGGTATTCAAATTGAAAATGAGGAAGTCAACTTGTCCCTGTTTGCAGACAACATAATCTTATGTTTAGAAAAACCTAAAGACTCCACCAAAATCTGTTTGACCGAATAAACAAATTCAGTAAAGCTGCAGAATAGAAAATCAACACACAAAAGTCAGTAGCATTTCTATACACCAATTGCAAACCATCTGAAAAAAAAATCAAGAAAGCAATCCCATTTACAACAGGTGCAAAAAAATTACCTAAGTATAAATTTAACCGAAGAGGTGAAAGATCTGTTTAGTGAAAACTATAAGTCACTGATGAAAGAAATTGAAGAGGACGCCAGAAATTGAAAGCCATCCTATGGTCATGGATTGGAAGAATTAATATTGTTAAAATGTCCATACTACCCAAAGAAAACTACGTATTTAATGCAATCCCTGTCAAAATAACAATAATATTCTTCACAGAAATAGAAAAAACAATCCTAAAATTTATATGAAATCAGAAGAGACCCCAAATAGACAAAGGATTTTGAGCAAAAAGAACAAAGCTGTAGGCACCACACACAAAATATACTACAAAGCTATAGTAACCAAAACAGCATGGTACTGGTATAAAAACAGATACATAGCCCAACTGAACAGAATAGAGAACCCAGAAATAAATTTACATATTTACAGGCAAATGATTTTTGAAAAAGGCACCAAGAACATACAATGGAGAAAGGACAGTTTCTTCAATAAGTGGGGCTGGGTAAACTGGATATTCATAAACAGAAGAATGAAACTAGATCCCTATTTCTCACCATTACAAAAATCAACTTGATGTGATTAAAGACTTAAATGTAGGACCCCAAACTATGAAACTATAAGAAGAAAATATAAGGAAAATGCTTCAGGACATTGGTCTAGGCCAAGACTTTCTAGATGAGATCTCAAAAGCACAGGCATCAAAAGCAAAAATAGACAAATGGGGTTATGTGAAACTAAAATGCTTCTTCATGGCAAAGGAAACAACAAAGTGAAGAGACAACCTACAGGATGAGAGAAAATATTTACAAACTATCCATCCAACAAGGGATTAATATCCAGAATGTATAAGGAACTCAAATAACTCAACAACAAAAAGATAAATAATCCAATTTTAAAACAGACAAATGATATGAATAGATATTTCTCAAAGAAGACATACAAATGACAACAAATATATGAAAAAATGCCCAACATCACTAACTATCATGGAAATGTGAATCAACACCACAATGAGATATCATAGCATCCCAGTTAAAATGACTATTATGAAAACATAAAAGTTTACAAGTGCTGGTGATGAAGAGAAAGCAGAAGTCTTATACACCACTAATGGGAATGTAAACTAGTACAACCATTATGGAAAACAGTATGGAAGTTACTCAAGCAACCAAAAATATAAATACCATATCATCCAGCAATTCTACCACTGGGCATATATCCAAAGGAGAGGATATCAGTATATCAAAAACATATCTGGCCCTCCATGTTTAGTTGCCCATCAATAGAACAACAAACAAATAAAATGTGGTATGTATACACAATGGAATATTATCCAACCATAAGAAAGAATGAAATCTTGTCATTTGTGGTAACATGGATGAGCCTGAAGGACATTATGTAAAGTGAAATAAACTAGGCACAGAAAGACAAATACCACGTGTTCTAACATATGTGGGAGCCAAAAGGGGTTGATCTCATAGAAGTATAGAGTGAAAGAGTAGTTATAAGAAGCTGGAAAGTGTAGGGGGATAAGTAGGTGTAGGGAGGGCTTGATTAATGGGTTCAAAATAGCAGTTAGGAGGAAAAGTTCTAGTGTTCTGTAGCACAGCAGGGTGACTACAGTTAACAATAATTTATAATTCAGAATAGCTAGAAGAGAATTTTTAATGTTTTCACACAAAGAAATATTATTTGAGGCTGAGTGCAGTGACTCACACCTGTAATCCCAGCACTTTGGGAGGCCGAGGCAGGCAGATCACCTGAGGTCAGGAGTTCGAGACCAGCCTGACCAACATGGAGAAACCCTATCTCTACCAAAAATACAAAATTAGCCGGGCCTGGTGGTTCATGCCTGTAATCTCAGCTACTCGGGAGGCTGAGGCAGGAGAATGGCTTGGACCCAGGAGGCGGAGGTTACTGTGAGCCAAGATCACACCATTGCACTCCAGCCTGGGCAACAAGAGTGAAACTCCACCTCAAAAAAAAAAAAAATAGTATTTGAGATAATGAATATGTCAATTATCCTAGTTGTATTATTACACATTATCTGTATGTATCAAAATATCACATACTCCACAAATATATATATTATTATCATCTTAAAATTTAAAATGAAAAATTATGACCCAATTATATGCTCTCTAGAAAAAACTTCAAACATAGCAATCTAAGTAGGTTGAAATTAAAAGGATGGAAAAAGATATTATGAAAACATTTATCAAAAGAAGCAGAAGTAGCTTCTTCAATTCTATTAATATCTGATAGAGTACTTATCAGATATTAATATCTGATAAAGTAGCCTTCAGGGCAAAGAAAATTACCAGAGACAAAGAAGAATGTTACATAATAATAAAAGAGTCAGCCCACAAAGAAGACATAGCAATTCTAATTGTGCATCCACCAAACAACGTAGCTGCAATACGTGAGCAAGAAACTGATAGAGATGAAAGAAGAAACAGACAAATCTACAATTATAGCTGGAAACTTCAACACTTCCTCTGTCAGCATTTAATAGAACACTAGACCAAAAATCAGCAGAGATACAGAAGAATTCAGCAACAATCAGTTAATAAGATCTAATTGACATGTGTAGAACACCCATTAACAGTAGAATACACATTCTTTTTAAGCACCTATGGAATATATACCAAGATACATCACACTGTGGAAGATAAAACAAGCTTTAACAATTTTAAGATAATTGAAACAATACATAGTTTATTTTCTGGCCACAATGGAATAAAACTAAAAATCAATAACAGAAGGATAACAGGAAAATCTCCAAACACTTGGAGACTAACCAACTTGCTTCAAATAATTCATGGGTCAAAGAGGAAGTCTCAAGGGAATTTTTTTAAAACATTAAATAAAAATGAAAACACAGCACATCAAAATTTGTATATCACAGCTAAAACAGTGCTGAGAAGAAAATTTATAGAACTAAATACTTAATTTAGAAAACAAGAAAACTGTAAACAATTTAAACTCCCAAATGTAAAAAATGAAGAGCAAAACAACCCAGAGCAAACAGAAACAGAGAAATAATATAGATAACAGCAGAAATCAATGAACTAAAAAACACTGATGAAATAAACCAAAAAAATTTCAAATAAAAGAGGAGACAGATCATGCTCATGAATTGAAAAACTAAATAGTGAAAATGTCAATACTCTCCAAAGTTATATGCATGTTTAATTCATATTTAATGAATTTAAATATGTTTAATGTTTTTTTTAAATTTTATTATTATTATACTTTAAGTTTTAGGGTACATGTGCACAACGTACAGGTTTGTTACGTATGTATACATGTGCCATGCTGGTGTGCTGCACCCATTAACTCGTCATTTAGCGTTAGGTATATCTCCTAATGCTATCCCTCCCCCCTCCCCCCACCCCACAACTGTCCCCGGTGTGTGATGTTCCCCTTCCTGTGTCCATGTGTTCTCATTGTTCAATTCCCACCTATGAGTGAGAACATGTGGTGTTTGGTTTTTTGTCCTTGCAATAGTTTGCTGAGAGTGATGGTTTCCAGCTTCATCCATGTCCCTACAAAGGACATGAACTCATCATTTTTTATGGCTGCATAGTATTCCATGGTGTATATGTGCCACATTTTCTTAATTCAGTCTATCATTGTTGGACATTTGGCTTGGTTCCAAGTCTTTGCTATTGTGAATAGTGCCACAATAAACATTCGTGTACATGTGTCTTTATAGCAGCATGATTTATAATCCTTTGGGTATATACCCAGTAATGGCATGGCTGGGTCAAATGGCATTTCTAGTTTTAGATCCCTGAGGAATCGCCACACTGACTTCCACAATGGTTGAACTAGTCTACAGTCCCACACACAGTGTAAAAGTGTTCCTATTTCTCCACATCCTCTCCAGCACCTGTTGTTTCCTGACTTTTTAATGATCGCCATTCTAACTGGTGTGAGATGGTATCTCATTGTGGTTTTGATTTGCATTTCTCTAAGGGCCAGTGATGATGAGCATTTTTTCATGTGTCTTTTGGCTGCATAAATGTCTTCTTTTGAGAAGTGTCTGTTCATATCCTTTGCCCACTTTTTGATGAAGTTGTTTGTTTTTTTCTTGTAAATTTGTTTGAGTTCATTGTAGATTCTGGATATTAGCCCTTTGTCAGATGAGTAGGTTGCAAAAATTTTCTCCGATTCTGTAGGCTGCCTGTTCACTCTGATGGTAGTTTCTTTTGCTGTGCAGAAGCTCTTTAGTTTAATTACATCCCATTTGTCAATTTTGGCTTTTGTTGCCATTGCTTTTGGTGTTTTGGACATGAAGTCCTTGCCCGTGCCTATGTCCTGAATGGTATTGCCTAGGTTTTCTTCTAGGGTTTTTATGGTTTTAGGTCTAACATTTAAGTCTTTAATCCATCTTGAATTAATTTTGGTATAAGGTGTAAGGAAGGGATCCAGTTTCAGCTTTCTACATATGGCTAGCCAGTTTTCCCAGCACCATTTATTAAATAGGGAATCCTTTCCCCATTGCTTGTTTTTCTCAGGTTTGTCAAAGATCAGATAGTTGTAGATATGCAGCATTATTTCTGAGGGCTCTGTTCTGTTCCATTGGTCTATATCTCTGTTTTGGTACCAGTACCACACTGTTTTGGTTACTGTAGCCTTGTAGTATAGTTTGAAGTCAGGTAGTGTGATGCCTCCAGCTTTGTTCTTTTGGCTTAGGATTGACTTCGCAATGCGGGCTCTTTTTTGGTTCCATATGAACTTTAAGGTGGTTTTTTCCAATTCTGTGAAGAAAGTCATTGGTAGCTTGATGGGGATGGCATTGAATCTATAAATTACCTTGGGCAGAATGGCCATTTTCATGATACTGATTCTTCCTACCCATGAGCATGGAATGTTCTTCCATTTGCTTGTATCCTCTTTTATTTCATTCAGCAGTGGTTTGTAGTTCTCCTTGAAGAGGTCCTTCATGTCCCTTGTAAGTTGGACTCCTAGGTATTTCATTCTCTTTGAAGCAATTATGAATGGGAGTTCACTCATGATTTGGCTCTCTGTTTGTCTGTTATTGGTGTACAAGAATGCTTGTGATTTTTGCACATTGATTTTGTATCCTGAGACTTTGCTGAAGTTGCCTATCATCTTAAGGAGATTTTGGGCTGAGACAGTGGGGTTTTCTAGATATACAATCATGTCATCTGCAAACAGGGACAATTTGACTTCCTATTTTCCTAATTGAATGCCCTTTATTTCCTTCTGCCTAATTGCCCTGGCCAGAACTTCCCAACACTATGTTGAATAGGAGTGGTGAGAGAGGGCATCCCTGTCTTGTGCCAGTTTTCAAAGGGAATGCTTCCAGTTTTTGCCCATTCAGTATGATATTGGCTGTGGGTTTGTCATAGATAGCTCTTATTATTTTGAGATATGTCCCATCAATACCTAATTTATTGAGAGTTTTTAGCATGAAGTGTTGCTGAATTTTGTCAAAGGCCTTTTCTGCATGTATTGAGGTAGTCATGTGGTTTTTGTCTTTGGTTCAGTTTATCTGCTGAATTACAATTATTGATTTTCATATGTTGCACCAGCCTTGCATCTCAGGGATGAAGCCCACTTGATCATGGTGGATAAGCTTTTTGATGTGCTGCTGGATTCAGTTTGCCAGTATTTTATTGAGGATTTTTTCATCAATGTTCATCAAGGATATTGGTCTAAAATTCTCTTTTTTTGTTGTGTCTCTGCCAGGCTTTGGTATCAGGATTATGCTGGCTTCATAAAATGAGTTAGGGAGGATTCCCTCTTTTTCTGTTGATTGGAATAGTTTCAGAAGGAATGGCACCTGCTCCTCCTTGTACCTCTGGTAGGATTCAGCTGTGAATCCATCTGGTCCTGGACTTTTTTTGGTTGGTAAGCTATTATTGCCACAATTTCAGAGCCTGTTATTGGTCTATTCGGAGATTCAACTTCTTCCTAGTTTAGTCCTGGGAGGGTGTATGTGTCAAGGAATTTATCCATTTCTTCTAGATTTTCTAGTTTTTGCGTAGAGGTGTTTATAGTATTCTCTGATGGTAGTTTGTATTTCTGTGGGATCAGTGGTGATATCCCCTTTATCTTTTTTATTGCATCTATTTGATTCTTCTCTCTTTTCTTCTTTACTAGTCTTGCTAGTGGTCTATCATTTTTGTTGATCTTTTCAAAAAACCACCTTCTGGATTCATTGGTTTTTTGAAGGGTTTTTTGTGTCTCTATCTCCTTCAGTTCTGCTCTGATCTTAGTTATTTCTTGCCTTCTGCTAGCTTTTGAATGTGTTTGCTCTTGCTTCTCTAGTTCTTTTAATTGTGATGTTAGGGTGTCAATTTTAGATCCTTCCTGCTTTCTGTTGTGGGCACTTAGTGCTATAAATTTCCCTCTACACACTGCTTTGAATGTGTCCCAGAGATTCTGGTATGTTGTGTCTTTGTTCTCATTGGTTTCAAAGAACATCTTTATTTCTGCCTTCATTTCATCATGTACCCAGTAGTCATTCAGGAGCAGGTTGTTCAGTTTCCATGTAGTTGAGTGGTTTTGAGTGAGTTTCTTAATCCTGAGTTCTAGTTTGATTGCACTGTTGTCTGAGAGACAGTTTGTTATAATTTCTGTTCTTTTACATTTGCTGAGGGGTGCTTTACTTCCAACTGTGGTCAATTTTGGAATAGGTGTGGTGTGGTGCTGAAAAAAAATGTATATTCTGTTGATTTGGGGTGGAGAGTTCTGTAGATGTCTGTTAGGTCTGCTTGGTGCAGAGCTGAGTTCAATTCCTGGATATCCTTGTTAACTTTCTGTCTCATTGATCTGTCCAGTGTTGACAGTGGGGTGTTAAAGTCTCCCATTATTATTGTGTGGGAGTCTAAGTCTCTTTCTAGGTCTCTAAGGACTTGCTTTATGAATCTGGGTGCTCCTGTATTGGGTGCATATATATTTAGGATAGTTAGCTCTTCTTGTTGAATTGATCCCTTTACCATTATGTAATGGCCTTCTTTGTCTCTTTTGATCTTTGTTGGTTTAAAGTCTGTTTTATCAGAGACTAGGATTGCAACCTCTGCCTTTTTTTGTTTTCCATTTGCTTGGTAGATCTTCCTCCATCCCTTTATTTTGAGCCTATGTGTGTCTCTGCAGGTGAGATGGGTTTCCTGAATACAGCACACTCATGGGTCTTGACTCTATCCAATTTGCCAGTCTGTGTCTTTTAATTGGAGCATTTAGCCCATTTACATTTAAGGTTAATATTGTTATATGTGAATTTGATCCTGTCATTTTGATGTTAGCTGGTTATTTTCCTTGTTAGTTGATGCAGTTTCTTCCTAGCCTCCATGGTCTTTACAATTTGGCATGTTTTTGCAGTGGCTGGTACCGGTTGTTCCTTTCCATGTTTAGTGCTTCCCTCAGGAGCTCTTGTAAGGCAGGCCTGGTGGTGACAAAATCTCTCAGCATTTGCTTGTCTGTAAAGGATTTTATTTCTCCTTCACTTCTGAAGCTTAGTTTGGCTGGATATGAAATTCTGGGTTGAAAATTCTTTTCTATAAGAATGTTGAATATTGGCCCCCACTCTCTTCTGTCTTGTAGAGTTTCTGCAGAGAGCTCAGCTGTTAGTCTGATGGGCTTCCCTTTGAGGGTAACCCGACCTTTCTCTCTGGCTGCCCTTAACATTTTTTCCTTCATTTTAACTTTGGGGAATCTAACAATTATGTGTCTTGGAGTTGCTCTTCTCGAGGAGTATCTTTGTGGTGTTCTCTGTATTTCCTGAATGTGAATGTTTACCTGCCTTGCTAGATTGGGGAAGTTCTCCTGGATAATATCCTGCAGAGTGTTTTCCAACTTGGTTCCATTCTCCCCATCACTTTCAGGTACACCAATCAGACGTAGATTGGCTCTTTTCACATAGTGCCATATTTCTTGGAGGCTTTGTTCATTTCTTTTTATTCTCTTTTCTCTAAACTTCTATTCTCGCTTCATTTCATTCATTTCGTCTTCCATCGCTGATACCCTTTCTTCCAGTTGACCTCATTGGCTACTGAGGCTTGTGCATTCATCACGTAGTTCTCGTGCCATGGTTTTCAGCTCCATCAGGTCCTTTGAGGACTTCTCTGCATTGGTTATTCTAGTTAGCCATTTGTCTAATTTTTTTTTCAAGGTTTTTAACTTCTTTGCTGTGGGTTCAAACTTCCACCTTTAGCTTGAAGTAGTTTATCTTCTGAAGCCTTCTTCTCTCAACTCGTCAAAGTCATTCTCTGTCCAGCTTTGTTCCATTGCTGGTGAGGAGCTGCGTTCCTTTGGAGGAGGAGAGGTGCTCTGATTTTTAGAGTTTCCAGTTTTTCTGCTCTGTTTTTTCCCCATCTTTGTGATTTTATCTACCTTTGGTCTTTGTTGATGGTGACGTACAGATGAGTTTTTGGTGTGGATGTCCTTTCTGTTTGTTAGTTTTCCTTCTAACAGTCAGGACCCTCAGCTGCAGGTCTGTTGGAGTTTGCTGGAGGTCCACTCCAGACCCTGTTTGCCTGGGTATCAGCAGCGGTGGCTGCAGAACAGCGAATATTGGTGAACCGCAAATGCTGCTGCCTGATTATTCCTCTGGAAGTTTTGTCTCAGAGGAGTACCCAGCTGTGTGAGGTGTCAGTCTGCCCCTACTGGTGGGTGCCTCCCAGTTAGGCTACTCGGGGGTCAGGGACCCACTTGAGGAGGCAGTCTGCCCATTCTCAGATCTCAAGCTGAGTGCTGGGAGAATCACTGCTCTCTTCAAAGCTGTCAGACAGGGACATTTAAGTCTGCAGAGGATTCTGCTGCCTTTTGTTTGTCTGTTCCCTGCCCCCAGAGGTGGAGCGTACAGAGGCAGGCAGGCCTCCTTGAGCTATGGTGGGCTCCACCCAGTTCGAGCTTCCCGGCCGCTTTGTTTACCTACTCAAGCCTGAGCAATGGTTGGCGCCCCTCCCCCAGCCTCTCTGCTGCCTTGCAGTTTGATCTCAGGCTGCTGTGCTTTCAATGAGTGAGGCTCCGTGGGTGTAGGACCCTCTGAAGCAGGTGCGTGATATAATCTCCTGGTGTGCCATTTGTAAAGCCCATTGGAAAAGCACAGTATTAGGGTGGGAGTGACCCGATTTTCCAGGTTCCATCTGTCACCCCTTTCTTTGACTAGAAAGAGAATTCTCTGACCCCTTGTGCTTCCTGGGTGAGGCGATGCCTCGCCCTGCTTCAGCTCACGCATGGTACGCTGCACCCACTGTTCTGCACCCACTGTCCAGCACTCCCCAGTGAGATGAACCTGGTACCTCAGTTGGAAATGCAGAAATCACCCATCTTCTGCAGCGCTTACGCTGGGAGCTGTAGACTGGAGCCATTCCTATTCGGCCATCTTGGCTCCACCTCCATTTAATGTTAAGTTTAATTCAAAATCCCGACAAGATTTCTTGTAGATATAGACAATGTTACTCTAATATTTACATGAAAAGGCAAAGGAGCTAGAATATCCAAAACAATTTTGAGAAGGTAGAATACAGTAGGAGGTATCAGTCTACTCAATTTCAAAACTTATTATACAGATATAGGAATCAAGACTGGTAGTATTCGTAAAGGAATAAACATATAGATCAATGGAACAGAATAAAGAACCCAGAAATAGAACCATATAAGTACAACTTGATCATTTTTAAGAAAGATGTAAATGCAATTCAGTGTAGGAGCAATAGCCTTGTCAACAAATGGTACTGGAGCAATTGAATATCCACAGGCAAAAAACAGAAACAAAACCTTGATGTAAACCACACACATTATGCGAAAGTTTATTCAAAATGGATCACAGACTTAAACATAAAATGTAAAACTGTAAAACTTTCAGAATAGAAGCATAAAAGAAAATCTTCAAGATCGAGGACTAGGCAAAATGTTTTTAGATCGAACACTGAAAGCATAATATATAAAAGGAAAATATTGATAAATTGAGCTTCACCAAAATTTTTAACTTTCTTTCTTCAAAAGACCCTCTTAAAATAATGAAAATACAAGGTATGGATTTGGAGAAAATACTTCCACTCTACATACCCACTAAATGACTGGCATCTAGAATATTTTAAAAATGCTAAAAACATACAATTCAATTAGATAATGGGCAAAATATATGCAAAGACACTATATTGAAGAATATATACAAATGTCACATAAGCCCATAAAACAGTGGTCAGCATCATTCTCCATAAGGAAAACACAAAACCACAATGAAATATCACAACATACCTATGAGAATCAGCAAAATAAAAAATAATGCCGAAATCAAATGCTGTTGAAGATATAGAGAAATTGAGTCACACATAAACTACTGGAGGGAATGTAAAATGTTACTGCCACCTGGAAAACAGCAGTTTTTTTAGAAACTAAACATGTAACCACCATTGACCCAGCAATTGTACTCCTGGGCTTTTATCCCAGAATAATCAAAACTTATGTTGACACTAAAACCTGTGCATGAATGTTTATAGCATTCTTATTCACAGTAAAAATCCCAAACTGGAAACAACCCCAATGTCCTTCAATGGTTTAAACAAATTATGGCATATCCATATCATACCAGCAATTAAAAGGAATTAACTATCAACACACAGAACTTGGATGACTCCCCAGAGAATTATGCTGAGTGGAAGAGAAAAAAAAAGCCAATCTCAAAAGGTTACAAATTGTATGACTCCATTTTTATAACATTCATAAAATGACAAAATGATAGAAATGGAGAACAGATTAGTAGTTTCCAGGGAACAGCAAAGAAGGAAGTGAGGCTAGAAAAAGGACAATGTGAGGGATCCTTGTAGTGATGTAAGTATTCTGCATCTAGACTGTATCAATGGCAGTATCCTGCTTTTTTGTACTGATGTTTTGCAAGATGTTGCCAGTGGAGGAAACTGGGCAAAGGGTACTAAAAGAACTCTGTATTATTTCTTACAACTACATGTGAATCTATATTATTTCAAAATAAAAGTTTGAAACAACAATAAACACAATAGACCCTTCACATCAAAATATTAATAGAACTTTTATTGCTTCTTTTCCTAAATTACTTTTACTAAATAATTTCTCTGAACTGAGTTGGTCAGTGAGGACATCTGGTTTCTTCCAGACTTGCTGCATTTCTCTCCACCACTCTGTCCTCACCCTAGACCCTTTCAGGAAAAAGTTACCTGGGCACTTTCAGCCTTCCCCTGCTCAGTAGGCCTGGTCAGATTTCCAGACTCAGTTCTCAGAGCTTTCTTCCCTTATCATACAGCACTGGAGGGCATTCTGGAGGCCACCTCTCTACTAAAATTAGGGGTAATTAAGGAAACAGACATAATCCAGTTTCATTCATTTGAAATGGTGAAGCAGTCAGCAGTCATACATCCTCAATAGAGATGAAATACAACAAATAGAGAAGTATTAATTTAGCAGAGAAGGATATGGAAGACTAATAAAATTAAGAGAAAATGGAAAAGCAGTAATAATTTATTAAAAACTGTTGTTTGGTGAGGTATTAATGTCTGGGGCTCACCATTAGAGTGGAGAACCTTCAGCAGCATCTACACAGAGCAGCCATTTGTGGCTGGAAGGGGTGGGCTCCATGAAATGTCCCTTATATTCCTTGGGTGCCTGGTTGCCGCCTCCTGAAATTAGCCTTTCATAGCACCATGGACCTTATATCCCTTCTTAATTGTTTCAGATTCATTTTGCTGTAAGTGTGAGACCCATTTCATGCAAGATTTTATTGAAATCTTACTGGTACACAACTAGCCATTTACTGATAGATTTAGTGGGCAGATTTTCTCAACCACAGCACAAAGTTAGCTTCGAAGGGCTGGAAAGATAACTCCAAGGGAGTTTTAATATATTATTGTATTAGTGTTTATTGCTAGTGTTTTGTTTGTAAAAATTAAATAGGTTTCCCAAAGCACATACCTTTTGACCCCACTACATTAACAGAGGCTTAATTATTTACATGTGTCTAAAGTTTGATATTACAAAAAGGAATTTTTATACATTTTTAAATACTAAGATGTAATATCAATTGATGATAATTTCAATACATACCCAAATTATTTATTGACCTAATACCTGTATTTCCTTATAAAGCCAAACTGAGTTATAATAAATGCTATACCTTGACCTTGTTATCATCATAATTTGTTTTTATTGTTAGAAAAACCTATATATCACATGACATGTGTAAGAAAGGGAGGAGGGAAGAAGCTGATTTATTTGCTCTCCAACAAATCATATTCACCTTCTTCCTTGGAGGCCACTTGACCTCTGCAAACCCATATGTCATCCATCTCTCTGTCCTCCAAGCATGTGGTCACTGGTTGTGGGTGGGTTCTACACTCTGTGTTTGTTTTGATAAATGAAGAGCTGGCTCAAATACCATGTGTGACCTGACCGAGACTGAGTCTCAGGTTTCTGACATGTGAGGCTGCCATGGAGGTTTTGTTGAGTGTAGAGAGAAATGGCCACAAATTTGAAGATGTTGTCTATCTCTAGAGCTGGTGTTATTCAGTCATGTTGGGCAGATTCTGTTTTCTGAAGGGTGAAGAATAATGGAGATGGGATTATTCTTGAATGCTGCTGATTCTTTGGAGTTTGCTGAGTTGCTTTAGGAAATAAGAAATGAATCGGAGGCCCAGGTAGTTCCTCACTGCCTCCAGGACCCAGCATCACTGGGTCACCCTAGGGAGCAATGATAAAGAGAACATCAGGGACAATATCCCTGGCCTGGACTCTGGTCACCTAAGAAGGGGCACCCTTGGCAGTGACAATGAAAGAGAGAAAAATGTAGTGGATTCTACCTGATGAGGATCCCAACTGGAGTTGTTCTCAGATCATTTTGTGAACACACAGGAGAGAGCAATTAGGGAAATTCAGAGAAAATTTTAGGGTATTTGGAAAGGTAGAATCAACACAGTACTCAGAATTAGGATCCTGGACATTTGGGAGTTAAACATAAACGTGACCCCATTTTACCATCACTGACTGAGGAGGCTTACTAATTTGGTATATGACTATATCTGCATTTATTAATTTTTTCTAACTGCAGTATTTCCAGAACTTTACATGCAGTAACTTGGTTCTTAAAAAAGCCTTGCCAGGGTTGGGCGTGGTGGCTCACACCTGTAATCCTAGCACTTTGGGAGGCCGAGGCGGGCGGATCACGAGGTCAGGAGATTGAGACCATCCTGGTTAACATGGTGAAACCCCGTCTCTACTAAAAATACAAAAGTTAGCCAGGCGTGGTTGTGGGCACCTGTAGTCCCAGCTACTTGGGAGGCTGAGGCAGGAGAATGGCGAGAACCCCGGAGGCGGAGCTGGCAGTGAGCCGAGATCATGCCACTGCACTCCAGCCTGGGTGACAGAGCGAGACTCCATCTCAAAAAGAAAGCCTTGCCAGGCAGATATTGTCCCCATTTGACTTATAGGATTAGTGAGGCTCAGAGTGTTGAGTAATTTGCACAATGTCACTCAACTGCTTGAATGGTAGGTGTGTCTGTTCTCAAAGGCTGGGCTACATCTCCTCACTAGCTGTATCCCCGATTTCCAATCCTGGGCTTGATTCCAAAGGATACAGGAGTCCTGTGGAAGGATAGGCTTGCTACACCTTGAATCCCACTTAGAAGTTCACCTGAGGGATGGCTCTTGACCATGACTGGGCCGGTCATCACACCTCATCCTGTAGGGAGAAGGGGTAGAGCACATGGATAGAGGGAAGGAGGAGGGATTTCCTAAGGGTGATTGTGTTCTGGCCCAACAAATCCACACTGTCCACTATATCTCCCCATGTGAGGAAGCGATTTATCACTTGGGGGTGGGAGATCAAATGGGTGAGGAAGATTGCATCACACAGAGCAGAAGCTTCAAGGGCTTGCCTCACAACTGATTCATTGCAGTGATCTCCAGAGCCTGAACCCCTGGGATCCAGGCCATCATCTCCCTGACAGGAACAGATAACAAACTTGTTTCTCCCCACAACTGATGCCTGAAACCAATCTCAAACTGCCCACCTCTTCCCTGGAAAACAGTCCTCATAGATGAGTAACAAGATTGCCAACTCCAAGGGCACCAATTCTAATCTGTCTTGTCAGGTCAACCCAGACAGATTTCTTTCTCAGAAAATTGATTTCTTCAAACAATTATATAGCAAGCATTTGCCATTCCCTTAAAAGATGGACACAATGACAGAAAAGAAGCTAGAACATAGTATCCATATAATTTTTATACCACCCGTTGCAGACTGAGACAGAGATTAGGCTGGGTGACATGCAGTGTGTGTCACCCACATAGAAGTGGCAAAAATTATTTAGCTTAAAATAAACGGTTACCATGTATAATTAAAACTTTCAAAGAGTTGTCCATTGATCGAAAAACATGATCCCCTGCTCTTGTTTCCAGCTGTATGTGGAGCTGATTGGCTCATTTAGGGGCAATATGCCTTTGATATTTGAATCCGTCGTTCACTTTAACTTTAAACAGACAGGCTGGGGAGAGGAAGCTGGGCTGGTGATGTGCTAATTCTTGTTTGTGATTTACCCCCGAGAAACTATAAGAAACCTGCAACTTATTGTACATTAACAACTGAAACTGGAGACAACCACATCTGGTTTGTTGGTTGGTCCTCCCCCACCCCTCCCTCTGCTTTTTTAAAAAAACACAGCAACCCAAAATGCTCAAGCTAGATAGTTTGATTAAAATGGTTAATTTATCAGGGATAAAAGGTTGGAGGATAAATTACTCCCGAGAGAAAGGTTGAGTCATTTTGCAAGACGGGTTATAAGCATCAGTAGATAAAAGCAATTTTTTTAGCCTATTATGGAATTTCTCAAAGCCGTTGTATAAAGAATGTGTGGTAAAGCTTTTAAAATGGATTCAAGTTTTGCAGTTGGAGGGCCAAGTGGCTCTGAACCACTGGAGTAGTCTGTCTGGTACCGGTTTTGGTCTCTCACAGAGGCCCATGGTCCTGAGGAAGCAGATGGGGTGTGGGTTGGTTTGAGGTAGGAAGCAATCAGCTTAATAAGGGGCCCCTTTGTCCATTAAAAATATATTTTATGATTGCATTGGTGTGAAGAAAAATATATTAATATTATATATGAAAACATTTTAAACTCTTCCTCTCACTCCTCCTCTCCCCTTCCCTCTTCTCTGCTTCCCTCTTCCCCCACCCTGCCCCTCTGTTTCCACCTGCTTTCCTGTCCATTCCTTTCCTTGTTTCTGGCTTTGTCTATCCACAACACTCTCCATAGTCTCTTATCCCGGCCACTGCAATGTCTCGCCTGCTGTTTTTCTGACTCACCTTTGAAATATTCCTTTGACTTTAATTAAACTCAAGGGCCTGGAAAACTCATTCATTCCTGTCTTTAAAAAAAATAGACAAGCATAATTTCCAGGCCGTTTTCTTGATTTTCAGTTCCTACACTTTTTTCAGCTCTCAACGACTGTAATCTCTTCTTTCACACAATACTTTCTTTTCCCATAGTCAACCAACTTGGCCTCATGTCAGTTGAGCATTGATTTTTTTTTTTAAGAAAATGCTACCGATAAAGAAGCTAGCACAATGAAAAGGATCCAGTGGCAATTGGAATGAATGGCCCTACATTTTCAGGCCTTCTGAAAATGATTTTTCATTTATGAGATGCTTTTGACTCTAGTCCAGACCAAAACAAAGAAGGGTCAAATTTTCCTGAGAATCACAATGTAGTGACGCCTGGGATTTATTGAGAAAATCTTTCATGATGAGATTTCCAGTTCATATTTCCAGGTGTGGAAAGTGTTTTCCCAGTTTAATGAGAGCACCAACAGGGTAGGTACTTGCCTGATTCAAACAGGTAAATAGATTTGTGGTCTTCCCATTACACGTGGGTTTTATTGATTCTACCGCTGTTAGTTACATGGGATTAAGATGATGTTGAAATGAACTCACCATGCTCAGGTCCTAGAGAGAAAATCCATGACTCATATGGATGAGTCTTAGTGAATGAGGTTTGCTAGAGGATTGTGTGTCTCTTGGGAACTTCAAAGCTCAGAAAAGAAGCTGTTTCTTAAAACTAGGCAGGAAAACCATTTATGAAAACTCTGGCCATGATTTCAGAGCACATGAGAGGATGGTGAGGAAATGAGAAACCAAATGAAATGCCAAGGAAAGAAGTTACCATTTTCTGAGCTTCCACTGTGTTCTGGACACATCACAGACAACATCTCATTTCATCCCTCTCAGGAGACCCAGCAGGAAAGTATTCTCTGTGAGCAACCCCACTGCAACCACCACCCACTTAACAGGTGAGGAAACGAAGGTGGAGAGTCTAAACAACTTGCCCAAGTTTACATACAGTTGCTGTATAAACCCTTTTGCGATTCTTTTGCCTTTGAAGAAACCATTCTTCCAGCATCTCTTCTTGGAGACTTAAGAGTAGAAGCTGTTTATATTAGGCCTTCCAGAAAAGTGACGTTTTTATTTAAAAAGAAAATATTAGCATGTTGTTGGAAGCTCCAAGTCTCCTATGGTAGGACAGGAATCCAGCTAGCGGGGAGGGACTTGGGGGCTGGGGAGACTGGGCATGCACCAGTGAGGAGCCGGCCATCAGCCATCTGCTCTGGGCACTTTATGTGGTTCCTTCACCCTTCCGGGCACCACATTACAACTGTCACAGCAAAGTCCTTCGGGGTGATGTGATACAAAGATGACATTCCCATTTATTAAACTCCTTGAACGAAAATAAACAGAGGGAAATTATTAAATATTGCAATATCGCATATGTTGTGTCTAATTTAGGATTCACCATAGACTAAAATCATCACTGTTTACAAAAACACTATCTGAGTGCTGGGTACTTTCAACGAGATTCCTCACATGCAAGGAAAGCACAATACGCATGTTTTCTATTTGAATGCCAAACTCAGAGAGGTTACCTTATTAAAAACCCTAGTTCATATAAATGCCAGGTGTTTTTAGAAAATATCATAGTTCATAAATACTGCATCCCCTCAGATCATCTCCTCAGCCTCTGTCTTCAACATGGTACCAGGAAAAGTGTCAGAACTTGCAAAACCACTTTGAATCCACAAATAAAGGGTGGGTATTAAAAAAAAAATTCAATGCATAAACCCCTGGGAATAATGGAGACAAGCCAAAGAAAAGGGCTTGTCTTTTCAGGAGCTCCCAGAAAGGAGGAAAATCCTCCAGAGAGGCTCCTAACTGGGTGGAAAAAGGCTCAAAATGGAACCAAAGTTTAATTGCCTCTCCAGGAGCCAAGCCAGGCCTGGAGGGAAAATGGGAGACAGGTCTTTGATTCAGCGCATCTGTACCACAGGGGCCTCACCATGTGCAGGCCAGCATGATCCTCCCCCTCCAGAATGTGTTCGCACTTCCTGTATCCTTCCCCAATACACACTAATGCACCTGTGGGGTGGGGAAGGGGCTCTCTTTTAGAGACAAGCTTGGGCCCCAAGAAGGAAATTACATAACAATAAAGTCATTCTGGGTTTGTCTCACTAACCTATAAATTAAGCCTGATCCTGTAGGCCAGAGTGGAAAGGAGTTTGCAGATATTTTGAGCACCCATCTAGTCCAGTGGTTCTCAAAGTATGGTCCCTGGACCAGCAGCAGCATCAACATCATCTGGGAATTTGTTAGAAGTGCAAATTCTCAGGCCCCACCTCAGGTCCATTGTATCAGAAGGTCTTGGTGAGGGCCTAGCATCCTGTACTGTAACATGTCCTCCAAAGGATGCTGGTGCTGATGTGGGTATGCATGCTGTATTTTCAAAATCACTGGCCTGGTTTACTAGGTAATGGTAACCCCCAGGGCTATGCCTTCCTGATTTTATGCTGCCGATAATTGAATGCTTGCTGTCCTTTAATTTAATTTAAGCATTCCCACAACTTTTGTGGTTGGTACTAATATTTTTCCCATTTTACAAATGAGGAAACAGATATTCAGAGATTAAAGAGTACTCAAAACACTGACCTAGTCAATGTGAGAATAAGGTTTAAATCCACAGACAACACTGTTTACATGCATTACGATTCTCCACACTGGAACTCCTCTCCTATCAGAAATATCTGACTTGCGAAAGGAAACTGTAAGAATCAATGAGACCTAATACAGAACATCAGACTGTAGGCTTGGGAGAAATGTTAGAATCCACCCTTCAACTTACATATAAATTCTCTACAGTAATGTTCCGTAAAGGATGTTCCAGGGACCACTAGTTTCACAGAATATTAACAGGCAGGTACACACAGAGTTCCATGGCCAAATAAGTTTGAAAAATGGTGGCTTAAACTTTGCTGAGTTAATTTCTTAGCAGCAGGACTTCTCAGTGCTGTTGATGAACGTGATCAGGCATGAGGTGACCCACCACAGGTACAGTGCATACCATATGTCTCATGTTTAATTGACTACGGAACTGTTTGCTCCCAGAGCATTTCTTGATTTTGTAAGGCTGTAGAATAAGATTTTGGAAGCCCCAACCTACAATATGCTTTGGAAGGCAGGATCCAGGCTGTGGGTGAAGATCTCCAGTCTTAGGACACTTCCTGCTCTCCAGGAAGCCCAAGCTGTGAGCAGATATGCCTGCCTGCTTGGAAGTTCTGTGTGTTGAGTGGAACCTCCTCCTCAATAGCTTCCTGCCACTGCTACTTATTCTTTCCTGGGCAAGACTGAGGGTAAGTCTAGTAAGTCCCTCTTTCACATCCAGGCTCCTTGGAGATGAGAAGGCAAGCACTCTATTCCTTCCTAAGACTTGTTTATCCAGGACTCAACTCTCCAGGCCTTCCAGCCTTTGCTCAGTGCTATTGTCATCCCCTTTCATCTGGATTATTGCAGTAGCCTCATAGCTAGCCTTTGATATTTTGACTCCTCTAATGTCCATGGCAGCCAAAGCAGAAAATATAAATAATCCTATCTTGTCCCTACTTAAAACACTTCAGTGGTTCTTCATGGAACTTGGATTGAAACCCAACTCTCTAAATTGGCCTAATGCCCTGAGACGTCCTCCTCCTCCCTACCTGAAAATTTAACAGTGCCTTTTCTTCACGAAGCTCCAGCTACACTCTCCTCTCCATTCCCAACTGGCTCTTTCCCACCTCCAGGCCTCTGTCCTTGCTGTTCCCTCTTCCTGAAATGCTCTTCCATCACTTACTGAGAGGCTGCCTCCCACTGACCTCTTAGGTCTTAGTTTAAACTGTCACCTTCTCAGAGGCCTTCCCAGACAACTAGTCTCTCTTAGGGTTCCTATTACCCCCTGCCTCAGCACTCTGCCCTTTCCCTTATTATACAGCCCATGCTTCCTAATTCTACGCTTGTGTGAGAATTGGTTTAATATCTGTATCCCCTGCTCAAAAGTCAAATTGATTGCATATCCAATAAAGACCCTTATGCCTTGCATATAGCCTGCTCTCAAAATTTTGGGATGAAGGGACAATTGTTTGTCTCCAGACCCTTCACATCCTTCACCTCCACCTTCTCAACTGCTAGTTCCTGGAACTTACACACACAATAGGTGTGCTCTGCCTCATGACGTTATTATCTCCTATGCCCTGGATACCATATCTCGATTCACACCAGAGACTAAATTACCTTTTCCAGTGGCTGCCTCCTACCTTGGGCTCACACTAGACTAACACTAAGTCTTCAAACACTGCCAGCTCTTTCCACATGTACTCCCCTACAGTATGACTTGCCTGGGCTAAAAATATGCTACAAATTCCGAGGCCTCAGCACAGATCCTCTGTCTTAACATCTGTTGAATACTTCTCTTTTTTTCAAGCATGAAGTCATCTCATTCTTATCGTAGTCACTGATATCTTGCAAGGAGCTAGGGTGAGGAGTGAAGACTAAGTCCTGTGACTCAGACCCACAGCGGCTTCCCACTAGATTGGCACTATCCTTTGGTGATAGCACATCCTTCAGTTGAAGGGCTAATGGTGGCACTTCAGTTGCTATGTCACCCAGTGAAAGGTGCACTATTTGGGGAGCCCGTCCACCTGAGCTGACACTGAAGGTAGCCCTGTTTGAGCAGAGAAATTGATCCCTCTATTCTCACAAGTACTTTTATTCCCCCCATTTGGGATCCCATATCTCTTTTTCTTCTCCTCATCTTTGGAGGCACGTACCCTTCTATGTTGTGGACCTGTCTGAGCTAAGTAAATTTTCTTCTTCCACATAGTCATTTTGAAATTTAAAATGCTCTCTGGCTGGCCAGGCCTGCATGGTGGCTCACACCTGTAATCCCAGCACTTTGGGTTACTGAGGCAGGTGGATCACTTGAGGTCAGGAGTTCTAGACCAGTCTGGCTAACATGGTGAAACCCCATCTCTACTAAAAATACAAAAAATTAGCTGGATGTGGTGACAGGTGCCTGTAATCCCAGCTACTCAGGAGGCTGAGGCAGGAGAATCGCTTGAACCTGGGAGGTGGAGGTTGCAGTGAGCTGAGATCACACCAGTGAACTCCAACCTGGGCGACAGAGCAAGACTCTGTCTCAAACATACATACATACATAAAAAAATGCTCTCTGTTTTCACCTTCAGTATTTACTGTAGAGATTGAATTAAGCTTAAGAGGAGGAATATAATGTAATGATTAAGGATTAATAATTAAAATCATGGTCTTTAGATGCAGACGGAATTGGGTTATGATCCTGGCTTCATCAGTCACTAGATGTCACCTCAGGAAAGTTGTTAAGGGCCCTCAGAATACTCACAAAATGGACCATTCAAATGCACCTTCCAGAATGTAGCAAGAATCTAATTGGCACTATGGCTGCCATGGGTAAAAGGGGGCTGGAGTTGTCATTTCTTCTTATTGTTTAGTCTCTTTCGTGTCTTTCTTCCGTAACTAGTTGCTCCAAAGGTGGGGATTAGCAAACTTTTTCTGTGGAGATCTAGAGAGCAAAGATTTTAGGCCTCATGGGCTGTATAGTCTCTGTTGAAACCACTCAACTCTGCCATTGTAGTGCAAAGACATCCACAAACAACATAGAAACAAATGAGCATGTTCGTGTTTCAAAAAAAAAAAACCTTAATTTACAAAAGCAGGCTGCAGGCTGAATTTGGCTTGCTGATTGTAGTTTGCCAACCCCTGTCACAGACTTCATTTGTAGGTGACTGTTTGATGGCTTTGGAAACTCTGAGCCCCTGGCTTCCACGCAGCATGGCTTCTGGCCTGAAGGATAGGCAGGAATCTGTGCCACTCTGGTCATGTAAGTTTTAGTTTTGCCAGATGAATCTCCATGCTATTTGTGGGAAACTCTGCAGGTCGTCCAGGAAGAATGACCTCAGTCAGCCAAGAAAATCTCTCTCCTTGGGAAATGTCTTGGTGGTGACAGAATCAGTTTGTACAAAGAGGAAAAGATACTTGTCCAGTCCATGGAAATGACAAAGCTAAGTCCCTGCATCAAATGCCACATTAGAAGAGATTCTAACAATTAGCAATCTGTGAAGAGGAAGGAATCAAATGTAGCCTGATGGGTTTCCTGGCTGGCTCTAAATTCTCTTTATTAACTCGGATTGCATTTGGCTGCTTGTAGCTAAAATCTGACTGTAGTGGCTGAATCAAATAGATTTAATATTGGTAACCTAAGAGAAAGTCTTTCAAAGACCATGGTTCCTCCTAGCTCCCTGTCTTGTAATCCTTCTAGTGTCTCTTTTGACTTCACAGCCACAAGATGGCTGCTCTGAGTCCAGGCATCGGGTGCAAACTTTAGGCTAGAACAAGAAAAAAATGATAAGGAACAAAGTCCTCTCCAGAGTCATCTGTCCCAGGAGCCTTTCACAGTGGACTTTGCACTTACATTTCATTGGCCAGATGAGAGTCACATGACTAAGCTTCAGGGGAGTCTGGGGAAATGAATTTCTTTAACTGGGCACACTGATACCTCAGACAAATCTGGAGTTCTCTTATTGAGAAAAAAAGGAGAGTGGATTTTGAGGGAGGCAATAGCAAGGTCTGTCACATTATCCAAAATGGCAAGTGTGTGCTGCACAGTGGTTGAAAACAGGACTCTAAAATTGGACTGACTCGGCCAGGGTTCCTCATTTCTGAAGGAGAATCATATAACCTCTCTCAGGGTTGTTATTAGGATTGGATAAAATAATCCATGTAAAGTGCCAGACATTAACAGACATCGTTATTGTTAACTATTGCTACTATTCTTCCTCCCTGCCCCTGGGAAACTGCATTTTTTTTTAAGTAAATTCCATTTCTTTGAAGTATATAAATGAGAGAATGCTTGGAAGATTTGAATAATTCTGTTTGACAGAGTCCCAAGAGGGTCTTTGAACTAGGTTCTGAAAAATGAGTAGGAATTTGCCAGGCAAAAAAGAGGGAACCAGGAAGGGCATTCCAGGAAAAGGGAACAGCAAATGCAAAAGCGTGGTGTCAAAAAAGAGCATTTGGCCTCATCACATCACCTAGTAGTGATTCTTTCTAACTGCAGAGATATCAGGGGAATGTTTCCAAAGGTCTAAGGAACATGACTAGAGATTAAGAGGCAAGTGCAGTGGCTCCACTATCAAGCACAAGCTCTTTGTAAAGTGTTTATGTTCGTTAAATGGAAACAACTAGAAATGTAGAGCTGCCTGTTCAAAAACTGTTGGACTAGATTTTATTCTGCACTTACTATCCCTGTCCTGGACTCAGCACTTTACATTCACTAGCATGTGCACCATTCTGGTAACTTTATGAAGTAATTGTTATAATCCCCATTTCATGTGCGAGCTAACTGAAGTTCAGGCAGGTTAAACAAGACATTCACCCAAGTTCACCCAAGCAAGGGCCAGAGCTCTTAATGGTGAATCTGTCATCTCTCCAGGCAAGCCATCTACCTCCTCCATTATCATCTTTATTGTTTTTATTTTTTTATTTTTATTTTTTTCAAGATGGAGTCTCGCTCTGTCACACAGGCTGGAGTGCAGTGGCGCAATCTTGGCTCACTGCAAACTCCGCCTCCCAGGTTCAAGCGATTCTCCTGCCTCAGCCTCCTGAGTAGCTGGGATTACAGGCATGCACCACCACACCCGGCTAATTTTGTATTATTAGTAGAGATGGGGTTTCACCATGTTGGCCAGGCTGGCCTCGAACTCCTGACCTCAGGTGATCTGCCTGCCTCAGCCTCCCAAATCGCTGGGATTACAAGTGTGAACCACTGCACCCAGCCTCCATCACCATCTTTAGATCATCTTTATGTAGGAGACTGTAGCAATGTTCCTCAAGGCTTAGAATCTTAGGGCTGGAAGAGATTAGAGCTGTGCGTTCCAATACGGCAACTACTGGCCACATGTGACTATTAAGCCTTTGAAATGTAGCCATACAAATGTAGCCTTGAAATGTATGGCTAGTGCAACTGATGAATTGAATTTTAAATTTTATTTAATATTAATTAATTTTCATTTAAAAATTAATACTAAATTAGATATTGGAAAGCTTTAAGTATGTTTGGAATAACTTGGGTATGGAGATATATCTTTTTGCCTGTAAATTTTATGAAATCTAAATACAGGTCAAATATGTCTGATGAAAACTTGGCATCTGAAATGCGAGGTACTTTAAGAGTAAGACACACTCTGGATTTCAAAGATGGAGTACAAAAAATAATGTATAATATGTCACTAATAAATTTTATATTGATTATATGTTGAAATGGTAGTATTTTAGGTATATTGGATTTAATAGAATATATTTTTACACTTAATTTTACCTGTTTTTACATTTTAAAAGGTGACTACTAGAGAATTTAAAATTACTTATATAACTCACATTATATTTCTGCTGAATTATACTGCTATAGAGAACACATCTTTTCAGATGGGAAAAGCTGGCTTCTCTCTGTTTTGAAGAGAAGTTGATTACTGGATGGGGACAGATCCCATTCACACTTTTGTCTCAAATGGCACAAACTTGGACAAGTCAGCATGTTTCCATGGATCAAGTTCTAAAAAACTGTAAAACTGTGAAACTACAAGAAAACATCGGAGAAACTCTCTAGGCCATTGGTATGGGCCAAAAAATTCTTGAGCAATACCGTACAAACACAGGCAACCAATGCAAAAATGAACAAATGGGATCACATCAAGTTAAAAAGCTTCTGCAAAACAAAGGAAACAAAAAACAGAGTGAAGCGACAACCCGCAAAATGGGAGAAAATATTTGCAAACTATCCATCTGACAAGGGATTAATAACCAGAATATATAAGAAGCTCAACAACTCTATAGTAAAAAATCTAATAATTCAATTTAAAAGGGGAAAGATATTTGAATAGACATTTCTCAAAAGAAGACATAAGTAGCCAATAGGCACATGAAAAGATGTTCAACGTCATTGATCATCAGAGAAAGGCAAATGAAAATTACAAAGAGATACCATCTCACCCCAGTTAAAATGGCTTATATCCAAAAGTCAGGCAATAACAAATGCTGATGAGGATGTGGAGAAAAGGGAACTCTCATACACTGTTGGTGGGAATGTAAATTAATACAACCACTATAGAGAACAGTTTGGAGGTTCCTCAAAAAACTAAAAACAGAGCTACCATATGATTCAGCAATCCTACTCCTGGGTATGTACCCAAAAGAAAGGAAATCAGTGTATTGAAGAGATATCTGTACTCCCATGTTTGTTGCAGTACTGTTGGCAATAGCCAAGATTTAGAAGCAACCTAAGTGTCCATCAACAGATGAATGGATAAAGAAAATGTGGTGCTTATACACAATGGAGTACTATTCAGCCATAATAAAGGAATGAGATCTTGTCATTTGCAACAACATGGATGGAACTGGAGGTCATTATGCTAAGTGAAATAAGCCTGGCATAGAAAGACAAACATTGCTTGTTCTCATTTATTTGTGAGATCTAAACATCACAACAATTGAACTCATGGAGACAGAGGGTAGAAGGATGGTTACCAGAGGCTGGGAAGGGTGGTGGGAGGATGCCAGGGAGATGGAGATGGTTAATGGGTACAAAAAAAAAATAGAAAGATTAAGATCTAGTATTTGATACCACAACAGGGTGACTATAGACAATAATAATTTAACTGTACATTTTCAAATAACTAAAAGAGTATGATTGGATGATGGTAACACAAAGGATAAATGCTTGAGAGGATTGATACCCCATTTTACATAATATGATGATTGTGCATTGCATGCCCATATCAAAACACCTCATGTACCCCATAAATATACACACCTACTATGTACCCACAAAAATTAAAATATAGAAATTATTAAAAACCCAAAATACCAGGTAAACTTCTTTTACATTCCAGGTTCCTATGATCCTATTGAAATCTCCAGAATTTCAAATACATTAATTATCATAGTTTAATATCAAGAGGAAAACTGGAGTTTTTTTTTTTTTTTTTTTTTTTTTTTTTTTTTTCAGACGGAGACTCACTCTGTTGCCCAGGCTGGAGTGCAATGGTGTGATCTCGACTCACTGCAACTCCTGCCTCCTGGGTTCAAGCGATTCTCCTGCCTCAGCCTCCTGAGTAGCTGGGATTACAGGCGCATGCCACCGCACCTGGCTAATTTTTGTATTTTTAGTAGAGATGGGGTTTCACCATGTTGGAAAACTGGAGTTTTACATCTAATATAGGAAACTATCTGGTAATGAGTTATGCTTCTGCAATAGTATTTTAGACTTGATTCAAAAGCATAACAAATTAATAGTTATCCTTACTAGATAATGTGTAGTATATGTGTGTGGTTATATATAAATGGATATATATGCACTAACACACACACACATATATATACATACACACATACACATGTATACACACACACGCAAGTTACTATTCTTATTTCAATATTTCAGACAGGAAAACTGATTAAATAACTCATCCAAAGTCACTTTGCTAGTAGTAAAGGGTAGAGCTGGGACTCATGTTGTAGTCTGCATGATCCCAATGTCTGCACAAATATCCACTTCCCTATAATACCGGTGCCCATGGCCAGCCCCTTCAGAGTGCCCTCTCCTTTCAGTCATCAGCTGTAAATCCAGGAGCCACAACTGAGTCTGTGCTGAAATGGGGAAGGAGTTCGGAGTCTGGGTGCCCTGAAATCTATAAAAGGTTCAGGGAACTTTGAGGTGAGAGGTTATGAATTAGCCTCCCAGACCAAAGGGAGTGCTTCCCATTTGTTAATTTGATTTTGTTTAGGTTACTGAGCCATGATTCATCCTTAATTGCATTGTTTCAAATGACTAAATAGTCTAAGTATTAACCAACTGCTGAGTGGTTGCCCAGCTTTGGTTTAAGTGGGACATCTTCAGCTTAGGAGTCATTAAAATCAAAACACTGTTGGGCTTCCAGTGGGGTATTGGGTCATCTGCCCACTGAAAGATGGTCCTGGTGCCTGGTGGAACTCCAGAAAATGGAGAATGTATCCCTTCTGTCCCTGTTGCCTGTGTGGGAACTGGACCTCCCACTTCATGTGGGGTTGAAAGTTCCCATAGATGGAATGCCAGAGGACAGACTAATCTGATTCAATAGATAGACATTCCTCCTGACTGTGGACCTTAGCAACGCACTCCACCAGAAAGGTTTTGAAAAAAATTTTTTTTTTGAAATGGAGTTTCATTTTTGTTGCCCAGGCTGGATTGCAGTGGTGCGATCATGGCTCACTGCAGCCTCTGCCTCCCGGGTTCAAGTGATTCTTCTGCTTCAGCCTCCCAAGTAGCTGGGATTACAGGTGTGTGCCACCACGCCCAGCTAATTTTTTTTTTTTTTTTTTTTTTAGTAGAGACAGGGTTTCATCATGTTGGCCCGGCTGGTCTCGAACTCCTGACCAGCCCGCCATGCCCAATCTGAAGTCTGATAATGCATAGGAAGATTTCCAGATTGAAATTATTATTCTCAGAACATGTTCTACTGGGCCTCAGATTCCTTTTCTATCAAATGGGAGTAATGTCAGCTCTACCCTTTACTCCGCTGTGTGAGCAGAGAAAATGACATGATCTCTTATAATAAGCTTTGGAAACATTTTTCAAACAGCTTATCAAAATGTAAAATATTGTTGGTTGAATATAAATCTTTTTCAGCACATTTGTGGGTGTCATGAGTCTTTGACTATGAAATCTATTTATGTTTAATTCCATATTACATTCCCAGCCCTATATTTTAAACTAGTAATTCTGAAGTATCCCGGCAGCTTGTGAAAGACTGTCAGGAGCTGAGAAAGGATGTGAACTTGGGCTTCATTCATGGTTAAGTTTCTAAAACATACAGGTTGGAAGTGAAAGAGGCTGTCATGGTAATGACTATATCAGGGCGATGGGCAAGTTTGGTTTGAACCATGGTTTGAGGGTATGACACACTCCACATGCTAGATTGATGCTTCTCACACTTTAGCATTCATAAAACTACCTGGAAAAGCTTGTTAAAATACAGATTCCTGGGTCTGATGCTTGGAGACTCTGATTCAGGGGGTCTGGGATGAAACCAGAGACAGGGCATTTCTAACCCAGCCTTAGTTGATGCTGATGCTGCTGGTCCACAGTCCATAGTTCAGGTAGAGCTGTTCTAGGTGAATCCTCTGTAGGACTGCAGCTACTAGGATTGGTCTAACCAGTCCCAGACCCTTCATCTACCAGGACAGCTGGCTAATGCCCCCAAGGAACTCTGTCATCTCAGGAACTGCCAAGCCAAACTGCCCCCCTTTCCATTCGTTCTGAGAGAGTGAATGGCTCCGGGAGTAATCTCCCTGTCTCAGAACACTCTTATGACCACACATAAATTTACTTTAAAATAAGCAAGGCGTGAACATGTAAGAATCCACTTAACATGAAGACTGACAGATTTCAGAATAATGTCCTTGTACTACAAATACCCCCACCCCAGGAAGGATTGCAGAGGGCTTAGAAAAGAAAGCCTGGATGGATATCCACATCTGTCAGTGAGACAGAGAGACAGGCTCAGTCACTCTATCTTCCTCAGAGCCTCTCCCTGATCTTTGGGAAAGGGGAGTGAACAACGGAACTGTGAAAAGAGCCCTTTTGACTCTTTTCACGTACTAAGCTCCTGAATCACGCTGGTGTGCTTCAGACATAGCAACACTCTTTAAGGCGGAACATCTGGACAGGGCAAGAAAGGGATCGGCCACATGGACTGGTGGCCTGCTCCAGATGTCTCAAAGGAATAAAGACATTCCCTCGTACAACATCAGAATCATTTGAGCATGCTACAAAATGTGTTTAATTTTGAATCTGAATATAGGTTAAAATGTCCATGATTTAAGTCAATAGCAGGAAGACCTGACACTGAGGGACTATGACAATAAAAATTCCTAAGGAGGACACTGACTTGGAGGAGACATTTGCAGTAAATTACAACCATGTTAGGAACATCAGGCTCATAGTTGGTGGAGCATTTGGCTGTGGGTTTTATTAATTTAGCTAAATACTAATATGCATATCTAAGTTCATTCACTCTCCGGATTAGCACAGTATTGTAACAGCCTTATATAGCATTAGCCTAATTTGATACACAAGTATTAACATGAAAGGGGATCCCTTTCGTGACAAGGTATTATTTCTATAGCAATTTAATATTTTATTGGCCTGAGACAATCCAGCGCCAATTTGCTTCCCTCCCCAAATACAGCATAATAAACATGGGCTTCTTTGTTGTAGCTGTGGTTTAAGGACAGCCACAGTGCGGATAGGGCATGAAGTTTTATTCCCCCGCTCCCCACATCAAACCTCTGTGTCTTCCTCACCATCAGAGGCCCATTGGCATTGTTGATGGTCTGTTTGCATACCTTTCTTTCTTGCCTAAGGGAAGTCAGATGGGATATTTAAGATCCTCCCCAACTTCCAGATTCTAGGATTGAAAACAGAGCAATAATGTGCCTGCTGCATCCCAAGTCGGGAGATGACTCACCCTTCCAGACTTCCTGGAATCCCCATGGAAATGGGCTTGCATCTTATTTAAATGGAAAAGTACAGCCATGACGAAAAAGGAAAATGTCGGTCAGGGTCATGTTGGTGTCAAGGCGCTAGGAAAAAGATAAAGGTCGGCATATTTTTCTCAGAACAGAAGCCTGCTGACCTATTCCCCCAGAGCAAGATCTCTTGCCCTCCTGCCCCCTACTGAAGAACAGTGTGGGTCTGGGACTGAGAGAGAGACCTTGCTGGCCTGGAACACAAGAGATGGCTGCCACTGCTGCCCCAGCTTCCCCTCCCACAGGGGCATGTGCCCAACCTCCTCTTTCTAGAGCCCCTGACCCTGACCTTGGTCAAGCCCTCCTTACCTCTTGCAGTAGACTTTAAATTGAATTTCCTTGTCTCCAGTGTTTCTCCTGTTAATCCAGCTTCCACCCTGCTGCACAATAATCATTTAATAGAAGAGTTCTGAATAGGACACTCCTCTGCTTCAAAGATTTCCGTGGCTCCCCATTGCCTAGAGAATAAAATTCAAATTCTTGTAGTTCTTAACGTCCTGGCTATGTTCGCAGCTCCCTCTTCCACCTCCGTCCTCCCTCTAAGACTCACTATTTTCTTCTGCTGCTTCAGCAAATCCAGGACTCCAAATGTCCCATGGCCGTCTCCATCTCAGGGCCTTTGCTCATCTGGGTTCCTGCTGCAGGGAATTCTGTCCCTTGTGCCTTTTGGACCACTATTCTACCTCTAAAGCCAAGGTCTGATTCCCTCCTTTCCAGAACATTTTCCCTATGCCACCTTAGTCTATTTTTGTTACTATAACAGAATAAGACTTACACAAAGTAAGACTGTGTAATTTCTAAAGAAAAGAGGCTTATTTAATTCATGGTTGTGGAGGCTGGGAAGTTCAAGATCTGGCAGTCCATCTGGTGAGGGCGTCAAGCTGCTTCAACTCATGGCAGAAAGCAGAAGAAAGGAGAAGCTCTGTCTCTCCTGAGAACGAATCCATTCCCAGTAAAACTAATGCAGCCTCTCAAGAAATCCATCTTAAAAACCTAATCACCAGCTGGGCTTGGTGGTTCATGCCTGTAATTCCAGTACTTTGGGAGGCTGAGGTGGGCGGATCACGAGGTCAAGAGATCAAGACTGTCCTGGCCAACAGGGTGAAACCCTGTCTCTACTAAAAATACAAAAATTAGCCAGGCGTGGTGGCTTGCACCTGTAGTCCCAGCTACTTGGGAGGCTGAGGCCGGAGAATCGCCTGAACCCGTGAGGCAGAGGTTGCAGTGGGCTGAGATCGTACCACTGCACTCCAGCCTAGAGACAGAGAGAGACTCCGTCTCAAAAAATCAAAAAACAAAAAACAAACCAAAACAAAGAAACCTAATCACCTCTTAAAGGTACCACCTCCCAACAGCACTACATTGGTGATTAAATTTCAACATGAGTTTTGGCAGGGACAAACCACATCCAAACCTACTGAGAATTAGTCACTTTTGGACCCCTATATTTGGTCTTCTAGTCTATTTAGTTATGTGCGTTATTGGCCTCCCCAGTAGACTCTGCAGTCTTAAAGAAAGAGCTTGGTCCAGGCCACTAATTTTCTATAATCTGCAATCTTTTATATCCTTATATCTTTGAAAAAGTATCTATTATTTCTAAATGAAAATTTTGCCTATGTAGACTCACAGGACACGTGAGTCAGAGGGATGTTATCAACTATTGGTGACGGCAAGTCATTGCATCCGGGCCTATATCCCGCTCTGTAGCTAAGGCAGACAATGATCATCAATCATGGTGGTCTTTCCAATGACCCCAGATGTAACTTTCTGATCCTTCCAACCCGGTGCTCCTAGCAGCAACCATTAATCAATCAGAGTTGATATTTACTTGCCATCCCCTATCTAGTTTCTTAGCCCTTATTTTCCAATTTCCTCCCCCCTCTCCTTTATGGCTGGTATTGCACAGCAGTCTTACTGGAAGCCCTAAAGGAAGTTCGTGCTGTAAAAGTTGAAATTTTTGTCTGTTCTTTTAAAAGCCTCCAGCAGTGAGGTAGGTCAGAGTTTGGGGAGAAATCCGAGATGTTCTTCTATTGGGAAGATTCACCCAGCTCTCCTTTAACTTAAAGGAAACTCAGTGCAAAGTCTAGTTCAGCCAATTAGCTGCACTGGTTGGTTAAAGCTAAAAGAAGATGATCAGTGTTCATGTTTAACTTTATAATATTGATATAGAACCCATAAATGCCACCTCAGCTCTTCAACATTGAAGAATAGGCAACAAAGTTTTCTCCTTTGAAATGAAACTACTATATTTCTAATAAAGAAAGGAGCCACATTTAGGAGAATTTTACAAAAACATTTCTTATCTTTTCCAACAAGTCTCTCTCCATTTGAGGAAAAGCCCGGTGATATTAAGGAACCCACTGATAGCTCCACAGGTGTATTCACCCACCCAAGGCAGGGCCACCAACGGGACTGGATACACTCACTGGCCTGTGGCCTCTGAAATTCGTCCTGAAGCCAAACTCCTTTTAGGCAACATGACATGATCAAGGCCAAAAACAGACATTCCCCTCAAGTAGGGGTTTTAATTACTTCGTGTGGTACCAGAATAGAAAATTCTAGAGAATTCTTTCCCTTTACTTCAGTAAACTTAGCAACAATGAATTCAAACTAAAGGGAATCACATTTTGACTGTACTCAGTGGATAAACTTCCACATTTATATTTACTGACACCCATTCAGAGCCAGATGTGGTTGTCTATCCTGGAGTTATAGCAGCGATTTACCTTGAAGAAAGCCTGGTCCCTGGAGAACTTCCATCCACTGCACGAATGCATGCTGCAAATGACATTCACATTCGTGATTTCCAGAAAAGGACAAAGAAGTACGACTTACACTGTGCAAGCAAACAAAACAATAACACTGGTCAAACATTATTTCCCATTGATGTGAGTACTGGAATTCCTCTAAATGTGCCCCAGCTTGGCTCCTCCTCTCATCCCTTCCCTTGATAACTCCTGTCCACCTGTAAGAATTCCTGCACTTACTGCCACATTTGAGTGTCCCCCTCTGTTACCTTCTGCCTCCCAAACCTGATGAGTGAGCCCTCTGCATCCCTGTACTGCCCTGTTATTTCCAAACTCCCCTTCAACACTGACAATGCATAGGAAGATTTCCAGATTAAAATTATTATTCTCAGAACATGTTCTACTGGGCCTCAGATTCCTTTTCTATCAAATGTCCTTCAAACTGTCCCTGTCCTATTGATTATTGTTAACTCTCTCACCAGTATATTGCTGGAACATTACAATTGTTGAAGAAATGCTTATTGAAGGAATGCGTTTAATGAAGCTGTTAATATTTAGAGAAACCTTTCTTTAAAAGAAGAAAAATGGCTGAGTTGAAAATCACTGAACTATCACTCAATTCCATTTTCCTGTTAAAGATGGACAGACAGCACAACACACACACACACACACACACACACACACACACACACACACACACACACAACATAGAAATAGTTCTTTCCATGAAGTTTCTTTAGAACTTTACTGTATGACTCTCATTCTGTTGACTGTGGTCAGAATTATGTTTTCATCTTATGCAGTTTATCTAGTCTTCCGTACCAGGCCGTACCGTATGTATTCTTCAAGGTCAAGGACTGAGTATTTCATTTCACCTACAGCACCCTCTCAAGTAGAATTACCATGTGTCTTCTTGCTACAGAGTTCTCTCTCTTTTCTCTCTCTCTCTCTCTCTCTCTCTCTCTGGATCTCATTTAAAAAAAAAAACACAACAAATAAAACGTGAGGCTTCAATACTTTGGCTGGGTTAGTTGACTATGTGGTGCCAAGGAAATGGCTTGGTGGTTTTTTAGTTTGGTTTGTCTTTTGTTCTCTGAATTTAGCATCATGTGAAGACAGAGTATAGCCTAAAGGTGTATTTAAAATGTCGTCCTATTTCTGAGCTTACTCAGACAGGCAATAGAAAATGGCATTCTTGATAATTAATGCCCTTACAGAAATTCAGCACAGGCTAGCAACTGTAAACAATAAGTTATTAGTCAGGGGAGGTGCTTGCAACATGAGCACGGAAATTCCCATGGAACTTCATAGGGCATGAAAGGGAAGATTCAAGATGCTCTGGATAATTTCGTTACTGTGTTTGCTTGATCATTTTATACTTAAGCAGACTGTTCATTACCATCATCTCAACCTCTTCTGCTAGCTTAAATTCCTCTTAATTCATTTATAAAACAAAATTAGAATGTTGACTGCAACCTATAAAGTAAGCCCACATCTTTGTTTAATTATAGATTCTATATAAACTATTTTAGCATTACTGAAGGTATATAAAGAAGGAATAAAAGAAGATTATTATTCTGTTAAAATGCCAGCTAAAAACAAACAACAATTTTTTAAATGTGCATTTATATCATGGCAAGAGACTGTGTTAAAAATCCCCAAACTCCTGAAGCTGTTTGAGAATTATGCCAGTGCACTGCAGACAAAAAAAAAAAAAAAGACAAAACTGGTTGAACATAATACATGAGTAGTTGAAATATGGTATGGTTTAATTTTTTTCCTTCTGATTCTTTTTCCCCCCTTTGGAAACCGATAAAAGATTTTGTATTTTTTAAAAAATCGACCTCATTTTTAGTTTATTTTCTAAAAGTGGAGATGTCTTTACATATGTTCAAAAGTATGTCTGTCAAACCTTTGGAGGACTTCTCAGAATGAAGAAATCTACAATGCATATCTTACCAAATTGTTTGGGGATTTTCCACTTTTATGTGTTTGGGCATTTTTCCCTCTTAAACATCAAACCTAATAATCGTGGCAGAAGGTTAAATATTTTCCATACTTTGTTTTTGAAATTTGTTCCTTTCAAAGAACGAACATATGGGGGGAAGAAATCTACACACCCAATCTATTATGATGGCTACCTCTGGGGTTAGGGAGTAGAACCACAAAGTGGGGGCAATGAGGGGGCTCTCACTTCTTTCACCATTTTATTTACAATGAAAGTGTATCCATGTGCCACTTGTACAATTTTCATAGCTACTTAATGAAAAAAAATCATATTTAGAGAAAAAATATCAATTTGGATAATTGTAAATGTTTTATGGTATCCCAAGTGTGAAGATTACACGTAGGATTGCAAAGAGAAAGAAATAGGGAGGAATTCCTGTTTGCTTGGCTGGTAGTATCCACTCTTTAAAGCATTTCTGTACAGAAAGAGAAATAAAAGAATTGATACTTTGATTAGTTACATGAAGATGATATTGAATTCATTTTCTCTGATGCCAGTTTGCTTTAACTTAATATCCCTTTTAAAAATCCATGCCCTCATGACATCATCAGTTCATGCACTATTTCTTGGTGCATTAAAATAGAAACTTAAAGTTTACATGAAACAACCAAATTCAAGAGACTACGCTATTTAAATTTCCAAATCTATTAGGGGCTAGGAATGAAATGTAATGCTAATTTAATTTAGTAATTTTTTCTCTTTCCACCAAAATGCACTATCATTGCTTGTGAAAGCCTCAATCCCATCCCCATCCCCAACTTTCTTTTTCCATCAGTCTGGGATGGAATTACAGGCTGATTTGAAGCACAAAGTCCAGTTGCATCCCAGACCCTTGTCTCTAAACAGCCAGTGCCACAGGATGTTTCGTGACCACAGCATGTCCATCATCTTACTTTCCAAATGCAGTGATGAAGGTTGAATGGGTGGAGCTTTTTAGTCTTCAAGAATTTAAAACTACGCACACACAATGCAAGAGGCTGGCAGGAGTCCTTTGTAATAGTGTGCGTGTGTGTGTGTGTGTGTGTGTGAAAGAGTTGGATCAAATGAGTGGTGTCCTGTTCAGAGCAGGACATAAGTTTCATTCCATGAAAGGAAACATAATTAATTCCACTTCCATCAGCACATCAAGAGGATGATTGGTAACTCACCTCCTACCAGCCCTGGCTGCAAGGGAGAGGTAGCCCAAGGGAAGTGACCCTTTATTGGGCCTGTGCTGGTCTCTGGCTGGCCAGGGAAAGCACACACCTCCACACTCCCAGACCCCTCCACATCCCCCTGGAGCCTGTCAATGTTTTAGTTCTGTCCTTTTTCCACTCTTGGGAGGACAACAATGTGTCTCCAGGTCCTGCAGTCTGGGTTTGATTAAATAATTATAAACTCCCAGCAGCAGGTCTATCATTTATGTCCTGAAACATGCCAGCATGTGTCTTTTGTGGCCATGCCAGCCAATCATAAAGTCACTCTCCTTATTGTCACTAAGAACACAGTGGTTCAATGTTTGTGCTTGTTCCTGGATTTTGGCTATAGAATGTTGCCCAGCAGTTTGCTGCTGGTGCCAACATCACTACAGAACTTCATAATAAATCCTTTCTATATTTATTCAGTCCAGTGTTCTGACACTGAAATTGCCTTTTATGAGCATATGATCAGAGGCTTCCATTTTCCACTTCTAACTCGGGGCGATTATATGTTCTAACAGAAAAGACCTCAAGGCTTGTTGTCCATACATGCAGCATGGCATGGGGACTGCCAACTGGCTGGGGGAAAGTAGGAGATTGGAAGTGCGTGAGAGCTGACCTTTTACCCCACGCAAAGGAAGCACAGAGATGATCTCTTTAATCCATTTGGTTAAAATGTTTAAAATTTTCCACTTCCTCCACAACTAAAGCCCAAAATAAAGTTGCCCAAGCAAGGCAGTAATATTTCATAGTAACATGCCATCTCCTACAAAAGGGCAAGGGGAGAAGGGGGAGGTAGGGATACCATTTAATTGAGTTCAAGAAACTTTTAAAGAAATGTTTTTCATTCTTGCCTTAACTGAGTCACAGGTGATCTCTAAATGGCTCCAATGTTAAGTATATCATATCAACCAAAACTAGGAAAGCGACTGAAATACCTGAATGGGAAGCCTTTTTCTATTTTTTATGTATATGAAAAATCTCACAATAATTCACATGGCCAGAATGACCTTCTACTAATGACAATTTAAGAAGAGGTCTCTAGAAATTACGATGTATAAAAATTTAGCAATGAAACACAGCCATGTTTTGGAAAGAGAAAGATGTGTTCTTTTTTGTTTTGCATAGTTCTGTACAGGTTCAGAAAAATATGAGTACACATGGCCTATATGTGTTTTCATTTTTGAAAAACGATCAAAGCCACTCATTTATTGAAAGGAATACAATACACAAAAAGAGATAACAAGGCTTAGTGAAAATAAACTGCATAAACTGGAGGAAGAGTACTGGAATAACAAAATAAAACCCATCAGTCGTTCATTTTTCATCACTGTCTTTCGTTTGCATTTACATTTCCTGAAATGCCATGGCATCGTATCAGTCTGCAGATGAAATGTGAATCTCGAAAGAAGAGTTACTTTATACAAAGGTGGAATCGGTTGAAGGTTGCATGTTTTGTTTTTACTGCATCCTTTAAAAGGATCATTAAAATGTTTCTGCTCAATGCAGATAGCAATAATTATCATTACAGGAAAGGCTTCAGATATTACATTTCACTTTTAAGAAAATGGGTTTTAGAATAAATATTAAATATATTTAAAATATATACAGTTTGACATTATTTTTCAAAATAAAAATATCTTATATTTTCAAAAACTGTAAGTTGAGATTTTGTTGCTTTGTTTTTAAGATTTGAGAACTAACTTCTTTCAGTATTATAATTCCTGGTGACATCACATTTACCCCAACAGTATTCAAATTATATATGTATTTTTGAAAATGAAGTTATTCAAATAAATTATTTTCAAATGTATCAACTTAAAACTATACTACTATTCTAGTGAGACTAACTTAAGTTGGAGACTAACTTTATAATTAATAAAGACATTTCAGTATGAAATGTGTAGTAATATACTGTGACTGCACATTTCTTTTTTTTTTTTTTTTTTTTTTTTTTGAGACGGAGTCTTGCTCTGTCACCCAGGCTGGAGTGTAGTGGCACGATCTTGGCTCACTGCAAGCTCTGCCTCCCGGGTTCACGCCATTCTCCTGCCTCAGCCTCCCAAGTAGCTGGGACCACAGGCGCCCGCCACCATGCCCGGCTAATTTTTTGTAGTTTTAGTAGAGACTGACTGCACATTTCTTTGGGTGAATATTACTGGGGAAAATAGTTAGAAAAAAGAAAACGTTTAAAATAGACCAAGTAGTCAAGAAGATAGAGAAATACAGTTTTTGCCCTCCTTTAGCTTTATATAGGAACTACTTATGCTTGTAAACATGAGAAAGACAAAGAATTCTTAGAGACTAAATGTTTCAAATGTAGAACTTTTAGACATTTGTGAGAAAAGCTGGCTTCTTAAAAAAAGTGCTTTTGACAAACAGTGCTTAAACAGAAATGCAGCCGTGTACAGGACTGTTTTTAGTTAAAAAATTTCAATGTGCCAACCAAAAAGCGATGTAATCGGTAACTGGCCACTAGGGGGCTTTCCTATTGGTCCATTCTTAAAAAGGACAGTAACTAATAATAAACAAACTGCAAAGATGTACTCCAATATTTTCTATCATACACATAGAAATAGCTGATTAGGAAGTGACAAGAGTCTGGCTATCCTATCATCTGGTTATTTAGATAGTATAAAAGTATTGATTAATTTTTTGCTTCTTCACTAAACAGAATTTTTTTAAAAAATCAACTGCTGTTATTTTGGGGTTTGTTTTTAGTTCAATAATGGTTGTTTTATCTGCTTCGCATAATCTTCTTTTGTTTTATTGATTTTCCCCAGAGATGAAAATAATGAACTTAATTTAATCCAACCAGTACATTGATTCAGTCTGTTTACTCAGATTAACCTAAACAGATATGCTAGCTTGTCAGAGCCTATGTTCATCATCTCTTTTGACAACTCTCCAAACTGTGGTCGTGTTGAGATCCAGTGGCACCATGGTGTGGTGTTCGATCAGCAAACCTTTGTTGAGCATTTACTATATACTGGATGCTGTGCTTGGTGCTAGGCTACAGGTGGAAACCAACTTAGTGTCATGGTCCTCACAGAGACGGCAAGGAACAAGATGAGAAAGGAAAGGGGTTTTGAGGAGGTTCCATTTGAGCAGAATCCTGAGTGGTACAAGGGAGAAAGCCATGTGAGTGTGATAGTCCAGAAGGTGGGATTTGGGATTTATTATTAGGAGGCCCGGGGTCAGGTCCCGTCTCCTTTACTCACCAGCTGAGTATGAACTTGGGGAGTTCGTGGACACTCTCTGACTTTGCTGTCTCACCAGGAATGTTAACAGTTCTGGCTCCATTCCCTGCAATTGTGCCTGCACCTCCTCCCTCACCAGATTTTGGGAGGATCAAATGAAGTGAGTGATTTGAGATCACAAATGATTTTTATTGAGTGAATTTTCAACTAGAAAACTTTGATAAACAAGATGCCTTCTTGTCCCCAAGTTTTAAAATATTTAATAATCAATAGCATGAAAAATGTTCCAATACATTAAGTTAACATTGTTTTTGAAAAATATCGTTTTTAATATGAATACATATATGCATAAGAGGGTTAGCCAAAGACATAATCCAAGATAGATATTTCTGGTTAAATTATGAATATTTTCATTTTTTCCTTTTTGCTTTTTGTACTTTCTGATTTTCTGTACTGGCCATGAAATGTTTCACAATAAAATAATATACTAATTAAACAAAATCATAAAGAAAAAAGATATTGATAGAGTGGGTGGAAAAATTCCATTTTCAACCAACATAAAATTTCTCTTTGTAGATGTTTTGTTAAATATTCATGTGGAGAGATTTTCATCAAAATCTTTAGATAATTTTCAAATCCCCACAAAAACCATTAACATCAAACTTTTTAAAACTTAAATCGAATTTTCCTTTTATAGTCTAAATCTCTTTCACCTGTTTGTTAAATTCCAAAAAGGAAATGTATTTCAAAAATGAAAATTATTTTTCAGTGTAATTATACATCTATGTTAACTTCTATGCTTAAACGTGTTCCTTTAAGATTTGTTTTTAAAATAAGTGACTCCTTCAAATGCCTCTCTGCCTTTGCATTTGCTGTGCATTAGGGTGACTTTCTGCTAATTTATACCACCTTTCAGAGTACATTCGAACAAGATGCATTTGAAAAATGCCCCAACATTATCCTTTCCACGGCACTCTGATTTTATGCATTTCCACCTTGCTTTCATAAACTATGCAACATTGACCTATCTGCTGATTTTTTCTGAATTCTCTTGGTGATAAGAAATTTGTTATACCTCCTTTTTTCGTTTTGCTTACTTTTAGGAACGCAAGTCCTGAATTAATAAGTTTTGGTTGTTAAAAATACAAAGGTCAGATGAAGTTCCAAGTCCATCCTCTCCTAGAGGCTGCCGTCAGTGCGTTGGATAGCATTCCTTTTGTTGCTGTTTTTCTAATACATCTGCATCCAGAGATACAGACCTAAAGAAACACATAGTTTGGGGTTGCTTCTCTTTTAAACAACATAATCTGAATCATATGAAGAAAGTATTGTTCCACACTTTCTTTTCCTCAAGATCTCTTGGAGATCTATCTGCATCAGGATGCATAGATCCACATAGTTTAAAAATAATCTGTTTCGAAGATGTATCCTCGGCCCTCTTTGGATGCCAAACGTTTGTAGGAACTTAACTATTAAGTGATCCAAATGTGTGATTTCAAGTCAGTTCAGAATATGCTAGACCCCCACTTTAAGCCTAGCACTGTGGATCCTGAGAGGAATGAGGTTATTACCCCTGCTCTGGAAGAGAATGTCAGATATTTCTTGAAAGGGGGAAGGAGGTAATAAATTCAAGGACTATTAACTCTTCTGCTGTATCATACATTTAATGTTTTAGAAATAAGCTGTTCCACTTTAAGAACAAAATAATTTAAACTCTAGGCACCAAGATCTAGAAGCTGGAAGCAACCTTGGGAAATCATCTTTGTCTGTCTTCTACCTTTAGACATTTAACTCAGGATGGAAAATTGAGTGGCAGGGAAAATGAACACTCAATTGAAACTGCGTACATGCCCAGAAAGAATCTAATGCTGCCTCAGAATCTGTTATGCTGATGTAGCTATTTCATTCCTCGGCATGTGTTTGGTATCTTGACTTTTCTTTATTATTTAACTAAGGAGGTGTCTCCTCATGTTTTCAAATAAAAGGCTTGATCAGTTTACTAACCTGTAACAGGGAGGTGGCCAGCGAGTTGGTGGAAATACCTGTTAAGAGGTAGAAGCTTTTTCATTGAGAGGCCAGGCAGGGCAGATGTTTGCACAGTTCTGAGACCAGCCTCATCAATGATGCTGCTAAATACTGCCACAGTTTTAGGGATGGTGAAGAGGAACCCCCACTCATTCCTTTGTACCCATCTTCTCTTCATACAGGTGCTCACATTTCTCCGAACTCTGTGCTTGGGCTTCTAAGAGTGCCAAAAAGGGTTAAACTGTGGGTGGTATGTTTGGTGTTCTAAACTGGTTTCATAGGAACGGCATAGGATACACGTAGGATTTCAGGTGAGGCAGAAGATGCAGAGCAGCGCTAAACTCTTCCAGACAGCGACAACCAACCTATAAGAAGCAGGCAGTCTTCTCTGTGCAGTTACAGCTCTACCAGCCCTAGGTCCCAGCAGTGCAGGCAAGAGCCTGCAGTGCTGGGTACAAGCCAGGTCGATCTATCAGAAACCCTTATCCTGTCTCCAGTGAACACTGAGCTTTCACAGAACAATTGTTGGAATGTAAGGAGAAAGAGTTTTCTCTCTGAGACAAGGAAGGTAATTTTAAAAATATATTGAACTATCAGAGATGTAGAGAAATAATATTTGATAATGCAACGTTTGACTCAAAACACCCAAAGTGCCTAAGCTTAAGCAGGACATTTGTGTCTTAAATAAGTTTATTTTAGATACAAGAAAATGAGTTAAAAAAACACACACACACACACAAGATATATCAGAAACCAATTATTAACATCACAGAAAGATCTGCCATGGCTAGCTTTAACATAAAATATCCCAATGATGCACTGATATTTTTATTTATTTATTCTTAAAATATGCCCTTTTTGGTTGTTTTTAGGAAAAAAATTGTTTTTGGATTCTTGAATTATAAAATATTAGAGCTTCATGTTCATGTAGCTGAATTCTCCCAGGTAATGTCACAGGCACGTAAAAAGACATCTTAATAGTGTTAGGAATTTTAAATGGTTTGTTAAAACACACATCAAATAAGAAAAATAAGGCAGAATCAATCTATGACTGAGAAAATTGTCTGTAAATTCAATTTGTTTTGTTTTAATTTGGACTTTTTAATAAGCAAGCAATATTTTAGGTCAATGAGATTCGATTTGTAGGCATAGATGTATTTTCCTTCTATACCACAAACATAGGAAATACTAATAAAAACCATACTGTGGAGCTTGCCAAGGTGATCTTCTTTATTATGGCCCTGATTTCTGAGTGCAGAAATCACATAGATATATTCCTAGCCTCTAGACAGTGTATACATTACATGTCTTATCAAAATCAAATACTCTAATCTAGTAACAACAGTATTTTTCATTTTAATTGATAAACAGATGGTATTTATGAATAATTTTATGCAAATAGAGTGTCACTGAAATTTTACTCAATGGAAAAAACAATCGCTCTGAGCCAGAAAACTTTTACCAAAATAATGTCAGATAACTTTGTTGGAAACTATGGCCATTTTTTCTGATATTACTATGGTTTGAATGTGTCCCCCAAAATTCATGTGTTGGAAATTTAATCCCTAATGTAACAGTGCTGAGAGGTGAGACCACTAAGAGGTGATTAGGTCATGAGGGCTCTGCCTTTGTGAATAAATTAATGTCATTTTCATGGGAGTGGGTTAATTATTGTGGGAGTAAGCTCCTGATCAAAGGATGAGTTTGGCCCCTTCTCTCTCACCCTCTCTTTGCCCATCTGCCATGGGATGACACAGCAAGAAGGCCCTCATCAGATAAGGCCCCTTGATCTTGGACTTCTCAGCCTCCAGAACCATGAGCCGAGTACATTTATTTTCTTTATAAGTTACCCAGTCTCATGTATTCTGTTATAGCAGCAGATTAAGACAGACATCAACAAAAAAATCAAAGATATACAAAAATGCCAGTTTGATTTTTTTAACATCTCTTGCTTTCTGTGTAATGCACCATGAATTTCTTATTTATAAAATATGTTCTTGAGGCAATTTAGAGATTAATTTGAAGCAATTGAGAATTTAATCCATCTCACTTTTAGGGGAGGTAAGATTAGATTAATTTACTCCACTAAATTCAATAAAGGGCTCCTTTCATTTGGGCTCAGTTTATCTCCTTCCAGTTCCTAGTTGTGCAATCTGGAGTTTGTGAGGCAGGGTGGACATACCTTTGCTCGCATCGGCCACCTACTTCATGAGCTGCACGTGCCCCTCAGAGCCTTGGCTTCCTGCACTTGAGTTTCAGCCCTCTGGAGCTTCATATGTTGCAGAGAATGCCTAAGGAAACCTGTCTCGCAAAAGTAGACTGAAGACCACATGTGTTGAACCATAGCCCATGCCAAGCTGCCCTTGAGGGAGAGGGGCTAATGCAGGACTTTGAAGGCAGGATAGAAGAAAGAGTCTGGGAAATGCTTTGGAAAATGGCAAAGCAGTCCAAACAGATTTTAGTTTTATGTCTGTTTAGGGAAGACCAGATATCAGACAGGATGTAATGTGACATTTAGATTTAATTCTGTTGATGATTTGCAGATTTGGAAATATACTTCCTTCATTGTCCAGTGTCCTTGGGAGCTGGATCTACCCAGGAGTGGTAGTTGCTTACAAGAAATGAACGATGAAAAAAAATTTACTGTGCTTTCACAGTCTGGAGCTCAAGAAAAATATAGTGACAAGGTGTGTTAGACTGCCTCTCGTCCACAGGAGAAAAGACAGACCAACCTGGATTTCCACTTTATATCTACCACTGATGAGCTGTGTGACCTTGGGCAAGTGAACTAACCTCTCTGGTCCTGTTTTCTCATCTGCAAAAAGGTGATAATAGTAATAGCTATATTCATGAAGATTTAATTCATGCCAGGGATTATTCTAGAAAGATGTATTAACTTAGTCATCACAGCAACTTTTGAATTTAGAATCACAATTAGCTTCTTGTCCAGTTGAAGAAACAAAGGTTTGGTGTTTTTTTGTTTGTTTGTTTTTTGTTTTGTTTTGTTTTTGAGATGGAGTCTTGCTCTGTCACCCAGGTTGGAGTGCAGTGGCACAATCTAGGCTCACTGCAACCTCCACCTCCCGGGTTCAAGCTATTCTCGTGCCTCAGCCTCCCAAGTAGCTGAGACTTCAGGCACGTGCCACCACACCCAGCTAATTTTTGTATTTTAGTCAAGAGATGGGGTTTCACCATGTTGGCCAGGCAGGTCTTGAACTCCTGACCTCAAGCAATCAACTCGCCTTGGCCTCTCAGTGTGCTGGGATTACAGGCGTGAGCCACCACACCCGGCCAAGTTGAGGAAACTAAGGTTTGAATGAGTTAAGTAAGTGGCCCCAGCTCATATAGCTAGAAATGCAGAGTCAAATGTCAGGTCAAAATGTCTAGATCCAAGGAATGTGTTCTGACACACAATACCATGAGAGACAGGCTAACATTAGCTGAGGCCAGGGACTGTGAGCTGGATTGGATCCCCGCAAGCTCCCATCACTTACAGGCTGCAAACGTGCCAAGCAACAGAGCCTCTCTGGGCTTGTCCCACTGTAAATCAGGGATAATAATGGGATCTGCCTCATGGTGCTTCTGTGAGGATCAAATGAGGTAATATTTGTTAACTCAGAACAGTGCTTGGTAAGAACTAGGTAACTATTTAAGAGTGCTCTTAGTATTATGTTAGAACTTATACTCTGCAATGATATGGATTGAAGCAAAATTTAATTAATACATATAAATTACTTAGCTGTACATAGTAACTACCCAATAAATAATGCCTTCTAGGAGATTTTGTGCTAAGTATGAGGCAAGGTTTAAGTCCTAGTGAGGTGCAGATCACTGGGCCCAGGGCCACCTACTGTGGAGCTCACAGTCTAATGGAAAGAAGAACAACAGTTTTAATTTTCTTTTCTCCAAGGGATCAGAAAATTCTGTCTTTAAGCAGGCAGATTTCTCATCTGCCTGTAATGATACTCATGCAATAGGATAAATGGATTGAGGAGTATTCCCAGGCTCATCTTTTCCCCTAGCCTAGTAGAGAGAATCCTATGGGTACCGCCTCCATTTCTATCTCTTAGCCACCATCAGCAGGATGACTGAATCTGACATAGAGGGTGGGAAAAACTAGGTCAATCTCCACAATAAAACATCAAGTGAAAAAGGAGGGGGGAAAGCAAAGTGCCATCTTCAGAACACAGCAAGGGCATGCAAATGTGTGCATGTAGGGTGTGTATGTTGGGTATACATGCATGTGTGTGTTTTGCGAGTGCGTGCTGTGTGTGTGAGTGTATGTGTTGGGGGCTGGGGTGGTTCCAGTGTAACTTCAGGGTTTAGGGAAGGTATAAGACAATAAGATTGAAGTAAGTATTACAAGGATCTACATTTTCTTTCTTGTTGTCAAAATACAGGAGTAAAAGAACTCTATTCCTCTATTATTACTTTTGGCTCACTGATTGTATTTGTGCAAGTCATGCTCCTTGGAGACCAAAAAACCATGTGGTTTTATGGGGTATGGAACACCTATTTGCCAGGAACCTTGCTGGCCCATTTGTTTGAGAGAGACTCTCAAGTTCTGCCTGTCCTTGATCAACACCCTAAAGCAAATAAGATTTCAAGGTTGTTCCAGTCTTGGAGAGCCCAGCCACATGATTGCTTGGGCATCAGTGGGTTCTTTTTCTAGTCTCAGAGCCTTCAATGCAGAGTATGCAGTTATGAATCATTTCCCAATCTTAGACCACTGTGCCGTGGCCTCTCTAACATTGGCAAGGACTATTACAATCACAGGGGACAGATTCTACAAACACTAATGTACAGCAGTTTCCCAAACTTCCCTGATGGTGAAAAAACTGATTCCTGGGATCAATCTAGCAATACTGAAGCAGAAATTCTAGATGAAATGTCCAGAAATCTGGATTTTTGACCAACATCACAGGCAACTTTTATCAGTAAAGTCTGGAACAACGGTGTGGATGTTTCCAGCATTGCCAAAGCTCCCTACCCATGAAGAAGAAGCCAGGTGTCTTTCATGACTGGTGTACTAGCCACCTATGGTAACTAAAGTTGAGGATGAGAGATGAGGACCCATTACCCTGCACCCAACTTAGCAGCACCAAAGTTCATTATCTTTAGGGGCATAATTAGTTCAGGTAGAGCAAAGCTACACTGTAGACACAGTTGTCGATGTCTGCTTGCCCTTCCTCACCTCCTCTTCTCACATTCCTCTCTGAGCCACTCACTTGCTGCCTCTGGGCTCACTGCTCTTTTGAATTCCTGAGGTCAACGCTTTAAATATGATACCCTAAAGCCCCCAGATGAGCTCACCTCTAGATCTCCTGAGAGCAAGTTTCTCGACAGAATATATTAGTATCCTGGCAGCAGCTGGAGGATCAAAGCTAAATCTCCTAAACTGTATAAGTGGAGACTCCCTGCCTAGGGCTTCGGACACCCCTTCAACTTACTGTTGGGTATAGCTACCATACTTTCCTTTGACTACCAAGAGCAGTGTGACCTTGATTCAGAAGTTGCCATACAGGTTTTATTGAGAACCTGTGAATCTTCTCAGAGTATTTTTAGTTGAAAAGTATTGTGGAATTTTATTAGTTTTCTATTGCTGTGTAACAGTATTACCACAAACTTAGCCACTCAAAGCAGCACACATTTATTTTCTCACAATTTCTGTAAGTCAGAAGTCCAGAAACTACTTAGCTGGGTCCTCTGCCTAGAGTCTCATAAAACTGCATTCAAGGAGTTGACCGGGGCTACGGTCTCATCTGAGTCTTGACTGGGGAAGAATCTGTTTTCTAACTAATTGAGGTTGTTGAGAGAATTTAGTTTCTTGAAGCTGTAGAACTGAGAACTTCCATTTTTTATGGCTGTTGACCAGAGGCCACCCTCAGTTCCTTGACATGGGTCTTCCAACATGATCACATGGCACATCAAAGCAAGCAAGTTGGGGAGAGACCCCAGCAAGACTGGTGCTACAATCTTATATTATATAATCATACACATGTAATCACATACATTTTGTCCCCTTTTTCATGCTCTTTTGATTAAAAGAAAATCACAGAGCTGGGCACGGTGGCTCATGCCTGTAATCCCAGCACTTTGGGAGGCCAAGGCGGGCAGATTGCCTGAGGTCAGGAGTTCGAGACCAGTCTGGCCAACATGGTAAAACCCCATCTATACTAAAAATACAAAAAAAAAAATATCCGGGTGTGGTGGCACGCACCTGTAATCCCAGCTACTTGGGAGGCTGAGGCAGGGGAATTGCTTGAACCAGGGAGGCAGAGGTTGCAGTGAACTGAGATTGTGCCACTGCACTCCAGCCTGGGCAATAGAGCAAGACTCCATCTCAAAAAAGAAAAAAAAATTACAGGTCTTGCCCACATTCAAGGGCATGCGCACCCCCAGATGACCCTGAGGGGGATTACCTTAATGAGTTTGTGTGTGAAAGCAGTGATCACTAATTAGAGTGTCTGCTCAACCCCAAAACAACACTACTTCTCTAAGACGTGGGTTAACTGTGGCAGCCATGTGTGTGCTGTGGGACCCCGTACCCTGACCAGAGTTGATTGATGGGCAGGCAGAGACCCAACCCAAAGTGAAGCAATCAAATTCTGCCTTCCAGGATTAGGGCACTGGAGTTTACAAACAGCCAGTTAGTCTGAGCTATTTTCCTTCACGGAAGAGAAGACAACTATTTGTTGGGTGATCTTTTTCCAAAATGTACACGTGGGAAAGACAGAACAAAATTGGGACAGAGAGAATGATGAAGGTGATCTCCAGGGGAAAAAAATGAAAATTAGAGATGGAGAAAACAATTCACAATTCACTTGGGTTTCCAGTGGCGATCTAGTTTATGGTTCCAGGTTCTTATGTAACACATTGATGATGAGTTCCAGAACTCTTTCAATATCCTGTCAGTAAATCTTCTATTTTGCTTAAGCTTGTTCAAGTCGGCTCCTGTTCCTTGTCAAGGTAAAGAATCCTGATTAAGTTGAGATCTCAAAGCGGGCCTTATCTGTTCCTCACTTATAACCTCTCCAGCCTTCATTCACCTGCCCACACATCCATCCACCTAATAGGCATTTCTCTACTCCCTCATATGGCCCCTGCACTGTCCTGGATGCTGGGATACAACAGCAAACAAGACTTGAGCTCCTCACCCTCACCACCTCACAATCTATGGAGATGCCAGGCAGGTAAGCAGAGTCCCAGGTGGGAGGTGCTGAGGAGCACAGAAAAGAGGCAGGAACCTGAGCCTGGGGAGGAGGTCTCCAGGAAGGCTTCCAAGAGGAAGTGGCTAAACTGAGATATAAGAAGCAAGTCAGGACTAACCAAATGAAGGGGATAGCAGAGACAATTGTGCCAGGCAATGGGAACAGCATGTGAGGAGGGGACAAGGCAAATCTGTACAGCCTGGGAGCAGGAGCAAGACAAGTCTGCAGTCAAGAGAGCTGAGTGTATATGAAGAGACCTTTCATGGAAATGGTGAGAAAGCTGACGTTTTATACATCTGTCCCCCAAAACTATTACATCTTTGAAGCTAGGCACTGTAATTTTTTTTAAATTATGAACACTTAGCTTTCCATTAGGGATTTATTAATTTAAAAGTACGTGTTAGGGCATCTTATTTACTTTTTCACTTGTATAAATTAAAATTCACTCTTTTCAATGTAGACATCTATGATCTCTGACAATGCATGCAGCTATATAACCACCCCCATTACCACAATAGAGAATAGTTTCATCACTCAAAAAACTTCCCTCAAGCTGCTGCTTTGTGATCAACCCCTCTCCCCACTCCCTGCCCTTGCTAATATTCTGTATGTTCAGTATTTTATTTAATCTTCATATCTACCTGTGCAGTATAGATAGTAGTATTCTACTTTACAGATGAGGAAACCAAGGCTCAATGGATTGTTGTCTTCCTTCTTTCCCTGGCTTCCTTCTAGAATTGAGTGATTGCTCTGTCTGTGAAGATAAGGGGCCTGTTCCCTCAGATCATCAAGTAAGGCACTCACATTTGTCAGGTCACACACAAGAAAACATCAAGTCAGTTCAGAAAATTGCCCCTTGTTTTCTAAGACTTGAGCTCTGTGCTGAAAGGATATAAGAACAGAAAACTGGCATTATCCCTGGGTCAGATCTGCGTTTCCTGGCCTTCTGCTGTGGGGCCGAAGGCATGCATTTCATGAAGCCAATAAAATGCACCTTGTTCTCAAGAAATGTTACAACAGCTGGCTTCCAGATCCTCTGATTGTTATGTCTTTTTTGAGAAGTATCCATTAATTACTTTTAATCATCTCTTGATTTTACCAGGAAGGTCATTATTTCTACAGGGAGCTTACGGACAGATTTGGGAGTGTTTTCATGTTGTTTTTTTCCTGTGGTGTGGTGTAACTTTCTTTGTCATCAATACATACGTCAAAGCAGGCTAACCAGAGTATTTCCCCAGCCACAGCATATGGTTGGGTCATGCAAACAACCATCGTAAATCCTCCTTGACAGTGGCCCAAAATGATATCGTGACCTGGTCCCAGTGGAATCCAGATTTATGAAGATCTGAATGTGAGAACTGAGTGTTAGGAGCATGGATTTTTGAAAATGTGCCACATGAATACATCTGTCTATTTATATGGCTACTTGCCTCCATATGTGGCCAGTGAATGAAAAATATGTGCAGAGGTATTTGAAAAATTCTTGAGGTGCCTGAATAAGCTCGCCTGGTCCCTGGCACAGAGTCAGCACCCAATAAATATTCCCTGAGTGAGTGAGTGAATGGATGGATGAAGGAAGTGGAACTTGGGTCAGTTATAAGGCATCTCATTTTTCTAGAAAGTAGCTCACTACTATAAGGGCATACTTGATTACCTTTTCTACTTCTGAATGCACCCAATTTTGTTCAGGAAACCTCTGTATCCTCAATCCCAGTGGTAACTCTTAGTCTAAGCTAATCAGAACATGGCATTTTTTCATGGAGACTATGATTGGTCTGGGAAGATGCAATGTGACCTCTGTTGGCCCAATCAGATTAAAGGGGATGAGTTTTAAGTCCATGGCATGGGAAGAAGTTTTTCATTTTTTTTTCTCTGGGGAAAGACAAGGGATGTCACCCTATTTCTGCTCTAGGGCTTTTCCCTTCCATGCCAAGATCCTGCCTGGGCTGCCCCATTTACCTTATGACCTTGAGGGGAATCATTTTGGATTTGAGCCTAGTCCTGTGTAAAACAGAGAGCAGAAAACAATCTTATTCTTGATGACATAGTTGAGCTCCTGGACATTCCTGGAGAAGACCAGGATGCTGGACCAGATTTCACTCTTGTTGTTTGACAGAGCAATTTCCTTCTGGTTACCTTATGTTGGAATTTTTGTTGCTCTCTCCTGAAAACAAAAAGCTAAGGTGAAAGTCTGAAGTTGAGAAGAGAATAAGGAAGAAAGCTCAGTTAGTTATTTTGTGTTGTTTCTATCAACAATAATAGCAACTTTTGCATGTAGAATACATGCATGAAGATTAGTGTTAGATCCTGTCTTTCATTGTATGTATACACACCCCTGGGAGGTGAGTACTGTTATGCTTGCTTTGCTCACCTCCCTCAGGTAAGATTTGCCCACCTGGAAAAGAAGTTTTCCTCCTTTTCTAGTGATGCTGTGAGTCTTTTTCTTTCCCCTTATTAGTTTTTGCGCTGGTTTCCCTGGCAACAAAGAGAAAAAGAGGTTTCCATTATTATGTACTTCACAATCTGTCATGTCTTCATCCATTCATACTATTGTCCTTCTCACTGGTTCATGAAATTTAGAAAATGGGTTAGCAATTATTCCTTTTGCAGTTACTATAAGCAGGGTGTAGGCACGGAAGAAAGAGAAGAGGAACAGCATGGTCTGCTTTGTTTATGCAAGTTTTACAAAGAAACATGAAAACAACCCTTGCCTACAGTGATCTTATTCTCTAATTGGGGCACCAGGGCAGGGCATTTCAGATGGTGATAAGATACTTGAATAAATAGAAATACAAAACTGTGTTAGCCATCAAAAGCTAGCATGTCATTAATTCTTGGATGAGAGGAACATATTACTTTCAAATCCAGACTTATTTTTTTTCCTCCACCATCATCTTTTGCCTGGAGAGCTGCAGTGACTTCCAGATCTGCTTCCACCCTGTCTACTGTCAGATTGATTCTTCACACTGAAACTAGAGAGATTTTGTGGAGAAGCAACGCAGACCATGTCATTCCTCTGCTCTTTCTTGCATGCCTACAAGATTCTGCCTGGGGCGTTCCTCCAACCGCTATACCCTGGTCTTATGCCATGCCCCGTCCAATTCTTTCTGTTGCTTTCCTTTTGGGAAATTTCCAGCCCCACCAAGCAAAGGCCTTTTCATATGCTGTTCCCTCTGTCTGAAACACCCTTTTCTCTTCTCTTCAATTACTCAACACCTATTTATCTTCCTTCCTTTCTCACTTCAAACATGCCATCCTCAGCAAAGCCTTCTTTGAACTCCTTGTGTCAGATAAAACCTACAACAGGCTCTCATAGCACTAAGGATCTTCCCTTTGGCCTTGTCCCAGCTGCAGCTCTGCAGTTTGAGTCATCATTTAAGATACACCTCCAGATAGAGAGGGATCTTATCCATGTTTAGTCACTATTGGATCTCCAGAGCTTGACAAAGCATCTGGCATATGGTAGATGCTCAGTAAATATTTATTGAAAGAAAGAATGAGTATATAAACATGCAATCCATGCTCACTTTGTGCCAGACACCATGCTATGAACCTAACCATATTTTCATGTACTTATTAGAACTCTTTAGTTCCTTTCTATGAGAGAAACACTATTGTTGTCATTCCCATTTTATAGTTGAGAGCACTGAGGCTTAGAGAGATGAAAGGTGTCCAAGGTTACACACCAAGTAAGTGAGAGAGCTGGGATTCCAGCTAGGCACGTGGCTTCACATACTGAACTCTTAACTACTGGCCTCTGCCACGTCTCACAGAGGAAAGAAAGTTCTGGAAGGTCAGAGGAAGGAGAAGCTTTGTAAGCAAGCAGGAGTTTGGGCTAGTCCCAAAAGGCAAGCTGGCTTCATCCAGAGAGGGGATAAGAAGGAGGAGTGGTGCAGTGGCACACTGCCAACCTAAAGGCACCTTAGAGCAAGGTTCCCTTCTGGGTGGGTGAATTAGAAAAAAAATGCCTTGTCCTTCCTGCAAGAGCTGGCTTAATTTCAGCTTCCACTTTCTGGCTCTCTGGGCCACCCTCACCACTCTTTTTTTCTTTTTTCTTTTTTTTCCAGTGCACAAACCACTCAGCCATATGCAGCACTCTGCAGGCATGAAGACTCAGAGGCAAAAAAACAAGAAGTGAAAAACTCCATTTGGCTAGAGTGGAGGCTTTCTGAAGCAGATATAAAAGTCTAAGACTTGTGCTGTCCAATATAATAGCCCCTTACCACACGTGGCTATTTAAATTTCAATGAATTAAAATTCAATACAATTGAAATATCTGTTCGTCAATTATATTATCTGCTTTTTATAGCTACCTGGACTTGATAGCTGCCAGAGTGGAAAGCACAGATAGAAAACATTTCCATTGTTGTGGAGAGTTCTATTGGACAGCTCTGGTCCAGAAAGCAAGGTGGAGCCATTGACTGTAAAAAAATTGCTCACCCTTTATGCATGCCATGGGCTATGAGGAGTCATGAAAGGGTTTTAAGCAGGGAAGTGGTGTGAAAGAAGTATAGTGCTAAGAGAAGTAATAATATCGTTTATTGAGGGATAAGTGTGTTAGGTACCTCACAAGCATGATTGCATTTAAGGCAGGTAGTATCATATCCCCATTGTACAGACAAGGAAATTGTGGCACAGTGAGGTTAAATAACTCATACAGCTCCAGGTCTGTCTGATCCCAAAAGGTTCTACCTTATACCATGCTCCTAGCCTGTACTCTAATCAACATGATGATGGGAGTGTATTATTCAAAAAAGCAGAGCTCAAGTTCAGAGAGGCCCGTTTGGCAGCCCTAGTAGGCATGAAATAATAATGACTTCAACTAGGGGGTCAAGAGCTCCCTTTGTAGCAAGCTTCAGAGGTTTCTTGTTCTTTGTTCTTGGCCTGTAGTTTCCTCCCTTCCTCCCCAACCATTAATCGCAATCGCTTTCATTTTCTTTGGAATCATCTTTGCTTATTCTTTTGCTCCTCTTGTTGGTGTTTCCAGAGAAAATTGTGTTTGCATTAGGTTTTATCCTAATAAATTTTTATCCCTGGAAGTACGTCTCCTGCCTCATCCTGCTGTTAGGCCTCTTCCTAGAGATCCCAGGACACAGCTGGAGAGCTTGTGTGGGCCCCACCATGAGCCAAGCCCACAAATCCCATCTGGAAATGTGCGTGGCAGAAGTTTCCCTCTCCTTCTAGTTTTCCTGGTGAATGGAAATGCACCAGTGTGTCCCATTTCCTGCTGGGACATGGGGCCTTTTTGTTTCTTTGGCCTCCTGGTGTTGAAGGTAAACTCCCCTGGGGAGTACTTGCAGCTTCATTGCATGGTCCAGCAAACTTTAGTTTGTGACTATTTCAGCTTTAGGTGAAGTCTGTCAAGCAATGGAGGTGGATTGGCCTTCCCTGGGTCTTATAAAGAGAATTGGTTTCTAGAATTTGGTTTTTTAGAGTATGGACAAGCAGATCCCCATTACTCTCCCCATCACCCCCGAGGAAGTCTATGAGAGGAACCCTTGAATGCTGATCTATGTGTGACAGCTGGGGAAATTGAGGCATCAAAGGAGGAGAGAATTCCACATGCATCAAAATTAAAGAACTAGAGAGAAAACCATGACATCCAGGTTGCCTGGTCATGCTTTAACCACAAACCGCACTCGCCTATTTAGTTACAACAAACACAAAAGAGATAAACATAGATGTAAGTTAGTCTAAACACCAAATTTTAGAAGTTTTTCCTCTGATGTCTAGTCAGTCATCCTGACCTTTATTGGAGGATAAACCAACTTGCAACAGCTGTGGATAATTATTTACTGTAAGTCAGAGACCAAAGGGCTTGGATAATGAAGTGAATTCGGCATTAGAAGGAGAGAGATGTGCTTTAGCACCAGAAAGTTACCTTTTAAGTTGATTCCTGAATTTCAATGATCAAGAGGTACCAAATTCACTATCTAAGAGATGCTGGAAAAGCGCAGGATGTGCTGAGCAGTGGACTTTGTTCACATGTGAGGGGTTTTACAAAAATGTACAGCCACACCTGGCCCTTCCTCAGCCTGGAATCATCCAAGAAGATACTTTGTGCAGATGCTACTGAGATGACACATCCCTTGCTGTCCATAAAAGTGATCTACAGCTGGCTGTGGTGTTACCCAGCCATCTTGGCTACTCAATAAGAAACAGATTTGGATTCCCTCACTCAGGCTGTCAGATTTTACAGCTGTCTGAGGGCCTATGGCAGTGTGGCCTCTCAGCAAGACACTGCTGAAGTGGGGCTCAAACATTTGGCAGTCAAGAGAGGGACAAAACCTTTGTATAATTTGGGAGTGAGTTCAAAGCCAATAACATTTACACTCCAGGCCAAGAAAGCATTTTAAAGCCAGCAAGGTGCCTCTAAGCCAATAAGGTGTTATTACCTTTAAGCACATCTCTTCTGCCCTTTGATAATAAGCGTTGTTTTAAAGTATTTGAAAATACCATTCACAATTTAGAACAGGATATATCACCTCCACACTTTGAACACCCAAAAAGAAAAAGAAGCCTTGATTGATGTTTATGCACTTCCATTATGGACAATCCTCCAAACACAACACAAGACATACACACACATGCACACTTCCTCATCCTCACCTGTGCTGCAAAATAATGGAATCTGGCCACCCCACATGTGGCAAGAGGAGCAGTGAGGCCAATCAAGTTCCTCTCCAGGAGCCCCATTCCTAAAGGCCAGCCAGTACAGGGAAAAATTTGTTGCAAGTGTTCCCATGCCTTGCTTAAGGTCCAGCCCCCAGGATGCTTTCCAGAGCAAGACCTCTGCTGAGAACTCTGTGTTCTAGAATTTTAATTAAACAGACCACAAAACCCACTTGCTCCCAAGTTAAATTCTAAGTCTAAACTTGAGAACAACAGAAAGTAGGGAAATGTGATCATTGGCCTGGGCAAAATGGTTGAGCACAGAATAGAGACAGTGTAAGGCAAAAACTAAGAGTACAGAGTCTAGAGCTAGGCAGCTTAGGCTCAAATCCTGGTTCTGCTGGTCATACTCCCTGGCTGTATGACCTTGGGCCCATTACTTATCTTATGAGGTTAAGTGAATCCCTGTAACTTGGAATCATGACTCAGAACTGGGGGTAACCTTGAAGACCCTCTTGTTCAACCATTATCCCATTAGACTCAGCCATGATGATGAATGAGGAGACCCAAGAATTCCCACTTCCCAGCCCTTCACCATCAGAGTGGACCATGAGGGTGTGCCAGTGGCAGAAGAAGAGGAAGGCAGGAGGTCTCCCGAATCTTTTGCCAAATACCTTAGCCTAAACTGGAAAATATCTTAGGGTTACTGGATGGACAACAGAGCTGAAAGCTCTATGCGAACCTTAGGAGGCCGATGGACAGCTAAGAAACTGCTTCTTATCCGTCTCTCTCCTTCCAGGATTCAGTCTCTGGTTTCTGGAGTGAGAACTACCATGCTACGTTCCATTGTTTCCTGTCTGAAGCATGTAGTTCACCATCGAATACATAGTCCTTTTCCAGCTGTCCTACTTGTCCAGTCTCAACTCCCATCCCACACATCCCCTCTGTCTGACCACACTGACCATCTGCTGCCTAACACGTCACACATATGCATGACTCCAGGCCTAGACATGGTTTTCCCTCTACTTGCAATGTTCTTCCCCCTTTTCAAGTCCCTACTCATTCTTCAGGATTAAGACCAATGTTACCTCTTCTGTAAGGTTTTCCTAGACAGGATCACTAATTCTAATCATAGAGAAGTCAAGTACTGCACTGAACCCTTTTTATGATTACCTCATTCATTCACTGAATCCTCACTACAATCCAATGAAATAGATTCTACTATAATCCCCATTTTAAGATGAGGAAACCAAGGCTCACAGGAGTTAAGTAAAGCCCAAGGTTACACAGCTAGTTAGGGAGAGAGCCAGTTTCAAGCCCAGCTCTAATTATTCTAGAAGCAAATTCTTCCCCCATGGGTCTCCCAGTGAACTTTATTGACTCTCCCAGTGAACTTTACTTATACTTTGGTTACATCATTTTCCCAGTTTAACTTTCTCTCCCCTACAAGATTAAAAATCAAGTTGGATGTTCGATTTATTTTTATCTCTAATACTTAGCTCACTGCTTGGCCCACAGTAGATACTTGACATAAATGTGAAAAAATGTGTTAATGGAGAAATGAATGAATAGATGAAAGGATAGAAGAGTAGAAGGAAAGAAGGAAGGAAGGAAGGAAGGAAGGAAGAAAGGAAGGAAGGGAGGGAGGGAAGGAATCAAGGAATAAAAATATTTGACTTCCTCAGAGGTACATATTATAAAACAAAGTAGCCTTTTCCAAGTACATCAAACATTATGTTCCATAGAGAAGAATTTTAATGCTGCCTGAAAAAATGTGACTAGATATTCAATACATATTTTATATTGACCCTGGGCCTTATTAATGGCAGGAAATTCAAAGGAAGTCAAGTCTATACTGTATGCACCTACTGCCAGAAATGAGGAGCCTACAAATGTTGGACAAAGCAAAAAACATCTGGGCCTGGCCATGACCTTGAGGAATGGAGATATTATGCTCTCTGAGCTTAGTCTTTTGGCTTGGAATAAAACCAAAACTAAAACCAAAAACCCCACCTCTATGTTCTTCTCATGATTTGAATGCCTTTCCCTTTGCTATGTCCTCCCTGGGAGAAGTCTCATCAACAGACTTCAAACAGGTAATCTTGCAGCTGCTACACATTCAAGTGTTTAGACTACATCTAAACTTGCTTTTTTATAACAACTTGCTTATTAGGGATGCATAAATAGATCTAGAGAAAATGAGAACAGATCTTATCTTTGGGTAAAAATATGTAAGGCACAAAACAGACTCATTAGAGAAGGTTCAGAAGTCAGGGCCTGTGGCTCAGAGTTCAAATTGGCCTGGCCAGAGCAAGCCTCCTCTCAGAACAGATGAGTCAGTGTGGTTATCACTCAGTGTTTTCAAAGCATAGAGGATGCAATCTGAGAGGCAAACGTGAGTTTCCAGATAGGGAGAGAGGAAGAATCAGGATTATGAGTGACATGTTAAAATATAATGTCGTGGTCTGCAAGGCCTAAATGCTTTGGGCAATGTTGTGTCTGGAATTTCTGTGGGACAAACCGTGTCCAGCTGTGAAGTCATTCCTAGTGGGTTTGCGACAAGAGTGTAACTCAGGGCCTTGCCTTGGTGTACCCTAAATGTGGAGAGGCTGACCGCTTGCCTAATTGAAGGCAGATGGGAGGTTGCAAAGCTGGGTAAAGAAGAAGCTTTCTGACATCTGTCTTTGACCCAAAAGGGGATAAACTCAGGCCACGTTTTAAAAAGACCCCCTGAATGATTTACATTTACCAATTCCTATAGATATCTCAGCAAAGATTTTGCTTCAGTGCTAAGTACCTATCCTTGCTTTGAATGGATATCTGAAACTGTTTTCTGTCTTGACTTTGTCCAGTTCCATTTTGGAAGAAGAGACATTTATAAAGTAGACAATGCCCTGTACATACCCCCACATCCTAAATATGAGAAGTAATCACAGCTTCCACGTACGGAGTGTTAATTACATGTGAGAGACTCTGACAAGTGCTTGATAGGACATTGTCTCATTTAGTCTTCACAAGCAACCCTGAGAGGCAGAGGTGCTTGTTCATCTGTTTTAT